>NC_000008.11:31375254-31678284 GCF_000001405.40 Homo sapiens
GGTGGGAGTGGGATCCATGTCAGTAGCTGCCATGGCATGGTGGGATGCATGTGTATCAGCTGGGGAAGGATGTGGAGTGCCAGCATCTGTGCATACACTTGCACATGCAGCAGTGGTGCAGTGGGCTGCCTCTGTATCAGTGGGGATGAGGTGCCAAAGGAGATAGGGTGCCAGCAGTGTGGCGGGGGTTGGTGGCAGAGTGCACGCACATAATATGCACCAGTGGGAGAGGGGAGGCAAAGTTCACCAATGTGCTCATGCCAGCAAAGTAGTGGGGGGCAGCTGTGGGTGAGTGCATGTTGGCAGAGTTGGAGGCTGTAGTGGGAAGAGGCTGCAGGTAGGTTGGTGCATGTTGGCAGGGGCTGATTTTCTGGAACTCTCCAACAGTTAGGAGTAGTCTGCTGGTGAAGGAGCTATAATGGGAGCTTCTGGGAAGCACCCTGGCTGAGCATCTGAGGCTGCACTGTAAGTGGGCATGGCCAGGCTGGGGCCCCAGGAAAGGCCAGCAGACAGAGCGGTGCTCAGATTGAACTGGCCCTGTCCCATGAGCAAGATTGCCCTGCTTTGTCTGTCCAGGTCCAATGGTCACCCAAAGGGTAAAACCACCTAGAGAAGTGTAGCAAACCTTGAGGGATAGGCATCCCTGGCTGTGCTCCAGTGTAGAAGTTCCCACACCAAACCCTCTGGGCTCCTCACAGGCTAGATTCCTGCTCCTACCATTTCTTTGAGCAGCTCTCCCTTTCAGCTCAAGTGTCTGTTGGGGTTGTGGGATCTCCTGCAGCTAGGATTCCAGAGGTCTGTGATGAAAACAAGCCACTCCTTGCCTGTTCAACTCATCCCTTCCCCAGGAGTCACTGGGAGCCAGGGCAAGTCCTGGTGCTCAGCAGCCCTGTGCAGTGCTCCCACGTTTCTTCTTCTTCAGCCCAGTGTCTGTTTCCTCCCTCTGTTCACCCTCAATACCTTCCCTGTAAAGATCTGCTCTGAGTGTGCTAGTCTTCCCAATGTCCCAGTCTCTCGGTAGGAGATGTTCCTCCTGGCTGTGTCTAGTTGGCCATCTTGTCTCTAATCTGCCACTTAGTATTTACAATTTTTTTCACTCACATTTCATCATCTCTCATATTATTTCTGTAGCCAGACCATACTATCTCTTACACTTGATACTGCTGTCTCCTCTAGTTATGCTTCTCTACCAGTTCTCTCAGCCTCTATTTCTTTTTTAATTCTGCCAATTTTTGCCTTATGTTATTTCGAGATTCTGTTATTAGGTAAATTCACATCAATAATTTTGATGTCTTCCTGATAAAGTGTAACTTCTATTGTTATGAAATGTTTATATACCTGGAAACACTCTTTGTCTTGAAGTCTATCATACATTAAAATAGCCATTTTAATTTTCTTATGCTAACTGTGTTTTTACTATTCTTTACAAAATCAATTTATGTTCTACTAATAATATGTAAAGACTGAGTCTTGTAAGCAACAGATGCTAAGGTCTTGATTTTTAAATCCTCTTTATCAATCCCTCTCTATTATTTTGGGGCATTTAGACCATTAACATTGAATGTAATAATTGATATGCTTTGAATCAACCGTACCATTTTATTGTTTGTGTTCCTTTTGTTCCCTCAGTTTTTTGTTCCTCTAAGGCTCCTCCTGTGCTGCCTTTTCTGTAGTATCTTAATTTTTAGTATTACATTGTAAATTCATATAGGGCTCTTGGTTTATATCTTTTGGATTTGTTTTTTATTAGGTTTTCTAGGGTTAGGCTGAAAACTGCAGGTGGTTCAAATGTCAGCTCAGCTTTTCACCCTGTTGGTATGCTGGTTTGGATCTGTCCCATGCATGGATAGTTGAAGATACAGACAAAAGACACACGTGAGTGCATGTGCAGTGTTATGGGTACTTTACTCTGGCTATCCATTTTGGAATTTCTCTCCCTGTTTTCTGGCCTTCAAAGTCTCCTTTTCCTGGTTCTTGTGGCCCAAAGGTAGAGTTTCCTCTCAGGGTGTTAGCCACCGGGGCTGCTGCCACCATTTTCACTGTGCTCCTTTACAATATGAGCCCTCTCCCCAGGACAACGTTTTGAGAGAAAAACAAAAATGGGAAACTCATGATGGATGCTGCCACAATTTTCAATTCCTCCCCACAATTCACTTATTTTTGTTTACTTTTTAAACTCTCCAGTAGTTATTTGTTTATATTTTGTCCAGAATTTTTAGTTGTAATCATCAGAAGGGATGGATGGTTGTGGTCTTTTGCCACCATAATGGAATTGAAAGTTCTCAGTTATATTGTAGAGAGGCCTTTATATGAAGACTGCATCATAGGCACTCTTAGGTATCCCAAGCCAATAAATCATTAAATATTTTTATAATGACTTTATTAAGATAATTTCATGCACACACTCTCTCTCTGTGTGTATATATATATAAAATGAAATTATTATACTATATATATTCATACTATATACTATATACAAATTATTCATACTCTATATAGTAACTGTTCATACTGTACTAAATATAGTATGAATAGTACACTAGTATAAATAGTATACATAGTGTGAATGATTTATATATAGTATACAGTATGAATAATTTACTGTATATGCTATATACATACTATATACGTATATACATACACACATATAGTATGAAATTTTAGTATATATAGTATGAAATTATATATATGGTATGAAGTTTTCCTAATAAAACTATTATAAAAATATTTTACTATATATATACACATATACATATACCCATGGAGTGTATATGAGGTATTTTTTTGAAAATTCATAGAGTTATGCAATTCTCATTATAGTCTTTTTTTTAGAACATTTTAATTACCTCTACACGAAATCTTCAAAAGTCACCTTCATCTTTGAAACATACTTTTGCTGGATATAAGATTTTGGTGTTATTTTTTTCTTTGAGCTCTTTGAATATGTTATTCCACTGCTTCTGCCTCCACTGCTTCTGATGACAAGTCAGTCTTCTTGGAGTTGTCTTGAATGTGAAGGGTCATTTTCCTCTTGTAGCTCTCAAAATATTCTCTGTCATTGTCTTTCAGTATTTTTACCATAATGTGTCTTGGTATGGATCTCTTTGTGATTATCTTACTTTGAGTTTGTTAATCTTCTTGTATGTATAGATAAATGTGTTTTATAAAATTTAGAGTTTTCAGCCATGATTTCTTCTATTTTTCTCTCCTTTCTCACTATTATCCTCTATTATTATGTGTGTTTGTGTGCTTAATAGTGCTCCACATTTTTATGTAGCTCTATTAATTTGTCTTCGCTCTTTCTTCTCTCCACTTTCTTCGGAATGCATTATCTCTATTGATCTATCTTTGAATTTGCTGATTCTTTCTTCTGTCAGTTCAAATCTGCTGTTGAGCCTCTGGTAAGTTTTTCATTTCAACTAGCATATTTTTTCAATCTAGAATTTTCATTTGGTTATTTAAAAAATCATTTCTACCTTTTTATTGATATTCTGTATTTGATAAGAATATCCAGCCATTACCTCTTTAAGCACGAGTTTCCTTTAGTTCTTTGAATATATTTGTAATGGCTGCTTTGAAATCTTTAAAATCTGACGTCTGTTGACCCTCACAGGCAATTCTTGTTGTCTTCCTTTTTCCTGTTTGTAAGCTACATTTTCCTATGTTTTTTTTTTGTTGCAAGCTTTTTTTTTTTTTTTTTTTAAACTGGACATTTGAAGTAACATGTTGTAACAACTCTAAATTTTGATTTCCTTCCCCATTTCAGGGTTGTTTTTGTTGTTGTTTGCTTGTTTGTTTTGTGACTTGGCTAGACTCTTTCAGTTGCATCTATTTCCCATGTAGTGTGAAGTTTCTAATGTTGCCCTTCAGAGAGGCACATCCTTGGGCATGAGCACGTTCATCCTAGATAACAGTGTATTCTTTGGTTAAATTAGGGGAGTCTTTGTCTCTTTTTCTGATTTCTCTGTTAATCTGTCTGCCTCTAGTGGTATCATACCCAGCTCTTAAACTCAGCTGATTGATGGCTGATATCCCTATTGTTTTAGACAATGCCCTGGAATGTTCCAGGCATAAATCTCTCCACAGTCTCATCCAATTAAATCTGGATAGGGGTAGTTTTTGAGGCCAATCTTTGAGGCTTGTTATGTCCCCCTGGTGTCTCTTTTTGGCTGTCTCTTTCTCTGGTTCTGTCTGATAAATTAGCTGGCCTACAGTTGAGCTCTCATAGAGCTACAAGTCTTCTTTTAATTGTTTACTGCCAAAATTACCAATTGTTTTTGAGAGCATTCTTAGGCTTGAATTTTCCCACAGTTCTCTTCAAATAAAGACAGTTATTTTGGGAACAGCACTGGAGTTCTCTTTTCTTGTGGACTACCTCTGTTCCTGAGAAAAGTCTCTGAGCTACTGCTCCAGGGCTGGGGGTAGGGACAGTGGTCCACTTCTCTTGGAGTGACACCATGCATTATGAGTAGGGTGCTTGTCAGAGCCATAGCTTCTGGTATTCTTTTCTTGCCTCTTTGGCCTACAAATGAGCAGGGCTGAGGAGAGAGACCTCAAGAGAGAGACCAAGTCAGAGACCCAGTATTCTTGACCTGCCAACCCTGTGACTGAGAGTGTGAGTTGGGGCTGGGTGGAGAAAGAGAGTCCCTGACTTCTCAACTGCACTTGCCAGGAATTTAGCCTTTGCAACTTGGTGTTGGAGGTGATAAGAAATGCTGGTGGGCTGCTCCTCCTGGTGAGATACCGCATGCCTTGATTGGGAACTGAGGGAGAAAGAAGCTTTGTCTTTTTAGCTGTAGTTATGCAGAAATGAGCTTCAGTCAAGCTGAACTGGCATACAGGAGGGATGGAGTAAGTCATGGTTCAAGTGCCTCAGCCTCTTACTGTTCATACTGAGATTTAATAGATTTTCAAAAAGATTTTTCTTGAACAAATGTTGCTGTATGCCCTTAGAACAATTTTCAAATACTTTATACGGTTGTCTTTTTTAAATGTAATTTTTGCCAGTTATGGTTGTTTCACTGGGAAATGGGTCTATGGTCTGCTCACATCACCGTGCAGACGTGAAACTATCAACGAGTGTTTTTTTAAAAATTATATCCTTTGTATTCTTGATTCTGCTAGGCAAACTGGGGGATAATAACGAATTCATTTAAAAGACATAATCATGTAGCATATAATGTAGCTGGGGAATGAGATTCACATATGCAAGTAAATAGAAACAGTTGAAGATAATATGTAACTGCTAAGCGAAGTATTTTAAACTGTTATTGTCAATAAAGGCAGACATATAAAGGATGTGAAAGCAGTGCATGTGGGTATAGTGTGGTTCAATAGAAAGAACACCGATATTAGTGCTAAAACCAAGGAATAACCTGATTAAGCCCACCAAACTTAACCTGTGTTGCTTGCTTTTAACTGCTTACTTATAAGTGGTCTAGGTGCAAGTCACATAGCCAGACAATAACTAAACTTCCACTACCTTCTTTACAGACAATATCTCTGACTATGGGTTACTATAGTAATGAGTGCTTAAAGTTGTTTTTCAGGAACTAGAGGGCAGCTCTTGTCCAGTTCAAGCCAGTTGAGAATACTGACCCTTCACCTGGGTTTGCACAGGTGCCTGAAGAGACATCTTTTGACATGAGAGGGCCAAAAATTCTACCTGCAGGTCATGCTAGTGCTGCCTTTTTCTGAACATGCATCCTATAAAGAGCCATGTTGCTCAATTATGCTTGCACAGAACCCTGATTACCTTTCCTATCCACCAATTATCATTCCCCAGACATTAGACCATCCCGTTTTCTATTCCATAAGTACCTGCCCCCGACAAGCCCTATTTTCAGTGAGGCAGATTTGAGATTTGTTCTTCTGTCTCCAGGCTTGGCAGCCTTGTGAATAAACTCTTTTCTCTTTTACAAAACCTGTTGTCACACCGATTGGCTTTCTGTGTGTGCGAATAATGAACCTGGTTTAATATCAGTGCCATTAAACCTGGATTCAAATCCTGTTTCTATATCTAGATCTATGAAGGTCTTAGCAGATACAGGGATGGTTAAAGTACACTAGTAAGAGATGATAAAGTATCCTGGGGCTAGCAACAGTGGAGAGCCACTACCACTATTAGACATGAAGGGGCAAGGAAAAGGAATGGTTATGAGGAATAAGAGAGAGCTGTGGTTCTAGCTGTAACTGTAGTCAAGCGCTTCATGACAGGAGGCTGAGGCTTTCACTTCTGGCCTTTATTTCTGAACTCCAGTAGAGGAAACCAGCTGCTGTCAACCTGTGGCAGAGCAGGAAGGAAGTCAGGGAATAAACACCATTACCTTTCTTTTCTCCTGCCCTGCATTTTCCTCCTGTTGTCTCTCATTGACTCAATCCAATTGGAAACCATAGGACAAAGAAAATCCATTTATATGAGACAAGGAAGTCAGCTGCCTGCGTGTGCAACATGGTAGAAAAGGGTGAAGAATGGATTTGTAGAGCAATGTAAATATCCAGAACAATCACTCACTAGTTACATGACTTAGCAAATCACTTACATTCACTCTTTCCATTATATAGTTATAAAATATTAGGATAACAATATTATACTGGAGAAGAGCAAGAGACAAAGTCGAGGATTAAAAAGTTTAACCATATCCTATTTTTCAAGAGCATAAAACATCTGAAAGTCCTATAAGATATTTTATGTGAAATTTTATTTATATTTTATGTGCTCCTTTCTTGAATTTAAAGGCATTTAGTGCATGATGAAACTTATTTTATTTCTTCTAAAGTCTGTATCAGTTATCCAGGGGCAAATAATTCTTTTGTCAATTAATTTTGGTAAAAAAAGGCATATGCTGCCTTGGTGAAAATTTTGGAAAAAATGTGTTTTTGAATATGCTATTCGTTTAGAACTATGCAGTTAACCAAATTATGCTACTTTACATGTATTGCAAGCTACCTTGGCATTGCTCTCTTCTCTTACAACACAGTCCCTTGTGAGCATGCAGGAACACATGTAACTGTGGTTATGCGCTGTACATGAGGAGTAGCTGCATGGAAAAGTGAAGAGACTCAAAGAGAATGTGCAGGTGGCACTGTTTTTGCCAGTGGATAATATGAGTATTTTAAAAGCTAGCAACTTCTTGGTCATTTTTCTGGTCAAGTAATTTATAAGATATTTAGTTTTTATAATTTTGGGTCCAATTAAGTGTATCTGCAAGTGCATTTTATGAGTGCTGTATAAAAATTAATTACATTCAGTTTGAATCTTATTTAAAAAAATGGTTTTCCGTTGGTTGTGATTTTTCTTCTCTACATGACCACCCTGCCTTCCCCACATTACCT
Source organism: Homo sapiens (assembly GCF_000001405.40). NCBI lineage: Eukaryota > Metazoa > Chordata > Mammalia > Primates > Hominidae > Homo > Homo sapiens. The sequence goes on from NC_000008.11 coordinate 31,382,590, forward strand.
AGGGCAAGTCATTTCTACTTAATGTTTTTTGATAAAATAGGGACTTTCATTCTGAATCTTATCAGTGGTTTAGTATAGTATAAACTAATCTTATCTTGAGTAGAAAGACTAAAGAATGAACCAATCAAGAATAATAACTGTAACAACTTTTCAAGACATAGACAGTAGAGTAAGATATAACTAGAAACAACAAAAAGTTAAAAAGCAGGGGGATAATGTTAAAGTGTAGAATTTTTGTTAGTTTTATCTTTGCTTCTTTGTTAGCTTATATGTTTATGCTATCACTGTTAGGTTATCATGAGTTAAAACTTATGGGTTATAAGATATTTGTAAGGTTAATGGTAACCTCAAATCAAAAAACCTACAACAGGTGCACAAAAACAAAAAGCAAAAAAAATTAAAACCTACAACATGTGCACAAAAATAAAAAGCAAAAAAATTAAAACACACTACCAGAAAAACATCACCTTCATTTAAAGCAAGACAGAAAGGAAGGAAATAAGGATGAGAGGACCACAAAACAACCAGGAAACAAATAACAAAATGGCAGGAGTAAGTCCTTACTTATCAGGAATAATAATGAAGGTAAATGGACTATACTCTCCAATCAAAAGACATAGAGTGGCTGAATGGATTTAAAAAGAAAAAAAGACCCAGTGATCTGTTGCCCACAAGAAACACACTTCACCTATAAAGACACACATAGACTGAAAATAAAGGATTGGAAAAAGATATTCCATGCAAATGGAAACTAAAAAAGAGCAAGAGTAGCTATACTTACATCAGACTAAATAGATTGCAAGACAACAACTCTAAAAAGTGACAAAAGGTCATAATATCATGACAAAAGGGGTCAATTCAGCCAGAAGATATAAACATTTTAAATATATATGTACCCAACACTGAAGTACCAAGATATATAAGGCAAATATTTTTAGAGCTAAGGAGAGAGAGAGACCACAATACAATAATAGCTGGAGACTTCAACACCCCACTTTCAGGATTGGACAGATCTTCCAGGCAGAAAATCAACAAAGAAAAATTGGACATAATCTGCACTATAGACCAAATAGACCTAATAGATATTTATAGAGTATTTTATCCAATGCCTACAGAATACACATTCTTCTCCTAAGCACATGAGTCATTCTCGAGGATAGACCATTTTTTTAGGCCTCAAAACAAGTCTAAATTGAAATTATATCAAGTAACTTCTCTGACCACAATGGAATAAAACTAAAAATCAATAACAAGGCAAATTTTGGAAACTGTACAAACACATGGAATTTAAACAATGTGCTCCTGAATGACCAGTGGGTCAATGAAGAAACTAAGGAGGAAATTTTAAAATTTCTTGAAATAAATGATGATGGAAACACAGCATACCAAACTCTATGGGATAAAACCAGTGTATCATTCTTTAGTCTTTCTACTCAAGCTATGAGTAGTTTATACTTCACAGGTATGATGTTATAATATTCTGTATTTTTATGTGTACTTGCTATTTCTAGTAAGCTTTGCAACTTCAGACGATTTCTTATTGCTCATTAACATCCTTTTCTTTCAGCTCCTACAGCAAAAGAAGTACTAAGAGGAAAGTTTATAGTGATAAGCACCTACATAACAAAAAACTTCAAATAAACAACCTAATGAGGCATCTTAAGGAATGAGAAAAGAGCAAACTGAATACAAAATTAGTAGAAGAAAAGAAATAATAAAGTTCACAGCAAAAATAAATGAAGAAAACAATACAAAAGATCAATAAAATAAAAATTTGTTTTTTTGAACAGATGAACAACATTGACAAACCTTCAGGCAGACTAAGAAAAAAAAGAGCAAAAAACCCAAATAAATAAAATTAGAGATGAAAGAGGAGACATTGCAGCTGATTTCACAGAAATTCAAAGTATCATTACAGGCTGCTATGAACAACTATATGCCAATAAATGGGAAAACCTGGAAGAAATGGATAAATTTCTAGAAAAATACAACCTACCAAGATTGAACCATGAAGAAATCCAAAACCTGAACAGATCAATAACAAGTAATAAGATCGAAGCTGTAATAAAAAGTCTCCCAGAAAAGCAAAGCCTAGGATTCAATGGCATCACTGCTGAATTTTATCAGACATTAAAAAAGAGCTAAACCCTATTCAAATTATTCCAAAAAACTTATTCTACAAGGCGAGTATTACACTAATACCAAAACCAGACAAAGATGCATAAAAAAAGAAAACAATATGCCAATATCCCTTATGAACATTGATGCAAAAATCCTCAACAAAATACTAGTAAACCAAATTTAACAGTACAATAAAATGATCATTCATCATGACCAAGTTGGATTTATCCCTGGGATGTAAGAATGGCTCAACATATGCAAATCAATCAATGTCATACGTCATAGCAATGAAGGACAAAAACCATATGATCATTTCAATTGATGCTGAACAAGCACTTAACAAAATTCAACATTTATTCATGATAAAACCCTAAAAAAATTGGATCTAGAAGGAACATACCTTAGCACAATAAAAGCCATTTACAACAGACTCATAGCTAGTATAATACTGAATGAGGAAAAACTAAAAGCTTTTCCTTTAAGATCGAGAACATGACAAGGATGCCCACTTTCACCACTGTTATTTAATGTAGTACTGGAAGTCCTAGCTGGACCAACCAGACAAGAGCAAGAAATAAAGGAAATCCAAATTGGAAAGGAAGAAGTCAAATTATCTTTGTTTGCAGATGCTATGATCTTATATTTGGAAAAGCCTAGAGATTCCACAAGAGAACTATTAGAACTGATAGACAAATTCAGTAAATTTGAAGGATACAAAATCAACATACGAAAATCAGTAGCATTTCCATATGACAACAGTGAATCTGAAAAAGAAATCAGGAAATTAATCATATTTACAATAGCCAAAAACAAAATAAAATACCTAAAAATTAACCAAAGAAGTCAAAGATGTCCACAATGAAAAATATAAAACACTGATGCAAAATTTGAAGAGAATATAAAAAAATGAAAAGATATTCCATGTTAATGGATTGGAACAATCAATATTGTTAAAATATTCATACTACCTAAAACAATCTATAGATTAAATGCAACCCCTATGAAAATACCAATAACACTCTTCACAGAAATAGAGAAAAACAATCCTAAAATGTATATGGAACCATAAAAAACCCAGAATAGCCAAAGCTATCCTCAGCAAAAAGAACAAAACTGAAGGAATCACATTATCTGACTTCAAATTATACTACAGAGCTATAGCAACCAAAACAGCATGGTACAGTCATAAAAACAGACACATAGGCCAATGAAACAGTATAGAGAACCCAGAAACAAATCCATACATCTACAGTAGACTCATTTTCAACAAAGCCAAATATATACATTGGAGAAAGGATAGTCTCTTCAATAAATGGTGCTGGGAAAACTGGATATCCTTATGCGGAAGAATAAAACTAGACTCCTATTTCTCATCACACACAGGAATCAAATCAAAATGGACCAAAGATTTAAATATAAGACCTTAAACTGTGAAACTACTCAAAGAAAACCCTGAGGAAACTACCCAGGACATTGGTCTGGGTAAAGATTTCTTGAGTAATACTCCACAAGCACAGGCAGCCAAAGCAAGAATGGACAAATGGGATCACATCAACTTGAAAAGCATCTGCACAGCAAAGGTAACCATCCACAAAATGAAGAGTCAACCCAAAGAATGGAAGAAAATATTCACAAACTATCCATCTGACAAGGGATTAATAGCCAGAATATATAAGGAGCTCAAATGACTTTATAGGAAAAAACCTAATAATCAGATTTTAAAATGAGCAAATATCTGAATAAACATATCTCACAAGAAGATATACAAATGGCAACAGGTATATGAAAAGGTGCTCAACATCATAGATCATCAGAAAAATGCAAATCAAACTACAATGAGATATCACCTTACTCCAGGTAAAATGGGTTATATCCAAAAGACAGGCAACAACAAATGCCAAAGAGGATGTGGAGAAAAGGGAACCCTTGCACACTATGGAATGGAAATTAGTACAGTCACGATGGAGAACAGTTTGGAGGTTCCTCAAAAAACTAAAAATAGAGCTACCATATGATCCAGCAATCCCACTGGTAAGTATATACCCAAAAGAAGGGAAATCAATATATTGAAGAAGTATCTGCTCTCCAGTGTTTATTGCAGAATGATTCACAATAGCCAAGATCTGGAAGCAACCTAAGTGTCCATCAACGGATGAATGGATAAAGAAAATGTGGTACACATTCCATAAAAAAGAATGAGATCCTGTCATTTGCAACAACAAGTATGGAGCTGGAGGACATTATGTTAAGTGAAGTAAGTCAGGCACAGAAAGACAAACTTGGCGTGTTCTCACTTATTTGTGGGAGCTAAAAATTCAAACAAACTCATGGAGGTAGAGAGTAGAACAATGGTTACTAGAGGCTGGGAAGGGTAGCAGGTTAGTGAGGAGTAAGGAGGGAATGGTTAATGGGTACAAAAATATAGTTAGAATGAATAAGATCTAGTATTTGATAGCACAACAGGGTGACTATAGTCAACAATAATTTAGTGTACATTTGAAAATAGCTCAAAGAGTATAATTGGATTGTTTGTAATACAAAGAAAGGATAAATGCTTGAGGCAATGGATCCTCCATTTACCCTGATGTGATTATTATTTGTTGTATGCCTGTGTCAAAATATCTCATGTACCCTATAAATATATGTACCTACTGCGTACCCACAAAAATTAAAGATTAAAAAAAGATTAATTATAACAAGAGATTGCCTACTAAGAGGCAAAGAGAACTCCAAGGAATATAGTAATAGCAGATATAAGGAACAGCTACTACCGCTAGGACTGAGGCAGAACACCCAAGGAGAGGAAATCCCCACAGTCATCAAAGTCCACTTTCAACCCCCCACCTGCATCCCCAGGCTGAGATCCAGACCTCATTGGAGAGGGTGTGGGCGTGGCCTGTTGAATACAAGATACACAATGCCAGATGGCACTCTGGCAAAAGTTACTGAGAGGCCCCTTTATGGAGCTGGGGGAGGCTCTCTGTGGGGAGGTACTGTACTGGTGATATCTGCTGGGAGGCTATACTCTGGTGGACATGAGGAAGTCATTCCCAGGGAGATGCCACACTATGGAGCTTACTCTAAAGCTGCCCATGGAGGTAGTGTACTGAGAAGTGGCTCTGGTTTATCAGGAGGTGATGCCACTGAAACTTGCTGAGGGTGAGCACTGGGGCTCCCACCTGTCCCTGGCCACTGGATGCTAGAGGTGCAAGCCCAGAAGAAGCCTATTGGATTCTTCCTCCCCTCCCCTCCCTTCCCATCTCTTCCTCCCTCCCTTTCCCCTCTTCTTCCTCCCTCTCCCCCTCTCCTCTCCCCTCCCCCTCTCCTCTCCCCTCCCTCTCTTCCCATCCTTCCTCCTCTTCCCTTCCTTTCCCTTCCCCTCTTCCTTTCCCTTCCCCTCTTCCTTTCCCTTCCTCTCTTCCTTTCCCTTCCCCTCTTCCTTTTCCTTCCCTTCCTTCAGCTCCCCCTCTCTCTGACTCTTCCTTTCTCTCTCTCTCTCCCTGACTCCTCTATACCCCTTTAACCAAAGTCAGTTTCTTTAGAAGACTCAGGACACTTCTTGTGTGTCTGGGCATGGCAATTTGTTCATCAGTTTCCTATGAGCATATTAAAACACTAATTATAACTATGAAAATGTACAGTTGGTGTATAGTTAGCTCTTACACCATATCAGCTGATGGGAAGTAAGACTGAAAAAAAAATAGAATAATGTCTTTCATTAGGAGATTAGATTGTGCTGTGTGCATTTTGTATCATGTTTTCTTCTTTGCTCTTACATATAAAAAGCAGTGTTTCTACATAAGATTTGCATGAGTGAAAAGAACACAAGGTTAGGAGATATCATCCTGGTTGTGTCCCCAAGTGGTATGGTGACCCTAAGCAAATAACACTTTCTTTGATTTCAGTTTTCTCATCTTTCAAATAGGAATAACATTTATTCATTCACGTACTTGTTAATCCTGTCTGTAAACATTTTTTAGGTTGCTTATTTTGTGTCGGCCGCTGTGCTAGCACTGGAGATTTGTAGCTTACTAAGTCATTACCTGTCTCCTTAGGGAGCCACCTTGTAGTCCTAAAAATAAAATACAATGCCCCATTTTAGAGAGTTCTCATAAAAATCAAATGAGATGATGGATTATAGGTACTTGAAAAAGATTAAAAAATCACTCTTCAAATGTAAGAGGTTGTACTGATATTAATATCACAGTCATCACAACCGCAGAATGGCAATTAACTTATTGTGTTTTTTATTTCATTGACATTAGGGCTAAGAGGAGGATTGTAAGTGATTCAGGTAAGGACCAGAACATCTATATTCCCAAAGAATGTTTCCCATAAATTAACAGTCATTAAAATTAACCTGTGAAGTTAATTATGGTATGTGACACAGATGGCTTTAAGCTTTATGCAGTTATGTTCTTGACCAGATGAGGTCTTCCTTTTATTAGTTTATGAGTCACAGGGCAAGTGTGATGGTGTGCTAGGAATGCTTAATCAGGATCAGGAGCTAGAGTTACTTCTGGCCTTGGGGGGAAAAAGAAAACCTTTTCGGCATATTCATTTTTGTTTTTTATTGTGAATAAAGCACCCTTTATTGCTGCTCAGGGTGCAATAAACCTCTCAAATCCTTGGGCCCTGGATCTTGTGTGACCTGCCCTTTCATCTCTGATGCTTTCGCTTCTGGAGTTTTGACAATGTCGGATCTCCTTCATGCGCTCTTGCTCCTCTTTGCTCTCTCTCTTTTCCTTTATCAAGGTCTCACCAGCTCTCTGGGAGGAGGATTGCATCATCCCAACCACAGACTACCCGGAGCTTTGGGTGCTCTGTAGCTGCTCATGTCCTTTCCAGTCCCTTCAACCAAGGAGAAGAATGACAGATTGCTGGCTGAGAGTATCCAGAGTGGCTGTTAGCTAATGATTGCTATAAATTCTGATAATAATAATAGCAATCATAAATAATATAAAACAGTGGCATTGCAGCAGCTGGTATTCATGCTGCTCAGACTCTTATTTAAAGAATTTAAACTTTTTTTTTGGAGGAGACTTACAAGAATCTTGGGTCACATGGTACCACTTGGCCACAAGGACTTGACAAGTAGTAATGAGCAGGGTTTCTTGAAGGCAGACAGAAAGATAGGGACAGCTGTCCTGGAGAGTCACCCATCCTGCATCAGAACCGAATAAGTGAGAAATAAACCTTTATTGTGTTAGGCCACGGAGGTTTTGGGTTTTGTTTGGTACATTAGTGTAGCATGACCTATCTGTACTACAGTCACTCACATCGCTGCTGTTATGTATTTTTTTAAATAAGCTTAGCACTGGAGACCCCATGGCTGGGTTAACTCTAGTTAAAAATATTTGTTACGGCCGGGCGCAGTGGCTCACGCCTGTAATCCCAGCACTTTGGGAGGCCAAGGCAGGCGGATCATGAGGTCAGGAGATCGAGACCATCCTGGCTAACATGGTGAAACCCCATCTCTACTAAAAATACAAAAAATTAGCTGGGCGTGGGGGCAGGCGCCTGTAGTCCTAGCTACTCGGGAGGCTGAGGCAGGAGAATGGCATGAACCTGGGAGGCGGAGCTTGCAGTGAGCTGAGATAGCACCACAGCACTCCAGCCTGGGTGACAGAGAGAGACTCTGTCTCAAAAAAAAAAAAAAAAAATTTGTTATTCATTGTGCTTTTAAAAAAAAATCAAGATAGGGTTTGTGTTTTGAGATATTTTGCGGTAACGTAGTAACTTTTAGAAGCTTAAACTATGAGCTTCAGGGCACTTGCACATATTGTAATTCTAAATTCCTAAGAGAAGTTTGCGGTACTGGAAGAGCTAAGCAGCTTCCCAACTCCCATCCAAAGCTGACTTGTGGGGAGTTAATCCTACATAAGAAAAATCTTGTTTCTCTCTGGCATTTCAGAAGCAAAGCTTATTGATCACGAAGCATGACAGTGGAAGAATTTCCTGAAAATGGAAGGAGAAGATGGTTTCACAGCAAAGCTACTAATCTGAAACAGTAAAAGCAACAAACAAATGCCCACTCCCCTTAGCTGACCAGAACACAATCCTTGTGAAATATAAAAACAATTAGGTACATGTAACACAGGACACTGTTTTTCAAATTTAATGTTAACAGTGGGATTATTTGTTTTCCCTGCGACAAATTTCTTTGTGGGAGTCTGATATATCAAATAGGATTGGTAAAGTGAAGCAGGCACGGGCATCTAGAATTCTGCTGCTTCGTACTGCCCCTTCCCAGTCCCCAGTGGCCAGGAGATGCCCCATCAGAGCTCCAGGGCTCTCAGATCATTGTTTGAAAACTACTCATCAGAATGTCTCTTTGAATCAGAGCTTGGATTTCTGATGCATCGGACATTTAAACTCTCCCCGTTTTGCCACCTCTCTTGCAGTGAGTTAACCTAAAACATAAAGGGAAAAAGCAACAACAAAAAAGATCAAAAAAGCCCAAACGATCAAAAAAGGCACGCTGAAATCTGTGTCCTCACCTATTCAGAAAGTCAGGGGAAAAAAAGATAAAAGAATAAATCCTAAGCAAAAGCAACTTTCCATCGAGATGACAAGTAAGATAGCTTCTTCCCTTCTGCATGTGAATTGCAATTCCGATTTATGATCTGTGACATGATAATCAATCAGTCTTAACTGCATTTTGCAGATAGTAGCAGCTGTGGAGATGGGTGCTGAAGTTGACGTTGCCCAGAGATGATGTCATTTCTGGCAAACTCCCCTCAAATGTGCTTTGATCGATGTGGTTGTTCTTTCCTCTGCTAAGTTGACGTGTACTTAACCTCAGGCAGGAATCACGGTCAAGTCCGTTTAGGGGTCAGATCCGATGCAGCCATGGAAAGCTAGAGATTCTCAGTCCTGTCATCCCTTGATTTTACTTTTCTAGACACTAAGTAAAAAAATGAGAGGAGAAGGAAGGGAAGCAAGGGACAGGAGTAGAGACTGCTGGTGTCAAGGACAACAGGGTGGAAGGCCAAATGGAACATCACAGTCATCTTGAGTACCACTGCATGCAAGAACAGCTACCTGAAAGTCAATGATGCATTTAAGATTTTTCTTCCTGGCCCATAATTCCCGTTTGGTTGAGAGTATAGCTGCATTAAGTATATGGTAAATTTGCTGCAGGTGGCCCAGAAAACCTCCCCAGCGCTAACAATCAATTACCTCTCAGGACAGAAGCTGCTTCCTGTGCAGGAAATGCGAGATCTCTGCTCAGTGACAGAGGCTCAGGAATTTCATAGGACCTATGGATCTTCCAGTCCAACTGAGTGCAGAAAACTGCCAGGTTTCATCTTCCTCCTTCTCTGCACCAAAAAACCTGAGACCGGGATGCCATGTAGCTGCTTCAGTTGGGAGATGATGCCAAGAACCACAAATGAGGAAATGGTAATGTGGGTCAGAAGAGAGAGAAAAGCCAATAAGGGTCTATTTGTAAGTGGGCTACCACCACGGGCAGGTGGGGCTCAATCCCTCTGGGGCCCTCACAAAATTGTGTATCTCATGAAAGGACATGGAAGCTGGGATATTTGTCCAATCACTTCCTCCTCTAACAGGGTGAGGGATGCCTCAAGTGGCATTAACCCCACAATTCTGGTTATAACAGTGCAGCAGGGAGTTCTCCTGGTATCAGAGAAAGCCCGGTGGCTGAGAAGAGAGACCCAGGAGCTACACAGAGGTGGGATGCTGTTCAAAGCCCAGGAATTGTCTACCCTGGCCTGCAGGTAAACTCAGCTGGGTCAAAGTGACAGGAGGCTGTGGTATCAACAGTGGCTACTATAGCCTCCTAGAACCTGAAAAGGACTCAAATAATATAAACACATATCATTCATAGTGTTGCATTAGTTTTACACAATAAGATCAAATATAAAAATATTTATTGTAATCTAAAGTAGTTTACAACTAGGCGATCAGTCCAAAGTGGACAGAGGCTGCTAAAGAGAAGAATACAGAGAATAGCATAGAGAAAGAGGAAAATAGGAAGAGAAAATAAACTTCTATAGATTTAAAAAGGTTGGTTCATTGAGAATATAATTATTGAGCATGACTTATGTGCAGGAATCTGCTCTAAGTTGAAGGTAATAGGGTAATGATCAAAAATCACAAAGTTCTATGTTCTCATGAAGTTATATTCCAGCTGGAGGTAGACTGATCATTAGTAAGATAAATAAGTTTACAGAGTGCTTGATAATCATGAGTGCTAAGGAGAAAAACAGCAGAAAATGGGACTAGGAGGTGTGGGCTGGGGGAGGGTGTTAAAATCTTAAATGGGGCTGGGCTTGGTGGCTCACCTCTGTAATCCGGGCACTTTGGGAGGCCGAGGCGAGTGGATCACTTGAGCTCAGGAGTTTGAGACCAGCCAGGCCAACATGGTGAAACCCTGTCTCTACTAAAAAAACCAAAAAATTAGATAGCTGTGATGGCATGTGCCTGTAATCCCAGTTATTCAGGAGGCTGAGGCAAGAGAATGGCTTGAACCCGAGAGGCGGAGGTTGCAGTGAGCCGAGATCGCGCCACTGCACTCCAGCTTGGGAGACAAATGAGACTCAGTCTCAAAAAAAGAAAAAATAAATAAAAAAGAAAACATTGTAAATGAGCTGGGCAAGGAAGGCCCACTCCTGGGCAAGGAGGACTGAAGTGGGGAGGGCAGGAGGGAACCCTGAGGGTATCTGGGGAGGAGCATTCTAGGTGGAGGAACAGCAGGTACAAGACCCTGAGGTAGGAACATGCCTAGCAAGTTGGGGAGCATCAAAGGAGGCTCATGTGGCTGTAGCAGCATGATCCCAAGGAGAGTAGGAGGGCCTCAGTTCAGAGAGGAAATTGCAGATTAATAAGGTAAGCCAGATTCCAACTACAGGGCCTTGTGTACCTTTTTAAGGATTTAAGTTTCTACTCTGTGTGAGATTGTTATCAAACAGAACTTGGGTCCACTTGCCCAGCACAGCAAAGCCAAACACTGAGAAGAGAAAGTGAGGCATTTACCACAGGGTGCCAAGCAAGGGGAACTAGGCAGCTCATGCTTAAGACCCAAACTCCTCCATGGCTTACAGGTGTTTTTAAAGGCAGGGAGGCAGAGGTTACAGGCAAAGTCATAAATCAATGAATGGAGGCTATATATTGGCTTGACCTAAAAAGATGGGACATCTCAAAGTGGCAACCCACAGGTCATAAATGGATTCAGGGATTTTCTGATTTGCAATTGGATAAGGAGGCACAGCTTTGTCTAAAAGTCTGGGATCAGCAGAAAAGAGTATTAGCTCTGGCCTGTGAGTGTGACTTTCCCCAGTCCCCCCAGGATGAAATTTGAAAATAATGGCAGAGTTCAGTCCTCAATTCTCCCTTATCTGAGGTCTACATGCCAGGAGACAGCATTGTTATTTGGTTGGGGTCTGGGTTTCTGCAAAACAATTCAGGGACATGAGTTAAAATGTTATTTTTAATTTCTATAGGGACCCTATGGAGGGTCTCTGTTCCGTCCCACCCTGAGGAAAATGTTCCATACAGGGGCTTGATTTCTAACCCATTCCTGGCCGGCTAGAAGATCCGGAGTAACTTGGGCATGGATCACTCCCACCAGCTTCTCTAAACATTTATACTTTGAGTATTTTTCAGGTTCAAAGATAAAACAAGCATCTTAAAGTTCCATTTAGGCACAGTAGAATAAGTCTAGAGATTTCTCGCCCTCAAAGAATCTTGGAAGATCTGTGAAATATGCTCTATGCATTCACCTGACCTCTGCTTTGAGACCACCAATATTTTGATATTATATTGTCATATATATTGGTTAGGGTATTTGGTTGTAAGCAATAGGAACTAATTTGATAGACACAATGTGAGGTGGCCTATAGAGAAGCAATCATTGAAGAACTGGGCTTTGAGAGGGGTGGGAACTAGGGAAGTCCAGGAGAACCAGGTAATGGGAGTATGAATTAAGAATCTCAGAGGTACAACCCTTTCTGGGTCAAATCAGCTCCAGTCACTTTCTATTTTTTAGTTTTCCTGTTTCTGCAAAATATCACACAAAGTTCAAAATCTTGGTGGAGGGTCTCTAGACTCATTGAAGACCCGTGTTCAGTGGGCTGGAGCAATGAATGACAGTCCTACAAAGACTGCACACAATGAATGAGAGATAATCCCTTCATATGAAACCTAAGTACTGTCACCAGAGAAATATGGAATAGATGCTAAGCAGACCCATACAATAAATGTCCACTGGTCTACATCTGTGCTATCCAATACAGCAGCCACTAGCTAAATACAGCTATTAAAAGTAAGTCATATGAAAGAAAATGTAAACTCAGTTCCTCAAAAGTAAGTCATATGAAAGAAAATGTAAATTCAGTTCCTCAACTGTATCAGTCACATTTCAATTGCTCATTAGCAACATGTGGTTAATAGATTCTAAGTTAGCACATATATAGAACATTTCTATTGCCATAGAAAGTTCTTTTGGACTGCACTGGTATATGTAGTAATATATCTATCTGTACACATATTCCAAGCACTTTATACCACTTTTTATAAAATAAGCCCTCACTTTCATTACATTATTTAACTTGTATTTCTGCCTTGTGTTATAGATAGAAAGTATATTATTATTTCTACTTTATAGCTGAAGAAACTGAGTCCAAAATGGGTAGAGCAACTGGCACTAAAGATCACCTAGCCAGTCCGAGATCACACAGTCAGTATTAGGACTGGGGCCTTGTGCCTTCCAGTGCAGGGTCCCTTACACCAGTCATGACATAGATGCCCAGATCATGCATGACTTGATGTAAAAACAACAATTTTTGTTGTCCCAGTTTGAGTCCTTATAAATTTCCCCTGTCAAAGAAATAAACATGCAACTCTCAGAAATTATCTTTTATGGAGCTTTTAAAGGCCACTTTGCCAAAGGGAGCTATATAACCATGACATAAACATGAAGATGGATTGACAGAAAATACTCTTTCACAGGCTGGAGGAAATATTGGGGGAAAGAAATTTTCTCAGACTGCCCTTCCAACGTGGCATGGATCATGGAGGTCAGCTTTTCTAGCTTGTGCCCAGAGGTCTGTCTACCTCAGCTGTGTCTTGTGATTGATAGGAGGATACAGTCTCCCAGGGTGTGATTTAAGGTGGAGCTTATAGGTCTACAAAGCTCAAGCTCTTATCAAGCTACTATGGCATGATAGTACAATTATAAAGAAAGTAGACTAGTTTCTATAAGCTGTGTATAAAACCAGGCCCACCCTAACATTTGCAGGGCCTAGGCCAAGAGTGTATGTAGAGTCTCATATACCGTATGTCTAAATATTTCAAAGTTATAAACCAAGAAGGGCCTGTGGCCCAAACTGTGTTCCCACCCTAAGCCTGGTAGAGGCTTCTCACAGGTGTCCTTGGAGTCCCTCCAGGACCAGCCCTGCTGCTTGCCAGTCTGCATGGTCACCTGGATGTGCTGAGTCAAAGGCAGGTGGAGCTGGGTGAAAGTCTGTGGTTTTCAGTGAGGACTGGAGATTCTCAAATCTGGGATTGGGAACTGACTCAGTCAAGCGCCTCAAGGAGCTAGGGTGCTCCTTGAGCAGGTTCCTCTCCTCCTTATTTCAATTTGCTGATTAAGAACTTCTAGACAGTTCTAAGCCCCTTTCAAACAACACACGTTTTTAGCAAATGAGAAGAAGAAAGCTTGGTCATGTTAGAAATAGTCCTGTCCAGACACACACTTCAGAGCAATCTGGAATGGCCATTCCCCAAGCATGGGCTGCAATTCCTTTCTCCCCTGTGTCTCCCTAACGCCCACACCCACTCATCAGCTCTTAGTTCAGCACACTGGCCTGTGGGTCCGAGTTTGGTGTGTGCCGCATCCCTCTCCTATAAACTCTTTTTGCTCAATAAATTACTGAATCTTCAAAAGAAAAATTTTTAAATAAGACCAAAACCACAAAACAAAGCAAACAACAGTGACCTGGTATTTTGGCATTCATTTTGTGTGGGGCCCTCTAAAGCAGAGGGTCCTGGAGGAGTCTCTTCAGTCCAATGGCTGAATTACTCCAAGACTCTTTCATACAAAAGTTAGCTGGGCATGGTGGCATGCGCCTGTAGTCCCAGCTACTTGGGAGACTGAGGCGGGAGAATCACTTGAACCTGGGAGGCGGAGGTTGCAGTGAGCCAAGATTGTGTCATTGCCCTTTAGCCTGGGTGACAGAGCAAGACTCCATCTCAAAAAACAAAACAAAACAAAACAAAAAAAACTCTTTCTTTACTTTATAACCATATGGCAGGACATCTCAGTTCATCTATGACCTGTGGTTTTAAAGTAAATTCTGTTTAAAGTTATCTTTAAAATAGCTTTATTTTTGTTAAAATAGAGCCATATCTTCATCTGCGGGAAATCATATTGACTCCATGATAAGCTATATTCTGGAAAATAGTCAGTGTGCTGACGATTGCTACCTGTGAGTAGCTCACCCAACCCATAGGCAAAGTAGCAAAGAGAGAGGCATGGCAACCCCCAACGTGAGAGGCTTGTAGACAACCCACAGTTCTAGCAGATGTCAGTGCAACGGGGCAAATTTCATCCCCCTCAGAGCATGGCTCTGGGCACCACTGGACACATCTGTTTCAGGATAATTTGAAGTCCAGTTGTTCAGACAGAGTTGATCTTAAGACCATGGTGGCTACTGCTGAATTTTTTCAGATAAAGTTAGTAAAATCCGAAGTTCACCCAGGTGGTTGATGGCAATATGAACTCTATATAATACTGTCTGATGCCAAGTATCTTAGTCAACTCAGGCTGCCATAACAGAATACCACAGACCAGGTGGTTTAAACAGCAGATATTTACCTTTCACAGCTCTGGAAACTGGGAAGTCTGGGATTAAGCTGCCAGCATGGTCAGGTTCTGGTGAGGGGTCACCTCTTGGCTTGCAGGTGTCCACCTTCTTGCCGTGTGCTGTGTGTGGTGGAGAGATCTCTCCTTACGAGGGCCCTGATTCCATCATGAGCCCATCTAACCATGATTACCTCCCAGAAGCCCCACCTCCAAATACCATCCCATTGGGGGTTAGGGTTTCAACATATGAATTTTGAGAGGACACAGACATTCAGTCCATAACACCAAATCTGTATTCATCCTAGTTCAGCACAGAGCAGAACCTATGTTTACCCAATATCCTTTGAATACTAGTTCTGACCATAGCCTTTGTAATTTAAAAGCTCTACAGTCATTTTTTTTGAATTATAAATGCAATACACACTTTTACTAGAAAATAGGAAAAAATTAAATAAAACTTATCCATAATTCCACCAATTTGAGACTAACAGTTGGTTTCTTTTCTTCCAAACACATATGTGTATATAAATATACGCATATATACTTCCATAAACAACATATTTTTAAAATGAAATTAGATTCATACTGTTGAGGTTTTTTTTTTTTTTTTTAATCTTACTTCTTTCAACATGCTTTAAATAGTAAGCTTTTCCCTTGTCCTAAAAAAATTTTTACTTCTTCACTTTTTAATGTTTTGGCTGTCTGGACCATAAATTATCTGCATTTATATCTTATATTATTTAGAAAATATATATCTGCTTTTAATCCCCTCGTTTTTAACTTTTAATTTTTCAAATGGATTTTAAAAGCTGTGTTTTTGCTAAGTATCAACTCAAGAAGGAAATGTTCTCTTTTGAGTTCTACCTTTGCTAGATGAAGAATGTGGCCCACCTCTCCTCTCACTACCCCTTCATGTCAAAGCCTTGGATTTGTGGGGCTTTGGATGTTGTGCTTATTTTTTGAAATAAAAATAAATGAACAATTTCCTATGTATAGAAAATTATTATGCATATAAACCATGCATTTTTATCACAAAGGATTTTAGTTGGCAGTTTTCTGCAATATACTAGTTATTTTCACAAGGTGGAAATCCAGAGGATCGATTGACTTGAA
Source organism: Homo sapiens (assembly GCF_000001405.40). NCBI lineage: Eukaryota > Metazoa > Chordata > Mammalia > Primates > Hominidae > Homo > Homo sapiens. The sequence goes on from NC_000008.11 coordinate 31,398,650, forward strand.
TCCTGAATCCCTACATCCTCTATCAGCACCCAGTGTTCTTGCAGGTTTTCAAAGAAACTCTCCCTGCTATTAGGCTAAGGCTTTAGATTCAAATACTCATAGAGAATCTTAGCCCTAGGCTAAAAATAGGGCCCACCTTTAGCATGGGCCGTATTTTGTTCCTTCTTCCATGGATATGTCTGGAGCAGTCTTCTTTAGTTCTGATTCCTGGCCAACATCATAGAAAGATGAATCCTTTAGGAAGTGCACCAAAGAAGGAGCACTTTTGCATAATGACTAGAGCTCCTCATCTCTGCCAACCACCCCAAGTCTCTCTCTCTTTTTAATTTTTATTTTTTTGCTGGGCCCAACCCTTGTTTCTGTTTGAGCAAAATGCATAAACTTAGAACAGACATTCTTAAGCCTTGTGCTGTGTTACACTGTTGTACTACGAGCATTTGACTTATTTTTGCTGGAACCATGAATATGTCTTGAAAGGCTGCTGTCTGCTGGATGAAACACTGAGCTAAGCAGGTCATACAACAGGCTGTAGAGTAGGAGCTCCAACTTGGAACTAAGGGGCATAAAGTGTGGTACCCTGCCCACTGGTGTCAAAGAAAAATTAAGCATTCAAAGGAACATGTGAGGGCTTTGCTTTCTGACAGTGTGGTTCTGGCTATACTGAGGGTTATCTTTTAAAACTAGCATGGTATAGAAGAGTGACCTCATGGACAGTGCAGTAACTAGATGCTTCCAAAGGGTGTGAGATGCTGCTTTTCTCTAGTAGTATTTGTGTTATAATTATTCCTGGCTTGTTTGCCTTTAGTATTTTTTTGACTGCCAAAAATTATAGCATTCAAAAAATGTGCCACAAAAACAACAAAGTTGACAACTACTGATCTGGAACCTTTCTAAATGTGACCAGTCAGAGACCATAGCCAATATTTTCTATTGTCTATAGAATGGGATGGGCAGAGAAAACAGCTAACAAAAAAGGAAAAAACAACCCAAAATATTTCATGGTTTCAGCTTTATTAGCCTAACAGTCAAGTTGTTTTGGTTCCACGACTTTTAAATTAAGCGAAGGAGAACTCTCCCATCAATAGGTTCATTGTGATGCCAAACTTTACATATTTTGGAAAAACATTCATTTACCCGCCAGGCAAGCTGCCTCCTCTCTTAGAGTTCGTGGTAGGGAACTATAAGCATAAAGACCTTTCTGAGGAGGTTTTCCTTATTTTATTGACTGCCTCATATATTTACAACTTCCCAATTTATTTTTTCAGACTGCTAACTCCTGTGTTCCTAGATTCCCATTTTTCAATTGATTGTGGGCTTTTTCTAGGGTTACAGATTTAACTTCCATGCAAGTGGTGGGGTGTCCCACATCAGGACCTTGTATATTCTAACTCTAAACACTCTTCGTATTTCTGTATGTCTCCAGACCAGCAAACTTACACAGTCTTCTTGTTATTGATATTTGCCTTTTGTGTGTTCCAAGAGCATATCCCTAAGTGCACAGAAGATGTGATTTTTCTTCTGTCATTGTCTCCAAAACCTCTTCTTTCCTGCATCTGAAGTCCCCAGACCCTGGATAAGATTTCTACTTTGTTGCACTGAGGAACAGAACTTTTCCCTTTTTATTTACAGAAGGGTCTGGCTCTTATCACCTCTGAATAGCATGCCATTCTCTTAGCCTCATCTAAGAAACAGACTGTAGGGGAAGAGAAGATCTAGAATGTTGGTCACCAACCAATGGCAGACATTATCAGGTAAGAAACCTGCCCACCCAAACTCTGGACCCTAATATGCAAGTCTAACTAGTTCCATAAAACCAATCCCTGCTAACCCCACAAACAGGTTGCCTATAGCCTTACAAGTGGCCTCCTTGGTTTTTAGTGGCATAGTGCAGGTGAGCCATATATTATGCTTCTCAATTTATTTCCATTGGTCAGAAAACTGGTAAAAAATTCCTTTTCAATGGTATAGTTTTCGAATCTCAACAGAGACTTCTTTGGTCTTAGTGATGAGTCTTCATGGTATTTTGGCTTGCACGTAGTAACAATAATCAAGTCATTCACCCAGTGCAAGATTTTGGTGTCTTTATTTTTAACTATTTGTATTGTGCATTATCACATAGATAACCATTTGTTTTGCTGGTCTCATTGCTCACGTAGAAGTCTGAATATAATTCTTTCTCAGAGTGTGGGAAATCATGGATTGATATTCTTAGTTTTTGATGTAGTGCTTTTTATTTTTAACCTTCTTAGACAATTTGTGAGCAAGGAAGTCAGGAACTGTGAGCCACCTGCCATCTTAATTTGACATCTAGTCTCACTACTTTCAAGCACCTCCACTTCAAAATACTCTTACAAGTGAATCACCATTGTTAAATGGATCTTTGAAGGAATTTTGACAACCAGACTGAAAACAATCTAGACATCTTAGATATTTGTGGCTTCACAGAAAATAAAATAAAACAACCCTTTTCAGCATCAAGTTATATTTTCCATAGCTACAGAATCTGGTAAATAACTATGTTACTCATTCATCTAGGTAGTTTGATACTACCTACTGATACTGGAGTTGGGGAGGGAAGTGCTGGGAAGGGAAGGGTGTGGTCCCTGGCTAGGGCTCCACCCCTGGGCCTGTGCCCATGAACCTAGGTGAGGACAGGCATTTCTGTTTTTGTGCCCAAATGTTGCATTTCCCAAGACCAACCTGGCCTACCACACCCCTCTCCTGTGCCTATAAAAACTCCCAATACCCTAGCTAGCAAGCACACAGCAACTGGATGTCGAGAGGAACACACCAGCAGAATAAGATACAAGTGGCTGGGCATTGAGGGGAATGCTCTGGCGTAAGAGCACATCAACAGATGCCGGCAGGCCAGCAGGCTATTGACCAGCAGGACGAGGTGAAGTTTGGCTGGGGCAGTCGAAGGAGAGAGCTCCACTGCTGAGTGGCCGACTCCAGGGGAAAACCACCTTCCCACTCCATCTCCCTTCTGGCTCCCCCATCTGCTGAGAGCTACTTCCGCTCGCTAAAATCTTTGCACTCATTCTCCAAGCCCATGTGTGATCTGATTCTGCTGGTATACCAAGGCAAGAACCCTGGGATACAGAAAGCCCTCTGTCCTTGCGATAAGGCAAAGGGTCTAATTGAGCTGACTAATGCAAGCCGCCTACAGAGAGCTAAACTGAAAGAGCACACTGTAACACATGCCCACTGGGGCTTCAGGAGCTGTAAACATTCACCCCTAGACACTGCTGTGGGGTTGGAGCCCCACAGCCTGCCCGTCTGCATGCTCCCCCTTGAGGTTTGAGCAGCGGGGCACCAGAGAAGTGAGCCACTCTCCCTGTGGCACACCCTGTGAGGGGCACAAGGGAACTTTTCCCATTTTACTACCAAGGCCAGTGACATGAATGATCAAATACCAACCAGCTACATTTTATTTAATTTTTAATTTTTTTAGTTGTCAGAAGATTTTATTAACTGTAAGCCAGGGAATGGACTGATCGATTTTATTATGCAAATCAATGAAAAAAAAAACTCTTTTAGAAGGACACACACACACGTGCTCACAGGGAAGCTGGTTGTTGGTTGAGAGTCAGGTCAGAACCTTGGAGAGCTCAAGATAAAGGGGGGCAGAACCACAATCAGAAGCTTCCATGGCTGCCCCCCACATGGATGAGTTTTATTTAATTATTTTTTTCCTTCAACTTTTATTATAAGCTCAGGGGTACATATGCAGGATGTGCAGGTTTGTGACATAGGTAAACCTGTGCCATGGCGGTTTGCTGTACAGATCTTCCTGTCACCTAGGTATTAAACCCAGCACCCATTAACTATTCTTCCTGATGCTCTCAACCAGCTACATTTTAAACCCTATTTTCTCTAAAGATACATCAACAGATTAGCTTATTCTTCAGTCCTGGATCTAACATAATTTGTACAGTAAAGTGAAGATAAAGTTTATTCAGATTATTTGTACAAGTACTTTCTCATCAAAGTGCAGCAGTCTACTTTCTGTTTCCCATGGGTGATAGGAGATAGGGTTAATGAAACAGCAGTAATTTAGAGACCAGTTTTAGCTGCATATTGCAATCTTTCTTTAGAACTATCCTAAAAGCTGTCTGTTGCTTTGAAATGAATCTTACTTCCATTTCCTCCTTTTCTTTTGGACCTGCTCAGGAGCAATAAAATAGAGCAAATGTAAACAGCAGAAATGAGACAGAAGGGGACTTGGAGATAAAAGAAATTTGTTTCTTCTGCATTCTTCAGAATGCAGAGTAGTTCCTGGCAGAGAGTAGATGCTAAGTTAATGTTTGTCAAATTAAGTGCATAACCCGAATATTCAGAATAGAAATCTAAATAGTTTTTACTTGCCTGAACACAGGAACCTTACTCCTAGAAAATTTGGCTGGCTAGCAGAAACAACTTTAAGTGCCTTGAAAAAATAAGTAACAGATGATAGGTTGCTTCTAACTGGAGGCTGGTGGAAGACAACATCACATTAGGTCTAGGGGAGGATTATTACTTGGGAAGGTGGGCTTGAGTCAGTGATGGGTTGAGAGGATGCGGTAGTAACCAAACAGGTCAGCCAAGCCAGCAGCCATCAGGGATGGAGCCAAGGCAAACTTCAAGCAGACAATGCTGAATACAAACCATGTCTACCTTCTCAGATTGCCTCCCACCCACCTTTCTCTTTACATATTGGTGTAATAGCTATGCTGATTAGCCTGTCTCCTTCTGGATGTGGGTGAAAGGCCACATTCTGGAGTTTAGGACCTGCTTTTTCAAGTGGTACTCAGGGGATTAAATGACACAATCCAGAAGTGTGTGTGAGGAGTGATTAGCTCCCTGCATGTAAAACTTGATAAAAGAAAAATGAAAGACAGAAGTCCTCGCTTCCTTCTTTCTTTCAAGGACTACTCCAAGGTGAGATTTCATTTGCACATTTTCTTAAGAAGTCCTGAGAGCTGGGCAGACATGGTTGCATCCTGGCCCTTGTGTTGCTTCTTTCTCCTCTAACCCTCATTCTTCTAGCCTTTCATTTCCCAACTAAAGGGTCAACCCTTTCATTCTTTCTTCAGGCTCTGCTTTCTAAGAAATCAGGAGTAAGGTACTGACTACCCCAGAGCTGTCTCACTTGGAGCTCTTTCCCTCAAGCTTTTCTGTTTAGTGTTTTTGTTTGCCATCCAAGGACATAAAAAGAGAAGGATCCTTCCTCAAAAACCATGCCCTCAGTCTCCTATGTTACTCCTTTTTTTGGTGCTGTGTAATAGTTATTTCACACCATAATAAATATTAGCTATACTTGCCATTGTATAGGTGTAGGGGAGGATGAGGAGGTTCAAACTGTATTCCCAACATCATAACTTCCTGTTACATCCAAGAGCTGTTGAACAATATCGAGTTTCCCAACATATGTGTGATTGGAATCAAAGGAGGAGAAGAAAGGGAGACAGTTCAGAAGATAATATCTGTGGAAATAATGGCTGGGAATTTTCAAAAAATAATGACAGAAACCAAACCACAGATCCAGGAGTCTCAGAGAACAGCAAGAACAAAAAAACAAAAAACACTCACTCCTCTCCCTACATACACATGCTGTGGCATAGCATAAAACCAAAAAAACAGACAAAATCTTAAAGGTAGTCAGAGAAAACAAAACATTACATAAAGAGGAACAAAGGTACAGTGGTGCAAAGAATTACAGTAAACTTTTTGTCAGAAACTATGCAAGCCAGAGACAATGGAGCAACAACTCTAAAGTGCTGAAAGAAAAGTATTTGTTAACCAAAAATTCTACACCTTGTGAAAATACCTTAAAAACTCAAGGTAAATAAAGATTTTCTTAGACACACAAAAATGGTGAGAATTCATTTTCAGCAGACCTACTGTATGAGAAATATTAAAAGATGTTCTTCAGGCAGAAAAAAATAATATATCAGACTGCAATGTAGACCTATACGAGGAAATAAATTTCATTCTTTCTTTAAGATACTGACTACCCTAAAGCTGTCTCACCTAGAGCCCTTTCCCTCAACTTTTCTTTTCTTTTCTCTCTCTCTCTCTCCCTTCCTTTCTGTCTTCTCTTCTCTTCTCTTTTCATTTCTTTTCTTTCTTTTTGACAGAGTTTCACTCTGTCTCCCAGGCTGGAGTGTGATATCGGCTAACTGCAACCTCTGCCTCCTGGCTTCAAGAGATCCTTGTGCCTCAGCATCCTGAGTAGCTGGAATTACAGGTGTGTGCCACCATGCCTGGCTAATTTTTGTATTTTCAGTAGAGTCGGGGGGTTTCACCATGTTGGCCAGGCTGGTCTCAAACTCTTGACCTCAAGTGATCTACCTGCCTTGGCCTTCCAAAGTGCTGGGATTACAGGTGTGAGCCACTGCACCTGACACCCCCTCAAACTTTTCTATTTAGTGTTTTGTGTTTGTAATTCAAGGACATAACGAGAAAAGAGTTCTTCCTCAAAAACCATACCTTCAGTCCCCTATGTTATTCCTTTTTTAGTTCTCTTACTCTGTAAAATTCTTTCACACTATAATAAATATTAGCTATACTTGCCTAGGTATAGGTGTAGTAGGTGGTGAAAATGGAAATAATGAAGGTAAAATTAAATTAATTTTCTAAATATTCTTAATTACTCTAAAACAATGGTTCTGAACCCCAGGAGATCCCTTTCCATTACGATTCTTCCCCATGGGAACACTGGCAATGTCTGGAGACATTTTTGATTGTCACAGCCGGGGTGGTGCTACTAATGCTAGTAGGTAAAGGTCTGGGATGCTGCTGAACACCCTACTATACATGGGACAGACTCACACAAACAGAATTCTCCAGTCCAAAATATTAATATTGCTGAAGTTTAGAGAATCTGCTCTAAAAGATAACTTCTAAAGCAAAAACAGTAACACTGTATTGTGTGTTTACAGTATATATAAAAGTAGAGGGTATGAAAGCAATAGTACGATTAATGGGGGGGAGGAATTGGGACTAACTATTGTGATGTCCCTACATAGCACAGGAAACAATGTTATTTGAAGGTAGGCTCTTGTTAATTAAAGACGCATATTTTAAAACCTAAGACAGCCAATAAAAATAATTAAGATAAAATGGAATAATAAAATACATTCAATTAAAAAAGAAGAGCCTGAAAAGGAGAGCAGAAACTAAAGAATAGATAGAACAAATATAAAACAGCTAGCAAGATGGTGGATTTTAATTGAGCCATTTAAATAACCACATAAACCTCATTTAATGAGACCTGAATTAACTTAAAACCAAATCAAAGACATGACAAAAGAAAAATGTTATGTCATTATCCCTCATGGACATATCTATCCACATCAAAATACATTAGTCCCACTTATTGGTGGGGGATATTTTCCAAGACCCTCAGTGGATTCCTGGAACTGCAGATGATACCAAACCCTATATATACTATGCATGAATTTCTTGTTCCTTCTTCACAACAGATAAAGTCACAGATGGAAAATTAGTTTTCATCATGGATCTTAGTAACTTCAGCATACGATTTTTTTTCTTTCCATATTAAGTCAAGAACTTTCACCTTTTCACTTAAAGGAGGCACTGATGGCTTCTTTTTTGGTAGATCTGAATGGCTAGCATCACTACTCTTGTGCTCTAGGGCCATTACAAAGTAAACTAAGAATGACTTGAACACAAGCATCACAATACTGGATACTATGATGGTTGGTCTGATAAATAAGACAACTCCTGAGTGAGTAACAGGTGTGGGGGAGGGTACAGACACATGGATACCCTGGACAAAAGGAGGATTCACCTTCCTGGTGGGGCAGAGCCAGGCGGTGTGAGATTTTGTCATGCTATCCAGAGTGGTGTGCAATTTAAAATGCGTGAATTGTTTATTTGTGGAATTTTCCATTTAATATTTCCAGAACACCACTGACCATAGGTAACTGAAACTGTAGAAAGTGAAACCATGAATAAGAGGAGACTATTGTATTGGCAAGTTGAATATAGCAATTTTCAACTTTTTATTTAAAAAGTTGAAAATTACTAGGCTGGGTGCAGTAATTAAAATTAAAAAATTTAAAAATATTAAAATTTTTATTTTAATATTTTTAAATTAAAATATGTAAAAATACTAGGCTGGGCGCAGTGGCTCATGTCTGTAATCCCAGCACTTCAGGAGGCCGAGGTTGGGGAACTGCCTGAGGCCAGGAGTTTGAGACCAGCCTGACCAACATGGTGAAACCCTGTCTCTACTAAAAATACAAAAATTAGCTGGGTATGGGGGTGTGCCTGTAATCCCAGCTACTTGGGAAACTGAGGCAGGAGAATCACTTGAACCTGGGAGGCAGAGGTTGCAGTGAGCTGAGATAGCACCACTGCCATTCAGCCTGGGTGACATAGTGAGACTCCATCTCAAAAACAAAAACAAAAACAATAAACAAAAAAACACTACACAGTGAAGTGAGGCTTACATGGGCATGTCATGCTGGTTCAATACTAAAAAAATTCAGTCAATGTAACTCATCATATTAATGATGTAAAGAAAAGCCACTTGATCATATCGACAGATGCAGAAAAAGCATGTGAAAAATTCACCAGCCATTCATGATGAAAAGTGTCAGCAAACTACTAACAGAAGGAACTTCCTCAGCCTGATAAAGGGCATATAAAAAAACTGTATAGCTAACATCATTTTTAATGCTGAAAGACTGAATTCTTACTCTCTGAAATCAAGAACAAAGCAGGAACGCCACTCTCCCCAGTCCTATAATTTACAGCACTAGATGTCTTAACTAGTCCACTGAAGCAATAAGAAGAAATAAAAGGCATGGAGGTTGGAAGAAGAAAAAAACTGCCCCTATTTGCAGACAACATGAACATTTATAAAATCTAGGAATTTAGAAAAAGGCTTCTAGAATGAAAAGTAGGTTTATCAAAATTGCGGGACACAGGCCAATACCCAAAACCAACTGTTTTTCCATAAACTGGTAACAATCGGAAACCACAATCTGAAAATGATATCATTTACTATAGCTCCAAAAAATGAAATACTTAGGTATAAATCTAAGAAAACATGCATAAGATCTGTATGCTGAAACCCACAAAACGCTGATGAAAGAAATCAAAGAAGACAAATAAATGGAGCGACACATGGTATTCATGGATTAGAAGACTTAAGAGAGTAAAGATGTCAATTCTCCCTCAACTGATCTATAGACTTAATGCAACACCAATCAAAATCCCAGCAAGTTTTTTCTTGTAAATAAAGACAAGCTGATTCTAAAGTTTATATGCAAAAGCAATGGAACTAGAATAGCTAAAACAACTTAGAAAAAGAATACAGTTAGAGGAATCTCATTACTAGATTTTAAGACTTACTATAAAGCAACAGTAATCAAGGCAATGGGATAGACACATAGATCGATGGAACAGAAAAGATATCCCATAAATAGACCTTCACAAATATGGTAATTTGATTTTTGATAAAAGTGTAAAATAATTCAATGGAGAAAGGGTGGTCTTTTCAACACATGGTGTTGGAACAATCTGTCATTCACATGCAAAAGGAGACATGCATCCTCAACTTTATCCCTCATACCAAAAATTAATTGACTCATAGCTCTAAGTATTCACTGTAAGACTATAAAATTTTTAGGAGAACACAGGACCACAGGGACCTCTTTGCTTAGTTATTCGGGTCAGAGAGAAGTACTTTCTTTCAGTTTCATGCCTCACATTGCTGTGTGCCTAGTGCTGTATCCGCCTATGTTGCTGCCTTGAGAATGCAGCTTCATGACTGGGACTTGCTTCAGTCTAGGGCAGGGAGAACAAAAAGAGGAAAAAAAAATGAGGATTTGCCCACAGATCCTCCATCCCACGGGGGCCCTTCTTTCAGGTTTTCTGGTTAGAAACAGAGGATTTCTCTGGGAACCTTTTCTGCCCACAGTTGCTGTGCAGTTCCTGGATTTGCATTGCCCTGCAGTCTAAGCTGGAAGATATGGAATGAAAAGATGTCAGGAAATTCACTGCCCTCTGGGTTACTTTCAGGATTTGATTTTCTTCCCAAATATGCCTGCTATTATTTACTAATCAGCCTCCAGATGCTCACTTTATGTATTCTGTCCAAGGATTTTCGCCACCCTTTCTGATACCGCAAACTGCCCTCCGTTTTACCTCCCTGCATTTCCAAATGCATCATCTTAGTACCTCTTAGTAGAACTGGAGCCACTAATTCTTTCCTCTTCTCCATGTGTTTTTTTTTTTTTTTGAATCAGAGTTTTGCTTTGTTACCCAGGCTGGTGTGCTGTGGTACAATCATAGCTCACTGAAGCCTCACTTCCTGGACTCAAGCGATCCTTGTAGCTGGGACTACAGGCATGAGCCACCATGCCTGGCTAAGTTTTTCTATTTTTTGTAGAGATGAGATCCTGCTATATTGCCCAGGCTGGTCTTGAACTCCTAGGCTCAAGTAATCCTCCCACTTTGGCTTCCCCAAGTGTGGGACTGCAGGAATAAGCCAGGGTGCCTGACTAAGTTTTTCTACTTTTGTAGAGATGAGATCCTGCTATATTGCACAGGCTGGTCTTGAACTCCTGGGCTTAAGTGATCCTCCCACTTTGGCCTCCCAAAATGTCGGGATTACAGGCTTGGGCCACCGTGTCTGGTCCCACCAACTTTTTGATGGAAGAAGTCAGGTTCCTCGTGTGGGTGATTGCTTTGAAGTGGAAACAGCACCAGGTTCTAGCCAACAAGACATAAGGGGGCCTTCTGGGAGAACTATTTTGCCCTAACAAAGAGAGCGACCCATGGAGAAATTCTACCTCCCTTTCTGCCATTGAGCGTTATTGTATAAGGACATGATGCTCAGAAGTGTGGCTGCCACCTTGTACCACAAAAGAAAAGCAAAAACATTATAGAGAAGCAAAACTAGAGCCCAGATATGTTGAGCAGTCAATTAGACAAACTTGAGCCAGTTGCCTTTAGACTCCTACTTGTGTGGGATCATAAATTTCCAATATTTAAACCACTTTTAGTGAGTAGTTTTAAAATTGCAACCCAGGTCATTTTAAGTTATAAACTAATATTATTCCATTTAGGGATTCAGCCATCCACAAAAATAACTGGGATGGAATTAATGAATATTTCTTAATAATTAAATTATGTTTTAAAAATATGGGTGAGTTGCTAGTTTATTCACTGATTTGACATATGTGTGAAGATTGTTTTTATGTGTTAGAACAATAAAGCTAAAAATGGATATACAACCTGAAAATAAATATGGATTACATAGAATTATTCTTGATTTCTTTGTGGACTTGGAGAGATGTTATAATTCTATTCATTTAAAAAATTTGTTTAAATGTATGGGGTACAAATGCAATTTTGTTACATGCATAGATTGTGTAGTGGTCAAGTCAGGACTTGAGGGTATCATATAATTCTATTCTTTATTTTCCTTCATTCACCCTTAAGAAATATTAATTGGGTGTCCATTATGTACCGGAAACTCATTCTAGGTTCTTGGGGCACTAAGAAGAGCCAGAAAAAGTTGCTGTTTTTAAAGTGTTAACAGTATAGTAGGAAATAAAGACATATCAACCAATACTGTAGTTAAAATGCAGAGTGATACAAACTAATATATGGACATGTATAAAATTATTACAGGAATAAAAAAAGCTGTTTTGAGGTATAGTGTTTCTTTCCTATGATAATGGATTTATATAACACGTATGAATACAGTCCATTTTGTTTGGTTCTAGATTACTGGGTAGTATCAGATGCTTTAATTTTCATAACTTAAGACTTTGAAAGGAATATTTGTCATAGAAATGAGTGAAAAATGGCCCCTGTTTATTGGCCCCTACATTGTTTGCTTATTCACAGCACAGTAGGATGGTTAGCTCAGAACCTGCCAGGGCCAAACGCAAATTCTTTCACAGCCAATTGCTTAAAGGTAGCCCAAATAAGCATATTTTCAGCCACTTACAGCTCACCTGCTTTGCATCCTCTACACAATTGCATTTAACATCTGCTAGCCACAGAGAAGACAAACCTTGTAGCTGTAGAAGACCCCAAACTGCTGCAGCCCTTTTGAGCTCTCTGAGCCAGAGACTCCCTGTATTGCTTCTGGGCAATACCACCTGGACACATGTGCCCCCTCACCGATCCCCGTCTCCCCTGGAATTTCCCTTGCCCTCTTCTTCTGGGTGTCTCTGGGACGTCTTCTGCTGTGAGGACTTTCCCTTTTCTGCAATCCTGTCCAATAAAGCTTGCGTTGTGCAATATTGCCTTCTTGTTCTATCTTTCTGTCTTTTCTTTGATCAGCCCCCAGATCCTCAAACTCACCATTGTTCTCTGCTATTATTTTTCTTTTAATGCGCATTAATACACACACATATATATACACACACATATACACATATATACACTCTTTGGAATTCTTTTCCTTGTATGTCTCTTCAATATTCTCTCACACTTCCTTCAAATGTCTGCCCAAACCTTGCTTCTCAATGAGTCCTTCCTTGACCACCCTTTCTGATACTGCAACCTGCCTTCCATTTTACCTCCCTGCTTTTCCAAATTTCCCTTCCCTTGCTCTATTTTTTTTCTTATTTCTCTGCTACTTGTTGTCTATTCACATACTATATACTTTACTCATATATGTTTATTGTTTATTGTATGTCACTACCTATTAGGATATTATTTCTTCAGAACTTGAAGATACTGCTCCTTGGCCTCAGCAGTTTCACTGTTGCTAGTGACAAGTCAAGATAAGACTATTTCCTTCGGTAGCCTTGAAATTTTTCCCTAGAAACTTTTAGGTTCTCTTGTTTATCTGTGTAGTTCTGAGCTGCACCAACTTTTTAAAAGAGAGCAGTCTTGTTCTTTCCTACCATTTGATACTTAGTAAGCATTTAATTCTGAAGATGTGGGTCTTTTTTTCAGTTCTGGAAACTTTTCTGTGTGTATACCCAAACACACACACACACACACACACACACACACACACAGAGATCTTTCTATAAACATAATACACATATATAATTCTGTGTGTAAATATAATACACATCATACACATAGATACACACATGAACACACACATAAAATTTTATATCTGTGTGTATTATATTTATTTCCTCTCTGCTATTGTAGAACTTGTGGATCTGTTTTTTATGCAACTGAAGGTTTATCTCATATTTTCCACCTCTTTTTGTGATTTTTAATGTTTTATGAAGAATTCTTTAGTTCAATTTGATTTTAATAGCTCCATTTTCCCCTTCAGCCTACCAGTTGAGTTTTTAAATATGACCATATGTTTAATTTCTAAGATCTCTTTTGTTATATTTTTATAGAAGGCTTTTCTTATTTCTCTGAGGGTATTAACTGCCTTATTTTAAAACTTTATTTTCCTTTGTCTTCTATTTGTTGAATTTGGCTCCTGTCTTTTGTGGATATTAATTTTCCTCAAATGTTGTGTGATTCTTGTTTGGTTGCCCATATTTTTATTTGAGAGTCTCCTTTTGCCTCTTGGTGGTCTGAGTACAGAACCCTGTCTCAGGGGGTCTAGGGGGAGGTGGGGATTGTTGCCGAGTAGGTTGTGTGAGACCATAATCTTCCGGGCGTAAGTCACTCTTGGGGATTGTGACTGATGGTGGTAGCTGGAATTGTTCTCATTGACAGGCTTTTCTTACACAAGAGTCAACCCCAAGTTCTAGGGCTCAAATCTTCCATTTCTGAGAGCTGTGCTCCCTGCTTTTACTTAGGGGCTAAAGCCAGAACCTCTGTTCCCTTTCAACGTTTTTCTTCCTTTGTTGTCCACTTCGAAGTTTAGCAGTACTTTGGTCTTTGCTCTTCTGTTTTCAGCCCCAACATTTCTACAAAGCCTGTGGCTCTAAACCTTGTTTGCTCATTGCAATCACCTGGGAAGCTTGAGAAACTACTGAAGCCTTGGTCTTACCCCCATCCCCACCCCCACCCTGAGATCTTAATTTATTTCGTCTGGGGAGCAGCTTGGATGCTGGCATTTTTCTAAATTTTCTAGTTGATTTTAATTTACAACCAAGATTGCTAACCACAGTGCTAGGAAATGGTCTCAAGCAGATCTTTCCTGTAAGTGTATTAAAAGTTCTTGGAGTTTATCGTAGGGCAGAAGCCTTCTTTATCTGCTGCTCACTGTAAGAATCAGATAGGAAGGAAGGGGGCTGTCTACACAGCCTTTGGTGACACAGTTTCTTTAATTAGTCATCTTCTTGTTTGACCAATAGCCTTTCCTTATTTTGTATCTCTTAACCTTAATAACTGAACTTGAAGTACTTAGAATTGCTTTTACTTCAATAGTTGTTTTTATTATTTTTCTTAGTTGTTTTAGGCTAAAGTTTCTCTTCCGTTTTTTCCCCATCACTCTCCTCTTAGTGATGTATGATTTTCCAAGATTATTTAAAATTTCTGGTGCACTGATTGGCGCTATTTTTCAGCATGGCAGTACATTTTTTAAAAATTATTTTTCTTGTTATTTGCGTGGATTTGAAGAGGAATGGATGGACACATCTGTGATCATACTACCAAATTTATTCCACCTCCTAGTTCTATCTCCATTTGTCTTTTTCTGCTAATAGATCTATAAAATGTGGAAAGAGATGTTTTACAATCTCTCATAGCAATCCTATTTTTTGTTTTACATAATTTGATGCTTTTATATGAAACATAAAGTTTCATGGCTATTATAAATTTTATGTAGATTTTGCCTTTCATGAATATAAAATGACCTTCTTTTCTATGGAAACCTTTTTTTTTTTTTTTTTACCTTATATTAAATTTTGTTTGAAATCAAAGGGGCCATCCTTTCTGTTTTTAAAATTTCATTTGTCTGGTAAGCCTTTGCTTATTCTTTCAAAACATTTCTCATTTTAATGTGTCTCTTTAAGCTTAAATAGCGTATGTCTAGATTTTTAAAATCTTTTTTTAAATGGGGAGTTGAAATAACTTAAATGTATTATCATAACTTATATGCTTGGCCTCATCTCCGTTATCTTGTTTTATATTTTTAGATTTTATGCTTTCTTGCTGTTTTCTGGATTTATGTCTTTTACTTTGTGTAATATGCTTTGTTTGCTTTTACCTTTTCCAATGTTCTGAAAGGTAAACATTCCTCTTAAAATTTTAATTTTGGTTTTTAGAAAATGATACTTAACCTATTATTAGAAATTTAAAAAAAATTAAAATTTCCATCAGAATTCTTACTTGCAAACAATAGAAACTGACTCTGGCTAGATTAAGCAGAAAGGAATCTTCTAGAAGGATAAGGAGCTGTCCACAGAATTGATAGGAAGGAAGGTTTTACATGGGGAGAAGCCACTGGTGGCTGCATGGCAGGACTGGCTAGGCCACCCCCAGGAATGGCAGCTATCTGATTGCCTCTGTTTTTCCATGGTCTTTGTGTTCCCTGGACACTGGCACCAGACACTTCCTCAGCCACCTTCCCCACCCCTGCTCTGGACACTGAGCTCCACAGCTGCCACTGCTGGATTTCTGAAAAGTCTCTGCTACTAAGCATCATTTGTTTCACATGAATGTCCCAAACAAGAGCACACCACGGGCTAAGCTTAAGCCTCCAGCCCATGGCAGAGCCAAAAGGGGTTTGAGAGGGCAAGTTTCTGGCTTTTTCAGCTTGGAAGTGTGGCAAGTTCTTGCTTGCACCCTTCCCCAAGTCCCAGATCTCTGCCCAATATTTATCCCTCCTCTAGTTTTATTATAATCTCTTCTCAATATTTTATAAATTATGACAAAACTGAAAAGTGAAATACCTCTATACCAGAGGTCTCCAGTCTTTTTGGAAGCAGGGACCAGTTTTGTGGAAGACAATTTTTCCATGGATGTGGGTGGGAGGGGATTCAAGTGCATTACATTTATTGTGCACTTTATTTCTATTATTATTGTGTTGTAATATATAATGAAATAATTATACAACTCACCATAATGTAGAATCAGTGGGAGTCTGGAGCTTGTTTTCCTTCAACTAGATGGTCCCATCTGGGTGTGATGGGAGACAGTGACAGATCATCAGGCATTAGATTCTCATAAGGAGCACACAACCTAGATCCCTCGCATGTGTAGTTCACAATAGGATTCATGGTCCTATGAGAATCTAATGCTGCCACTGATCTCACAGAAGGTGGAGCTCAGGCAGTAACGTGAGTGATGGGGAGAGGCTGTAAATACAGATGATGCTTGGCTCTCTTGCCCACCACTCACCTCCTGCTTTTCAGCCTGGTTCCTCCCAGGCCCTGGACTGGTATCAGTCTGTGGCCCAGGGATTGGGGACCCCTGCTATATACAGGGGTAAAAAAAGAGGGAAGAAGAGAGAATTTGGTTAAAATATATTCATAGAAGGAAGGAAGTGTGAAGAGAAATCACGGTCCTTATTGCTTCCATTGGTTATGTGGTTGCAGATCCATGCTGCCCAGTGAAAGTTCTTGTAATGATGCAAATAGTTTGTACCTGCACTGTTCAATGCAGAAGCCACCTGTGGCCAGCAAACACTCAAAATGTGGCTGGTGAAATGAGAAACTAATATTTTAATTGCATTTAATTTTAATTAATTTACATTTGGATTTAAATAGCCACGTAAGGCTGGTGGCTCCAATGCTGTACAGCGTAGCTGTGAATAGAATGATATTCCCTTTGTCTTCAGCCATACGTCAGTGAACTGGGATCTCTCCCAGTCTAATTCTTTGCTCAATTTCAGGACAACCGAGAAACCTAGCTAATTTTGCCTCTATGAGACTTCCATAGTCATTCACTCAAAACTCATCATTGAACATGTTAAGAAAGGATCTAACCATATTTTCCTTTGTCCTTATGGAGAAGGAGCAACCTTATTTCCTTTTTGATAATTCATGTCAATTACTAGGCAATCCTGTAACACTGCATTTTTATCTGTTCACCCGATGGTAAAGGGAATACAGACAGTCTGGTGGCAGTTCACTGGGATGGTTATCTCCTTCCTTGCAAACAAAACTTCCAAACTAGTGGATAACAGCTATAAGAATGTGTAAAGTTTTTTATAAGTACATTACCAGGTTTAATTCTTAGAGGTATCACACCTCCTTCTGCTCCATTGTTTCCTGGACCCATATTCTGACTGTAGAAGAAAGAGAACATACCTAGAATCCTTCAGGGCTGCAATCTGGCCTGTCTTTCAGCTGGAGTGACTCATTTTTCCACAGCTCATGGAAATGTTCTATAAGTCTAGCTCCAGCTGCTTTTAGATGATGGGATACATAATAAAACTAGTAGCTGGTTTATTCATTTTTTCCCCATCACTGTAAAGTGAGTTCCTAGGTCAGAAACAATATCCTTTGAGGCACCATGCCTGTCATGACTATATATGAGGTATTCAGTAATGGTTGCACTTGTAGAAGCATAGTTGGGAAGGAAAGCATATCAAAGTCCAAATAATAAGTGAAGATAAATGGCACCTTTATCAGGAAGGAAGGTTGCCAATGCAATTAACCTTGTGCTAGGTAGCTGGCTAGGTGGCTATCCCCCAAAGGCATGGTATTATATTGGGGGCTCCAGGTTGGTCTTTTAATGGGAAAGTTGAGCAAACAGCAGATGTGTTATCTAGGGAAGAGAGGGTTGGCTGACAATAGAGAAGGTAATTTTATCTACCTGATTATTAAAAGCATCCCTGCACTGGGTATTCACGTTTGATACAAATATTCTCTCCCTTTGGGCCCATTCTGAGGGTCCTCTAGAATAGTAGCTGAAATTGGGGTTAAAAGCTGCTTAAATTTTGACAGTCTGCTTTACTTCTCTAAATACCAGACATCTTCACCAGGTTATTCCCTTGATCTTGTGTCCTGATATTATGACCATGCCTCTGGCATTTAAGTGCCCCATGTGGCCTCTGTCACCCTCAGATCTTCCCATTTTCTTTAAAATCAAGGAAACAATTTCACTGCATCATGTTCTACTGGTCTCCCTGTCCCATAGGGACCTGCTCAAGCTGTTACAAAGAATATAGAGTGTCAGTGGTGAAATCTATGTCAATAAATACAGTCTTATGTAATATATTCTCCCCTCCTTGTCCAATATTGTCTGAATCCATTCACATATATATTCCCCATATGTTTTGCCAGCATAAACAGGTGAGGCCCTGCACTGTGTGTGTATGTGTGCATGCGTGTGTGCATGTGTGTGTTAAGCAAGCAAGTTCCTCCTGGGCTTGATTTTGATTTTGTAATAGTATCCCTGGGGCATGTTTAGATATGCTTCTTAGTAAAGGTTTAGGGACATTGACGAAAGGGAATTCTCTCATTTTTAAAATGACGTATGTAGAGTTATATTGTAATGAGGAATCAGTGTTCTTTTGGCTGGCAATAAAGGCTTACTGGAAATTGAGGCTTGCAGGCATAGAATTCTCCAAATATTTTGAATGTAAACACAAACACAAACACACACACACACACACACACACACACCACACTAGAGAGCACCAGTAAAGAAAAAAAGGTTAATTAAATTACAGTATAAATGCATATTTGTTCTCTTTTGTTATCTTAACTAACTTAAAAAGCAATTGTAAAAAAATGTAGATAATGTATTGCTTTGCCTATAACATAGGAATGTGTTATGTTTGTCAATAACAGCACAAGTAGGTGAGTGGGAACAATGGTGTGCTGGGAAAATGATTCCAGATGGTTACTTGATCAAAGTATAAATGAAGGAAACCAGAAATGATAAATGGGAAGGTTAATACAACAAAAGCTACAAATATATATTTGCTCCCCTTTCTTTTCTCTGCTCTTTAAAAAGACCTAAAATCATATAAAGGAAGAATTTTAACAATGTATTATTGGGTTGGTAATATTGACAGATATACAACAATAGTACTACAATAAGTAGGAAAAGGGAATGGAACTATTAAAATAACATATCTGTATTTCACTGGAATTAAAATGATATCAATCTGAAGCTGATTCTGGTTAGTTAAGATGTGTTGGTAGGCCCTACAAAAGACGCTAAGAAAATGACTCAAGAAAAGTAAAAAAATTGTTAAAGAAATTTAAATGCATTAGTAGAAAATATTCACTCAATTCAAAAGAAAACAGTAAGAAAGGATTAGAGGAATAAAAAACCATGAAATTTATGGAAAACAATAAGTGTAATGGTGAATGTAAATCTATATCAATAATAACATTAATGTTAATAGAATATACAATCAAAATGCACAAATGATTAGATTGGATAAAAAATAAGATCCAACTGTATGCTGTCTAAAGGAAATAATTTTGATTCAAAAACACAAATAGAATGAAAGTAAAAGGATAGAAAACATTATGCAAATGGCAACCATAAGAAAGGTGGAAGGGCTATACTAATATCAGACAAAATAGACTTTAAAACAAAAAAAGGTACTAGAGACAAGGAGAGGGACTTTATAGAGCTAAAAGGGTCAATTTGTCAGGAAGTTATGAGTGATCAGAAGTGTTTTATCAGTTTTGAGAAACCCTTTGCCAGTATTTGTTCACATCTCTCTTACCCCATTTTCCTTCTCTTTTTCTTCTGTAACTTCACTTGCTTGTTTATTAGATCTTCTCCCTAAATCCTACCTGTCTCTAATGCTTTTTTCTGTGTTTTCAATTCTTTTTTTTCCTTTCTCTGCTTCAGTTTGATTGTTTTCTGTTACCTGTTTTCCAGGTGATGGATGCTGTGTCTAATGTGTTATTGAACCCAACTAGTTAGTTCTTAATTTTAGATTTTGTTTTTTTTTAGTTCTGGAATTTCCATTTGATCCTGTTTTCACCATTTTGAATATACCGATGAAATTACCTAGCCTTTCAATTCTTTATGCATATTCTTCATTTTCATATTAATTGAACATTAATTGAATTGTGGTTATTTTAAAATCCTTGTTAGTTAAGACTAAAATTGGGATCACCTATGGGTCTGTTTCTATTGGTTATTTATTTTCTTTTGTTATTTTTTGACATGTGAAGGAATATTTGAATAAATGCCAGACATTATTTATTTAAAAAATACAGAAACTCTAGATTCCTGAGAAGGCTCACTTTCCCCTCTTGGCAGAGTGGTGGTCAGTTGGCTTACTTCAGTAAGGAACTGTGCTGAATCATGGCTGCATGAGGGATGACCTCTGGCTCAAGACTGACCTTGTGTAGTTTCATCTAGGATGTTGGTGTGTTTTGGGAACGTTCTTTTTTATGGATATCAAATTCTAATCTTTGTCATGTGAGACTGACAACAGAGCTCTGTTTTGTTTTGCAGGGTCTTCCCAGTTACGTTTTTGCCTTTTGCCACATACGGGTTCCAGTTTTCAATACATGTTTTGGGGAAAATAATCTGCCATATGCTTGAAACCTCATAATTCTCCACCAAAACTCTTCTGATTCCTTTTACTCCTGCTGCAGCCCTCTTCCAGCTGTTGCCCTGGATTTTGCCCTAGACTCTTAGCTTCTTGCCCATATTCAAATTCATCAATACCTCCAGGAGAAAAGCAACTGCAGAGGCCAGTTCACCTCTCTGTTTCTTCCCTTATAAAGTATTAGTCCATTTTGTTCTTGTTGCCTTAGCAACTCTTGTCTTTTTCAAAAGAAAATTTTTGTATTCCGTCTGGCTTTTCTAGCTCTGGATGGGAGCACTGGTCTTTGGACAAGTGGACAAGTAATACATCCTCCCTAGAAGGTAAAGAATCTTTGTGTAGTACATATTTTGAAATATCTTTCTGTTTATTCATACAAATTTGCCATTTAGCTGATATCAGAATTTGAGGGACATGATATTTTTCCTTAAAAGCATAAATGTATTTTTTTTGTCTTTTTAGCATTTTAGAGTTTATCAAGAGTCTGATTTTTATTTATTTTGTTGTTAAACTTAAAAAAAAATCTGGGTGTTTAAAGGCTTATCTGTTTAGTGAAAATACTATATATTTTTCCAGGATATGTGTTTATGTGGGTTATCTTTCAGTGATTTTGAAGAGTTTGTGATAAGCTTTATACACTAAGCTTTCTTGACAGTTTCTGTGTGGTTTTCAATTAAGCTCTAGATGTTTGCTTCTTCTCTAGTTGGAGTGTCTTCCTGAGAATACCTGTGACTCTTAGGTTCAAGCTCTCTTTCCTTTCTCCTTACCCGTAATCTTCACCATCCATTTTTTTTTTTTTTTGGTCACTTTGGTTTTTTTGTACTGCATTTTGAAAAATTTATCAAATTATTTCTGTTTGATTAGATTTTACCAAGTTTAATCTTATGCTTCATTGAATCAATTTGCATTTAAATCCTACTATTGTGATTTTATCTTTTTGAAAATTATCCTACCTTGAGTCTTTTTTCTCTCTTTTCTATGCATATTAGTCTTTTATTCTTAGTCTTTTTTTTTTCTTTGTATCTTGGCTTTCTGCTTCTGTTTCATAGAAGTCATGCATTCTAATAAGTATGGCAAACTAATGGAAATTTCTCCTTTCTTTAGCAAATCATTTTCAGATATTTGTTATCCTTGTACATTTTTAAGGTGATCTTTCCTTTCATTTTCATTGCAGTATTTTAAAAATCAACTTTAGTGAGGTATCATTTACATTTATTAATATACACCCATTTTAAATGAACACTTCAATGCCCTTTGTATATATCCATATATTCACTACCACAATCAAGATAAGGAATATTTTCACTTCCTCAAAAAGTTTCCTATACTTTTTTTTGTAGTCAGTTACTCCAACATCATTCTCATGCAACCACGGATATGATTTCTATCATTACAGATTAGTTCTGGCTGTTCAACAATTTCATAAGACCAGAGCCATCTGCTATGTACTTTTCTTCCTAGCTTCTTTTGCTCAGCTTAACATTATTAAAATTTATTAGTATTGTTATGCCTATCAATAGTTTGCTTCTTTTTGTCACTTAGTAATATTCCATTGTATAACACGCTGCGTGTATCCATTCTTGTATTGACTGAATGTTTGTGTACCCCCAGAATTCATAACTGAATCCCTAATCCCCATTATGATGGCATTTGGAGGTGAGGCCTTTGGGAGGTGATTAGGTTTAGATGAGACAATGAGGATGGGGCTCCCATGGCGGGGTTTAGTGTGCTTCTAAGAACAGAAAGAGAGCAGAGCACTCTCAATCTCTCTCTCTTTCTCCACCGCCCACACCCCCAAAACACACACTGTGGCTGTCTGTAAGTCAGGAAGAGGACCCTTATCAAGAGCCTGACCATGCTGGCACCCTGATCTTGGACTTCCCAGCCTCCAGAACTGGGAGACATAAATGTCTAAGTTTTTTTCACCCAACCTATAACATTTTGTTTTATCAGTCTGAGGAGTCTAAGACAATTCTCCTGTTGATTGGACTCTTGAGTTTTTTCTAGTTTGCAACCATTATGAATAAAACTGCTATGAACATTCACGTATCAGCCTCCTTTTCTTCATGTGTATGTTTAAGTCTTTGTATATATTTACAGTAACTGTTAATGAAGACCCTGCTTGCTAATTCAATCATTTCCATGTTTTCTTTGTCCATTCCAATTAACTGATATTTCTCTTGGATATCAGAAGCATTTTCCTGCCATTTTGTATGTGGCATAATCTTCATCTGAATGCTGGACATTTTTGAGTGTCTGGATTTTTTCCTCCATTCCTTTAAAGATTTTGGAGTTTTTCTGTGTCGGGAGGGTAATTTACTTTCTGGATCATTTTCATACTTTTGGGATGTGTTTTCAAGTTTCTTTTGAGTGGATCCAGAGTAACCTTTACTCCATGGCTATTAAGCCTTACTCCTAAGGTGCACACATTTTGGAGTCTCTATGACTGCTCCAAATGTTCAGTGGTAACTCTTCATTCTAGGTTGTCAGAACTCAGATACCTCCTGTACTGCCTGAGGAAGTTGTTCAGCTTCCAGCTTCCCTGTAGGTTTTTCCTAGAAGCCATTCTTTGCCTGGTTAGTCCTACGTTGCCTGTTGTTCAATGTCTGAAAGTAGTTGTTACATATATTTTGTCTAGATTTCTAGATGTTTATGATCGGAAGCCTAGTCTGGTACTGGTACATCATCATGGCTGGAAGCAAAAATCATATTGTAGTATTTTCTTTTTTAATTTTTATTTTTTGAGTCAGGGTCAGGGTCTCACTTTGTCACCTAGGCTAGAATGTAGTGGTACAATCATAGCTCACTAAAACGTCATACTCCTGGCTTAAGTGATCCTTCCTCCCCAGCCTGCTGAGTAGCTAGGAGTATAGGCACTCACCATCAGGCCCAGCTGATTCATTGTTTTGTTGTTGTTAAAGATGGGCTCCCATTGTGTTGTCCAAGCTGGTCTTTAACTCTCGGCCTCAAGCAATTCTCCCACCCTGGCTTCCAAAAATGCTGGGATTGTAAGCATGAGCCATCACACTTGGCCATTATTGCATTATTTTCAACAGTTATTTAAAATTCATTTTACTATTTGATTATTTTATTTTATTCACTATTCATTATTTTATTTTATTCACCATTTTCTTAGAGTCTATGTGAATGGTTTGCTTTGTAACACCTTTGTCCTTTTGGAGGTGATTGAAACCTCTTTTCAAATACATAGCTAAGACAGAAAATTAATTTCTTCCTAGTCTTAGTGAAATTCTCAGTGACATTCAATACTTGTATGTCAGCTAACATTACTGAGTTTGACTACATGAAACAATCCAATCCACAGGTCCAGATCTTTGACACTTTGAATAAATCTACTATGAAACTTCATGACTCCTTGTATGTTCTGCAGTCAGAGATCTTCATCTTTTCATTCAGAGGATAAATTTATTGCTCTTCTTTGAGAGTTATGAAATAAGACTCTCCCTTTCTGTCTTTCTGGATAGTGTAGTCCAAAGATGTTACATCTAGTATTGCTTCGGCAAGTTTGACACCACGACGGTAGGTAGAAGGATGGTAGTTTAAGCAGAAAATGGGATCCTACTTTAATTTATACAAAAATATTTATTTAGTACCTATTGTGCATCAGACACTCTTCTATGAGCTAGAGATACAAAAATACCTGAACCTTGCATTCCATTGAATCAAACCACTGCATTACCTAACCCTGAAATGCATACCATCTTTAGCTTTTTGAAGTTACGATAGTCATTTTCTCATCTTTATTGTTTAAAGCCATTTGACTTAAGTTTTCTGTACTTGCAAACAAAGGAATCCTCAGAATATTTCACTGGGCTGCATGCTCACATTGTAGTTTACCACTGCCAGTTCCCCATCCCTCTTCTAACAAAATTCTTGCCTGGTGATATTTTTGATAAGAATGGTAGCTAACATTAATTGAGCCCTTACTATGTATTGGGTACTTTTCTAACCACTGTACATGCATTGTATCATTTAGTCTTCCAAACAACCCAATGAAGTAAGTACTACTATTATCGCCCTTTTACTACCGGGGAACTGTAAACTTTCTCAAAGCTACCTTGCCAGTAAGCATGGAGGATTTGAACTTAGCTTGTCTGGTGGGAAAGTCTGAGTTTTCAACCACAACATTCTTTTACTAAACACTTGCTTTTATTCACTGGCTGTATTGTGAATATGTTTTCGTGCATTCAAATATCCTCTTACAACTATATTACCATTTTGCTCCAACATATTCAATTATGTAGGTACCATATTATATTTAGCCTACATCTCCTTTTTTGGCATTATTTTCTTCTAATTTTTCACTTGAATAATGACATTGCTATGTACATTCTTGTATATGTTACTCTTTTTTTTTTTTTTTTTTTGAGACAGAGTCTCACTCTTCTGCTCAGGCTGGAGTGTAGTGGTGTGATCTTGGCTCGCTGAAACCTCTGTCTCCCAGGATCAAGCGAATCTCCTGCCTCAGCCTCCTGAGTAGCTGGATTACAGGTGCATGCCACCACACCCAGCTACTTTTTGTATTTTTAGTAGAGACAGGGTTTCACCATATTGGCCAGGCTGGTCTCGAACTCCTGACCTCATGATCCACCCGCCTCGGCCTCCCAAAGTGCTAGGATTACAGGCATGAGCCACAGCACCTGGCCATATTACTCTTTTTAGAAAACCAGTCTAATTATTTCTTTTCTTTTTTTTTTTTTTTTTTTGAGACAGAGTCTCTTTCTGTCATCAAAACTGGAGTGAAGTGGCACAGTCACCACTCACTGCAGCCTTGACCTCCTGGGCTTAAGCAATCCTCTCACCTTAGCCTCCTGAGTAGGTGGGACCATAGGTGTGTACCACTATACCTGGCTAATTAATTTTTTTTTCTTTTTTGTAGAGATGGGGTTTCTCTATGTTGCCTAGATTTGTCTTGAACTCCTGGGATCAAGGAATCCTCCCACCTTAACCACCCAAACTGTTGGAATCATAGACATGAACCACTGTACCAGGCTACTCTAATTATTTCTTTAGAAAAATTCCTAGAAGTAGAATATCTGGAACCAATGACCAGTCTATTTTAAGTTCATGATGGAATATGCAACGTTGTCCTCCAGAAAATATTAGTTTACATTTCTACCATAAGTATATCTTTCTCAGTATTTTAGTAAGAAATGTGGTAAGCATTAAAATTTAAACCAGGCTGGGTGTGGTGGCTCATGCCTGTAATGCCAGCACTTTGGGAGGCCAAGGTGGGTGGATCACGAGGTCAGGAGTTCAAGACCAGCCTGACCAACATGGTGAAACCCTGTCTCTACTAAAAATATAAAAATTAGCCAGGTGTGGTGGCACGCGCCTGTGATCCCAGTTACTCAGGAGGTTGAGGCAGGAGAATCGCTTGAACCCCAGGAGGTGGAGATGGCAGTGAGCCGAGATTGTGCCATTGCACTCCAGCCTGGGCAACAGAGCAAGACTCCATCAAAAAAAAATTAAACCAGAAATTCCCTTTATTCATTTTTAGCCCAGATTTATCTGTTCCTGATCACTTTATTTCTCAAGGCTATCAGTGCTTATCATTTTTTCCTCTTGGGCAGTATCTATCTGAATTCTGTATTTTTAACATGTATTTTGACTCCTCATGTTCCTAGTTTTAAAGAATTAGTCTGTGAACTTGCTGTGGGTTTAAGGTTTTTTCCTGAGACCCTGAGACCTCACTAAGATTTTCACTTGGCAGGGTTAAAGAGTGAAATAATCACCTGGATATCATGGCTGAAAATGCTATTGGAAAGTGAAGAGGAGGTTGCATGCAGTGGCTCAGTCCTGTAATCTCAGCACTTAGGGAGGCTGAGGTGAGAGGATCTCTTGAGCTCAGGAGTTCAAGACCAGCCTGGACAATGTAGTGAGACCCACTCTCTACTAAAAATACAAAAAATTAGCCGGGTGTGGTGGGACATGCCTGTGGTCTCAGCTATTCAGGAGGCTGAGGATGAGGCAGAAGGATCGCTTGAGTCTGGGAGGTTGAGGCTGCAGTGAACTGAGATCCTGCCACTGCACTCCAACCTGGGCAAACGAGCAAGACCTTTTCTCAAAACACAAAACAAAGAAAGAAGGGAGTTGGGTTGGAATCACTTAATTTGAGAACTCATTTATATCTCATTAACTAGTTTCCTGTTTTTATTTTAAAACCCAGATATCACAGTGAAATTTAAACTCATATTCATAAAGGAAAACAATCTGCAAAGTCCAATCTAGTTTATATCATTAGTAAGAATAATAGTATGGTTTAAATAAGATCTATATATTTTTACTAATATTCGTTCTGCTTTCACAAATATATTGCCACGTGTAGACCTCTCCTTCATACCAAGAGTTCAGTTGGCACCATGAACAGTTCAAAACACTAATACTTGTGATCACAGTATTGGTTCTTAATTAAACGTACAATTCCCCCCCACACACTATTTATGGATTGCTAAAACAATATTTTCACCTTTATCTTTGGCTGTCAGATAGCAAGTTGGACAGTGAAGTAGAACTGACAGAAATGAAGATAACTACAAAGTTAGCATTGATTTTTGCCTCCCCCCCTCTGTCTTTTGAGATTGTTTCTTCACATTTCTCATATCTTTTCTCCTGACTTATGAAAGGCACCCTTTCTTGCTCTAGGCCTTTCATTGTTTTGAAACATAAAAAGGAACATCAAAGACTTTCATCGTGTGCGTTTTGGATCTTACTCTACGTTGACAATATCGAGAGGTTCACATTCCTACTAAGCCTGTGGGTTTAGTTCAGCAATGCTCCCCATTTTTCTCTACTGACCATAACATTTCAACCCTGCTGGAATCTTTGAAGATGGTTATTGAGTGACTTTAGAATCATCCTCGGAGTTAGAAAACCCCAGAAAGCATCTTTTCTTTGGTATTTTATTCTACATCTTGAAAACAGTAAGAACAAATGCACTTCTCTGGGGATATAATGACTAGGAATGGAGACCATACTAGGAAAATTGACATGAAGAGCAAAAAGATCCACTCAAATAGTTCTTTTGCACTATACAATGTGTCACAAGTTGCTTCTTAAGAAGAAAGCTAGTCAAAATATAGCTTACCTTTTGTGTCTCAGATGGCTGGGCTTTAGAAATTGAGACACTCTGGTCAAATATCTAGCTTCAGAAGGTGTTGTTTACATCCTCATCAATTCATCTATTATTTGCAATTGTTTGCATTTCAGGTTTTAGAAATAAAAAAGTGTTATAAGAATTCACTGTATACAAACTGACTTAAATGTTTTTATAGGCTTAGTCAAAGCCTGATTTCTTTACAAGATTAGTTCTAAATGAAAATAGAAAGAGCTTTTGATCCCTCCCAAGGGAGTATTCCCAGATAATATTATTCATTTACTCTTCCTTATAAATGATTTTCTCTGCTTATAATTTGTGGTTTATGTTTTCATACTTGCAGTTGGTAAAACTGTCCACGAAATCACTTCTGACACCAACTGCAAGTTTGGGGGTTCCCACGACCACCCTCACCTCTGACACCAGCTGTAAGAATGAGTGTCTATGAGGCTACTCTCGGGCTTGATAATTTGCTAGACTCACTCACAGAACTCACTAACAGCCATTGTCCTCATGGTTACAGTTTATTGCAGCAAAAGAATATATACCAAAATCAGCCAAAGGAAGAGATGCATGGGGCAGAGAATAGGAGAATTCAAAACGTTGAGCATCTAGTCGTCCTCTCCCAGTGTTAACTGCACCTGGAATGATGTGTAACAATACTCAGTTAGTATTGCCAACTATGTGTCTGTTGTCACATGGCACTATTTAACACTGAGCTGTGGTGACCAGAGTTTTCAGTTGGGTTTCAGACACATAGAATGGTTGGCTAACTCAATCTCCAGCCCCTCTGGAGGCAGAGCTGATACTGTGTAACCCAAAACTTCTACCATAAATCCCATTGCTAGAAGATCTGGGATGGCCCAAGGCTCTTAGCTAAACTAAGACAGTCCTGTCAGGCAGAACATTCTAAGGGTTCAGAGATTGTCTCCCAGGATCCAAGGACAAAGGTCAGACCTCTCTTTGGGCAAGATTAAATTCTGTATTACACAATACCAGATGAGCAGCTGTCTTTTGATGGCTGTAAATGGATAGTGAAGGATATTTTCAATATATTTTGGGTAGGAGTAGTGATCTGTCATTTCAGGAAGATTACAGGAGTGTAGATTTGTGTCTGGTAGGATGAGAAAGCCACCGTTTGAACCTGTAGATAATTCTGAGACCACTGATAGGAAGCATTTATCCTTTGGCCAATATTAGGTTGGTTGCCATCAAGTGTTAGCAGCATACAACAAGCTTAGGTTTTCTAAAATACAAAAAGATCCTTACTGAGAGCATATTAGAGGAAACTAATTCTGTGGAAGGAGAAGTATATTTGCTTCAGGATTAAGAAAAAAGCAGCATCAATTCTACATTCCATTTAAGTACATTTCCATTTGCTTGAGAAAACACATCCATTATTTAGTTGCGAATCAATTTTTGAGTGAGCAGTGAAGAAAGACTTAGACGAGAGTCTTTCTGAAAGCTTTTATGGGTAGAATTCTACAATAGAGACTTGATTGTTCCTCATTGTTTCCTCCAGTTCCATGAGGATTCTATGTCATCTCTCCTAAGTTCCCTTTTATCTCCCCCATTAGATGAGAAAATGTGCACCAGGCCATCTCCTGCACTCTTCCCCATCTTGGCTAATCATTGCTCCATCTATCCATTTGCTCAGGCCAAAACCTATGTAGATATCTGTATCAGTTATTATTGTTGTGTAATAGGCTACTGCAGACTTAGTGGCTTAAAACAACACCCCTTTGTTAGCTCACAATTCTGTAGTTCAGAAGCCCGGACATGGCCTATCTTGACTCTCTGCTCAGGGCCTCACAAAGCCAAAATCAGGGTGTCAGTCTGCTGCATTCTTATCCAGAGCTCAGGGCTTTTTTCCAGGTTCATCCAGATTGGCAGAATTTAATTGCTTGTGGTTGTGGAATTAAATTTTCCATTTTCTTGCTGGATATATGGGCTGAAGTTTACTCTGAGCTCTTTGGGGCTTTTCTCAGGTCCTAGTTGTGTGGATTTCTCAAAACCTGGCAGCTTCCTTTTCTGAGCAGGCAGGATGATCTTTCTCCAGTCTGCCAAGACAGACTCTTATATAATGTTGAATAATCACTAGAGTAACCATCCTACTACCTTTGTCACTTAACACAACCTAATCAAAGGAGTGACTAACCCTTAATGGTTACAGGTCCTATCTGTGGCCACAGGGAGCGATTAAGCAGGGGTTGGGGGTTTTGGGACATCTCAGAATTCTGCTCATCACCATGTCTTTGTATTGTATTACATTATTCTTCTTCTTATTTTATAGAGACAGGGTTTTGCCATGTTGTCCAGGCTGGTCTCAAACTCCTGAACTCAAGCGATCCACCCACCTTGGCCTCCCAAAATGTTAGTATTATAGGCGTGTGTCACCACACCTGGATTGTGTTACGTTATTTAATAAAATAATCATGTATCTCTTTGTAATATTAAAAAAGACTTTAAATGAATAAAATCTAGAAAGAAAAAAATAAACCAGAGACTTTAAACATTCAAATAAATGGGGGAAAACAAAGAAGATTTTAAAGTTTAATACATGCAAAATGTTAAGGAAAAAGAAAAAGGGAAGCAAAGAAATTACATGGTTAAAAAATAAAATAAGATGGTAGAAATAAATCAAAATTTATCAATAGTGCCATAAATGTCAATTGACTAAACATACCGTCAGTAGAGATTCTTTCATTGGATGAAAGAATATAATCCAACTACATGCAGTTTAAAGAGTGCCCCTGAACTATGGTGATACACAAGGTTTATCCACTAAATTATTTAACTAATATTGTTTTTGTTTCTAAGGGCTCTTCAGGGAGAAAATTAAAGTCTCTGTGCTCCTGAAGCTCACGTTATAGGGTGGGATGTTGATGAAAAATGAAAAGCTATGTAATAATGTAGAGAATGATCAATGCTACTAAGAATGGAGCAGGACAAAGGGGTAGAGAGTAGTTTGGTGGGTGGGAAGGCCTGGATCTTTTAGCTGGGCTGTTTAGGGCTGACTCTGAGAAGTAGAGATCTGAATGGTGTGATCTGAGAGACCAAAATATTATTTAATAGATGCTCCTTTATCAACTAAGATGGACCCTACGGTTAAGGTAACTTTTGTTTTCTTAACCTTAGGGTCCATCTTAATTGATAAAGTTCGATTTTCAGAAATCAGCTAATATGACAAATTTCCAAATTCTAAGGCTACAAGAAAAAAACACAATCTTGCTAAATTCCCTAAAAGTAGGAGCTATCAGGCTCCTCCTAACTCTGATTTACAACCCAGACCACTACAACTCTGACTGGACTGAGGACCGGCCTTACAAACATTCTTTCCTGATAAGCAAATGTAGACCTTAAGCCAGCTTCAGCCAGATATAGAGGCTGTGCACAAACTGTCTCCATGTCCTGTAGTTCACCTTTTTGAGATGCCCAGGTGGGAAGGACTCCCTGGCAGAACTTCCAACAGACCTGTGCGCTGGGAGCAACGCGCACTCGGGTGGAGTCTTGGGAAGTTTGCCCCGTTTCCAGTGGGGAGGAGCCTGGACCCCCTCTTCCTGGGTGGAACCTGGGATTCAGCCTGCGGGGCAGCAAGCACGCTAGCAGGACTCTGGCTTTGAGAAGGGTCCCTTTTTCCCCCTTTTTGCCCAATAAATTTCATTTTTTCTCACCCTTCAAAGTGTCCGCGAGCCTAATCTCTGATGGTCATGTGACAAGAACCCGGCTCTTAGCTGAACTAAGGAAAATGTCCTACAACATTTCGACATAAACAGCCAAATTCCATTCTATTTTAATACTAAAACCCTGCCCAAAGTGAACATGGGACGTATATTACATATATGTTTATCCATTGCACATCTGCTCGGCTCCACTTGTAAATATGCATAGCTTTTCTCCAAAACCTGCTGAATATGTATGACTCTATTGAGTAATATGTACCCTGTGTGGCATAAAACCCAACCTGCCCTTTCCCTCCTTGAAGCAAGAGCACCTTCAACCCACACCAGGGACTCTTCCTGTTTTGCAACCTGATAATGCCAATAAAGCTCTCCTTTCTACTATTTAGCCCTCCTGGTGGTCTTTTGGACCAGAATAGATTGAGGGAATGAGCCACGTGGGTATCTGCATGCAGAATAAGTATGAAGACCTTGAATTGGGATGTGCTTGTCATGCTTGAGTAGCAGCAGGCTGATAAAAATGCCACTAAAGCAGAGTGTGCAAGGGAGGACAGGTGGGGAAAGGAAGTGGCAAGGGGCAGGTGATGTAGGTCTTTAACAATTATGCTAAGTGAAATAATCCAGACACAGAAAAACAAATAGCATGTGGTCTGTCTTATATGGTAGAATCTAAAGAAGGTGAATTTGTAGACGGAGAGAATTACAGTGGTGCTTGTCAGGCACTGGGTAGCAGGATGGTTTAGAGGGAATTGGAGAGCTGTTGGTCAAAGGGTTCACGCTTTCTGTTATAAGAACAACTTCTGGGGATCTAATATACCATATGAGTGGTGATGGATGTACTAATTAAGTTGATTATGGTAACCATTCACAACGTATATGTACATCAAATCATTGTTTTGTACACCTTGAACGTATTCAATCTTTATCAATTAAATATTTTAAAATAAAGAAATAGATGGGGAAATATATTTATTGAACACCTATTTTGTATCACACTTGGTACCTAGTTTGGGAACACAAAATGGACAAGACAGATGGGGTCTTGCCACCTTGAAGCTTTTGCTAAATCATGTTCCCTATGAAATATTACTTACTGTTATGACACTGACCAAGGTTCTTTCCTTGTCCTGACTCTAATCAGGCTGCATTCAGCCTTTGTGGTCTCAACCTTGGGCTTTGGTGCCTATTCTTGTGGATTCCAGTTGTAGCAAGAATCCTGCTTAAAGTCAGTTTAGCCAGAACTCCAACTCTTGATACTTAGTCACCCTCATTCTTCAATTAAATTCCTCATCTCTCATCATCCCCCAGGTAATATCTGATCACCTTAGCCTGCTCTCAGCAAGAATCTTGCCAAGTTGGTTTGGTCAGAATCCTGTCTGATGTTTCCTGTTAGTAATTTTGCATCCACTGATCCCTGCCCTGCTCCTTGGCTGTAAATCCCCACTTTTCCTTGTATTCTGAATTGAGCCCAGTTCTATAGTCAGGTCTCTTTTCTCCTGTTGCAATAATTCCTGAGTAAAATATATTTGTCACGATTTAACTCCTGCCATCTCTGGTATTCTTTGACATCACAAATACATAAACAGCAACAACAACTTGGTCTCCTTGAAAATAATGGGAACACTCAAGCTCATCTAGGACCATGGAAATAGCTTATTTCCTTATATCTTTCCCTTCATCTTCTTTAAAAGCTATGATCTTTCAAGAGCTACATTTAGAATCTTACATGGCTGGGCAAATTTTGATCTATCTTTTGGTGAATGAATCACTGACTATTCAACCATATAACAACTTCTGGCTGCATTGTTACCCAGTAGCGAGAGTTTGCCAAACAGTACTTTGCATGACAAACTACACTGTATCTGCCCATATCCCAGCTTTCCAAGTAATCTTTGGAAAGTGTTTATTATACCACAAAGTTTCCAAATGTTTATTTCAATTGCTTAGGGGAAAAAGGATTGGTTTGGAGGGCAGTGAAATTGGTTGTTTTTCCTACCCATTTTCCATGTGTTTCACTCCATTAGGTCTGGGCTTGCAAAGTTTAGGAAGGGGTTTGTATGTCACAATTCAACTGCAAATAGAACATAGCAAATTCTCTTGTGAGTGTTTTGGAAAATGTATGCTGCTCTTTCAGTGCTTCATCAGGCTGTGAGAGATTGTGAAACCCCACAGCTTTCACAGTTTTGCAGTCAGAAGAAAGCCTTTTTTGTTTTTATTACTGAGCATTTAAAACTCACGAGAAAAAATGGAAAAGCCCTAGAATAAAAGCGTGTTGAGAGGAGGTTCAAGGCAGTGGCAAGAATGGCTATCCCAGTTTTGGGTCAAAACAAGTGACAACTAACAAGACAGAGAACATATTTATGCTTGCTACTTTAATGTTTGGTCTCATTATCTTATTAGATATATTGAACGATATTTGTAAATAGGCAGGGAAAATTGAAGCTTTGTGTGTGTGCGTGTGCGTGTGTGTGTGTGTTTTATTATAGGTAGCTTTTATAGCATGGGATTTCTCTCATAACAGGTAGAGGGGCATGGTTCCTTCCCCATTCTGAAGCTTTGTGTTGTTTTTTTGCTTTTTTTTCTAGTATAAAGAGTTCAATTAGGGTAACTCTGCCCCTTACCTCATTTGTCCTGGTGATACGTATGAAATAACACCAATTTGCTAGTTAGATTAATTGTGATTAGTGATTAGATTAATTGTGTGCACTCCACTTCTTCTTGCTCATCTTCCTTTTAGGAGGAAGGCTGCCCTTGGAGGGGAAATGTTCCCTATGTTCCTTTCGCCCATGAGAATGGGCCTGCTGTCTTGTCCACTACTGCCTGTGACTGGCTCAGAAGTGGGCCTAATGCTGGGATTCATTGAATGTGCCTTCCTACCCAGCTGTATCTTTGTAAATATTGATCTTTTAGTTTCTATCTTTAATCTTTTATGTTTATTTTTCAAATTTTTCAGAAGCTTATTTGGGAAGAAGGGTGCTATTTATTGGGGCCAATTCAGAGACCTAAACTGTAACTCAAAGATCAGTTCTATGAATATAGAATACAGAAATCCAATCATCATTGCATGAGAGAGTGCCAAGTTCAAGCCAATCAGCTAAAAGGCAAATCTCAATGTTTTGTCTCTCAAAACACTCTCTGCATAAAGACCTTGGACATACTAGTTTAACCAATAGAAAAGCTTGTCAGGGCCAGGCATGGTTGCTCGGCCTGTAATCCCAGCAATTTGGGAGGCCAGCATCGAAGGATCACTTGAGGCCAGAAGTTCAAGACTAGCCAAGGCAACATGGCAAGACCCGATCTCTACAATAAATTAAAAAAAATATATTAGTAGGGCATGGTGGCATGCGCCTGTCATCTCAGTTAGTCAGGAGGTTAAGTTGAGAGGATCACTTGATCCCAGGAGGGTGAGGCTTCTGTGGGCTGTGATTATGCCACTGCACTCTAGCTTGAGTAACAGAGCAAGACCCTATCTCTAAAACAAAACAAAACAAAACAAAACAAAACAAAACAAAACAAAAGGCTAATGAGCATTAAACCTACAGAAAGGAATCTGAGCAGAAAAAGCCAATGGTCAATGATAGGGAATCCTGATTTCTTACTGACACCCAAAACACTAATAAATCTCTTGATGATGTATGAGTTGCTGTTACCTTGCACAGCAGTGAGCAGTTCTATATGGCAATTGCTCAGTTAGCTCTCAACTTCCTGAACAGCAGTTGCAGTTATTCAGCCTTGCTCTTAAGCGTTAGTCTGCATGCTGAGTTTTAGACTAGCTAACTGTTAGAAAAGGTGGATGCTGAGACCTGCAGAGGGAAGTTCTCATGACACAGATGTATGTGTCTCAAAAACTGTTTTCTCCCAGTATGTAGCCTCCAGAGAGATTCCCTGCCTGGCTTGGCTCTGGGGTGAAGGAGGCTGGTGGTTTTCAATTAAATGCTTATAAAATATTTTAGAAGAAACAGGGACAGATTGTAAATTATAAAAATGACCACAGAAGTATTTCCAGCCCCATCTGCTCTTCCAGAACCTTGTCACTCCCCATGAAAAGGTAGATTTTATCTGGGTAGGGCTTTCTTACTGCCTTGAGGCAAAAATGTGGTTCTGAAAGTGATGCTGGGACATAAAAGACCGTAAGATACTTCTCTGGCTCTTTCTTAGGATGCGGTTCCCTGGAAACTGAGCCACCACACGGTAACGAAGCTGTGAAAAAAGAAATATATATATTATATATATATAGCCATGCACGGTGGCTCACACCTGTAATCCTAGCACTTTGGGAGGCCGAGGTGAGCAGATTACTTGCAGTCAGGAGTTCGAGGCCAGCCTGGCCAACATGGCGAAACCCTATCTCTACTAAAAATACAAAAATTAGCCAGGCATGGTGGCACACGCCTGTAGTCCCAGCTACTCAGGAGAGGCAGAGGTTACAGTGAGCCGAGATTGTGCCACTACTCCAGCCTGGGTGACACAGCAAGATTCTGTCTCAAAAACAAACAAACAAACAAACAAATAAACAATATATATAGGTCTCCATCCACAGTTTTTTTTTTTTTCTTTTTTTTTTGAGATGGAGTCTCACTCTGTCACTCAGGCTGGAGTGCAGTGGCGTGATCTTGGCTCACTGCAACCTCTGCCTCTTGAGTTCAAGTGATACTCCTGCCTCAGCCTCCTGAGTAGCTGGGTTTACAGGCTCCCACCACCATGTCCAGCTAATTTTTGTATTTTTAGTAGAGATGTGGTTTTGCCATGTTGGCCAGGCTGGTCTTGATCACCTGACCTCGATGATCCCCCCACCTCGGCCTCCCAAAGTGCTGGGATTACAGGTGTGAGCCACTGCACCTGGCCTCCACTCACAGTTTTTAACACAGAAGTTTCAAAACTTTTGTAAAGAGAGGTGCCAGGAGAATCTTTTGTTCTAATATTTGGTCTTAGACCCCAGTTCCGTACACAGGGTTTCTAAGACCTTTGTAATAACCATAGTGATAGGAGCATCTGACACAAAGCTCCTAAATCCCTTGGAATTTCCCAGGTGATAGGAGCCTCTTTTGTTCTAGTGAGCTGACTCTTGGTGGGCTCCTGGGTGGGTACTGGTCACCAGAAAAACCAAGGCATGCTTAGAAGCTTGGAACTTTTAGCTCCACATCTCGTCCTCTGAAGAGGGGAGAGGAGCTAGAGTCTGAGTTAATCGATCAGGCTTACCAGTGGCATTTAGAAATGGTGCTAGACCCAACTTCTGAGGAGTTGGCTTATTGGATACATGAGGAAATGCAAAACAATAAGAAACATACTAAACATACAATCCTTTGGTTATTGTTATTTATAACAGCAAAAAATGAAAGAAAGTACAGAGCTGGACTTTGGGTCCTGCACAAAGCTCAGTTTTGGTTTGAATGAGCTTCAGCTATTAGCCTCAAAGATGCTTGCAAAGGGAAAAATTAAGCAGGGACAACAGAAAGTATCTCTGGTCACCAAGAGGGCAGTCAGCTTGGGGAAAGGGACAAGCCAAGAGACTACTGAAACCTGGGGGTATTGCATGAAGAAGTTATCTCATCTTGTGGATTGATACCATCAGCTCCCTGAAGAACCTTTACTAACGTGGATTGTGAGAGTAGCTAATTTGGGGGCTGTGTCTTTTGTTTTGAATGCTACAGAGTGGAAGCACATGCTTGAGTTGATTCAGGATCCACAGGTCACTATTGAACAATCCCTCTACACAGGGAGTTATTCCTATACAGTATGGCTATAAAGTGTGTTTATCCTAAAAGTGGGATTGTAACTCCCCCATAAATCCCAAGTGGAACATCTCAGATGATGCAGCTGATAGGCTTCATATGCAAGCTTTATGAGGAGTGGCTATTCGTTTGCTGAATATGCCTGTAACTGAGCAGCTTGGCTTCAAATAGCATTTTAAAACTTTGCTTTCTGTCCTCCTTTCTCTCCAATCTCAAGATATAACTTTGAGACAAATTGTATATGTGTTACCTGTCATCTTGAAATACAGCCTTGGAATGTGCTGTGAACATCCACTCCTTTTCTTTTCCTGTTCTATGCTACCATGTCTGATGCACGTTTATTTACCTATATGCTTGTTAAGCACACACCATACTCACTTATCTGGTCATATGTTTCCTTAGAAGCTTCAGGGGCTGGATCCTGATATGGACCAGACACCTCCAGCCACAATGGCACCAGACGTTTCACCAGATGGAACAATAACTTAAGACAAGCCATCATATTGGTCATGCCACCTGATACCTCCTAGGCCCCCTGCCTCTTCTGCATTCCAAACCTTCTCTTTAAAACCAACCCCCGTGTTCTCTTCACAAATTGAAGAGTGGAGATTTTTGGAAAGTATTACACCCCTTCTTCCCCTTCCTAGCATGGATAATAAAATCTCACTCTCTTTTTGTCACACTTCACTCTTGTTATATTGGCTTCTTTTTACAAGCTACAAGCAGCCAGACCCTTTTGCCAATTACATGCCCATTATGAGGTTATGGAAAATGTTGTGATTAAAGGAGTTCCTTTTCCATGGGCACCCCATGTGTACTTCTGCAAAATGGAACAATAGCTTGAAAAGCCTTACCAGATTTGCTGTCTCAGCTTCCCCTGTGGGTCTTACTGATCAAGGACATTATAGTAAATAAAAAAAAAAAATGAGAGAGACAAAGAAGAGAGTCATGGACTTGTCCCAGCAGGGTAGGAGTCTTTAGATGGTTATTGAGAAACTGGATGAATGTTGTGGATATTGATGGTGTTGAAACAAAAGTATTAATGCAGCACTATTGAAGGTTAGATGAACCAATGGGACTTTCTGTTTGTCTCCCAACATTGAAAGGCTCCAACAAGTTTTCTCCATTTACCCCAGTTTGGAGAAACTTAAAAAGTCAGAGATTACTCAGAACTGGTTGGGGTGACGGTTAAGCAGGTTAATCAAGATTGATGAGGGGCCAGGGTCTCCTGGCCAGACCTCAGGCTGGCAGGGGTCCCAAGGACATATGCACATGTGTAGATAAAATGGTCAGTGGAAGGAGAAGAGACTTTTCTGGGACTCCTTGGTATAGGAGGTCAATGCATTGTAATTCCAAAAGCTGTTGGTGAAGACTTAACAGGAGTTAAAGTTAAGATTGGGGGAGTATATGGAGCTTCAGTGGTTGGTGGGGTTAACATGGAAGTTTGGAGGACAATTGGAATTCTTGAAAAAGCTTTATGTGAGTTGGTTGTGTCACCTTTACCTGAATGTATTATTGGGATGGATATTATGTCTGACTGCGGATTGCTTCCCCTACCTAATATTGTTATTAGAAGTTATGTAAGTCTTCCCTCAGGCCAGTTTTCTTTGAATGTGCTAAATGAGAACCATTAGAACTGCCTGAATCCACACAGGTGGTTAATTTAAAACAATATGGAGTACCTGACAGCAGCAGAGGGGGGTGGGGGGGTGGGGGGCAAAAGGACATTCACACTTTAATTAATGACATGCTAGATGCAGGAGTGCTGATACAAAAGAATTTTTTGAACAACAGCCCTGTGTGGAAAAGGAGGATGGCTCATGGAGAACAAACAGTAGATTATTGAGGCTTAAATACATAAATTTGTACCTCAGTACAATTTTATAGCCTCAGTAATTTTAGTCATGATTTCAATCATACAAAAAGACTGCTACTCAGTGATCGACCTTGCAAACATTCTTCTCTCAGTCTCAGAAAGTGCCAAACACTGTTTGCTCTTATATGGGAAGGATCCCAGTTTATGTATACTATGCTACCATAGGGTCATCTGAACTCACTGGTTTACTGTCATAATTTGGTCAGAAGGGATTTGGATTTGATGTAGGTCTCAAGTGTAATAATACACTATATTGATGATGAGATGATAATATTGGAAACTAAAGAGCCAGGTTAAGACTGAGTTGAATGCAGCGATGACTCACATGACCAACCAAGGCTGATCAGTAAATTCAGCAAACATCCAAGGACTTGCCCACATGGTAAAATTCTTAGGAATAACATAGGCAGGAGCCACCCAGTTCCACAAGTGACTACAAATAAACTGCTGTTGTTAATCACCCCCAAGACCAAACAAGACATCTAGCATTTGGTTGTTGTATTTGGAGTTTAGAGAATGCATATTCTACATCTGAAAATATTGCTAGCTTCTATACATAAGACTACCTGAAAGAAAACCATTTTGAGTGGGGACCTGAACAAAAGCAGACCATGTCTGAATTACAAAAATCAATAGCTCTCTCAATGCCTCTGGGCCATTATGATCTCCATTCAGATGATTTTGGAAGTGTCTGCTACCAGTGCTCATGCAAACTGCAGCTTATGGTAAAAGCCTGAGCACCTGGGATTCCAGATGCTGCCGCCCCATACACATCATTCGAGAGGCAATTACTAGCTTGCTGTTGGGCTTTAATTGAGACGACCTCAATGACTGAAGGACATAAAATAATCATGAAACCTGAGATACTGATAATGTCTTGGGTGATGTCAGAGAAACACTCTAATAAGAAAGGCAGTGCCCAGAAGAGCTCCATGATAAAGTGGAAATGGTTTATACAGAAGCATGCTACTGGTGGAATGCAAGGAGGCACCTACTGTATCCATAAGTAGCTAGCCTCAGGTCCCCTAGGACTGACTTCAGAATCACTGGAAGAACTGCCAGACTCTATTGCCATGTGGAAGTGCCCTATGAACAGCTCTTGATGGGCTGACAAAGAACTGCTGGGTTTATGGATGGCAGTTCCAAGATGGATGGACATTATGTTGTCTGGAGATATGCTGTATTAAGACCAGAAGATACAAAAACTAGTTTAAGAAATTAAGAACAAATTGGCTTAATGGGTTGAATTACATGCCGGTTTTTTTTTTTTTTAGCAGTGATGGAAGAGTTTAACAATGGTAAAAGCCCTTATGTTTGGGTTTTTATAAACTCATGGGCAATAGCCAATGGTCTGGCTATGTGGTCAGATAGATGGACAATGGAAAACTGGGCTATTGAAGGGATGGTCTTATGTGGTGTGGCCTTATGGAAATTACTATGGGAAATTAAGGGGAGCATTGAAGAACTACTTACAGGTTCAGGAGGTGACTTAAACCATCATATAGACTTATTGATGCTCTCCCATGAGGTGGTGAGCTGGGTCCATGAAATAAGTGAACATGGTGTGGGGGTTACAGCCATGCAGAAATGGACTGAATGTAGACATATTCCTCTTCACTCTCTGAAGCACAGAATGTCACCAAGAACTGTTTCATCTGTCAACAGGAGAGATAGAGATTGCAGATGGCTACAGAGAAGATTCTACATGGGGAAGGCCCCACACATAGCTGGTAAGTGGATTATATTAGACCAATGCCAGTAGCCCCTGGGAGCTACAAATGGGTCCCAGCAGGAATAGACACTTACTCTGGACTGGTAGTAAATGCAAATGCTGAAAATACTATTTAAAGATTGGAACAGACAATACTGTTCCAATTTGGCTCATCAAGCTACATTTCTTTAGCCCAAGGATGCACTTTACAACCCATAGTGTCCAACAGTGAGCAAAGAAATACTACATCAAATGGACATATTATGTTGCATATCATCCTCAGGGTAATCGTTTAATAGAGAATTGGAACAGGCAATTGAAATATTTACCACCTAAAACAAGAGAAGACAAAGGCATGAGGGACTTGCCTTCATGAGTGTGTGCTCACACTCAACATGGGGGAGGATAAAGGAAGGCTCCCCCTGGATAGATTTCTCACTTTTCTGGGGGATCTGGCAAAGCAGGGGTGGAAATCTCCCTCCTGCTGCCAGTGTGGTTATATGATTTTTCCCATATAATCTCACTTTTTTTTTGTCCCAGTAAGAAGCACTGGAGCACTGCCTGATGCCAAGGGTCCTAGGACCAGGGATGTGACTGTGTACATCCTCGTAAGCAAGGATGATTTCTAGGCAAGAAAGTGTAACTAACTTTTAAACATCTATGCCAGAAGTCCTAAGGGCCTGATAGTGTGAATTCACATCTGTGAATATTGCTGTGTTGCCTAGGGATTGGGCTAGCCCTGACATCCCCGATAGGACAGTTCTGTACCCAGGTAACCTGACCCTATCTGAATGGAAATGGACTGAAAGGGAGGCATTTGTTAGACTAGCATCACTGTCAGCAATGGCCCTCCCAAAGATGGAAAACTCTGGGTCAGAATAAATGACAAATGGAGAGAAGGAGTAATAGTAGCCGGGGGTAAAGGAATACAGTGCATACATGAGGTATGCAACAAGGGAAATGCAACATTGTCTTAATACCTCAGGAGAGACTCAGATCAGGATATTATTTCTTAGCACAATTATGAACAGATGTTTGGAACGGTGAAGCTGTATGTTTGCTGAGACCACCCCTGCTTTTGGAACCTTTCAAGGTTGAACGACAGCCTGCAAACCTGAAAGGCATAGTTCTGGGAGCCATTCTGGTCATATGGTATGATGATGAATTAGACTGTTAATGACCAAATGGGACTCTAGTAACGTATCAGTGGTATCTTTTGACTTCTATATTTTAGGCTACATCAACTACAAAGGATATCTTTTGGGGAGGAAGTTTTGAGGACTGCTTTCTACTGAGACTTCAATCTATGTGGTGTATGGCTCTCAACAGACTGATCACTATGGTAACCACAAAACCTACAAAACCTGATGGTCAAATGCTTAGAAAGGTCCTTGGTTATGATAGAAAAAATATGATGGTAGCATGCCCAACATAGCATGCATTTAGGCTATGCATAAATACATACCACTCTTGTTTTTGTGGACAGAAAGCTATTAAGCAGTATAGGGAAAAACAATGGGCCTCTGGTAGGATTAAAGAAGTTGGCATCACATTGTAGATCCAAGTTCCCCTGGGGAATGACCCCACTCGAAATAAGGAAGGCTGTGAGAGGCCTTATGGCACACTCAAATTAAATTACATCTACCTGTAAACACCAATCATCTAACTCTAGTGTGGGGACCCAAAATTTTTTGCAAAACATTTATCCTAACTGCATTCGCGCCATTAGTACGCAATACCAATGATATGCATGGTAGATTAAACAACACTGGCTCCTAAGACAGAAAAGGGCCTCAGGAGAGATAGGTGCAGGTCTAGGTATCCTGGGACAAGCTGAGTTTACTCTTAATGTGGAGCAGCATTCGGAGGAAAAAGATTTATTAACTAGAAGAGACAGAATAGAGGAAATTCTCTTCAAGGAGGAAGGCAAAGGATGGAGTCGGGGCGGAAAGATAATGAGGCTTTAGCGAAGTGGATCAGGCCAACTCAACAAACAATGCTGGGCACTGCTAACACCCAGCCCAGGGGAAAGGGCTTGTACCCTGACCCAATAGGACCTCTTGACTATTTTAATACAGATGGAAGCTGAAGTGGCCATGGGGCAGTGACCTGCTATTCTGGCTGCTGAGGTCCAAGAGACCCACCCATGGGAGTCTGATGGCCTTCCAAACTTATGGAAGTTCTCTGAGGGCACTTGTAGTTTTACACTGATAGACTATGAATGCTCTCACCCACAGCATAGATCAAAATGAAATACATCCTGCAGTACAGTTGGTAGAAATGGGAACCACTCTGAATACCACCTGTGTCCTCCCTGCAAGAAGGAGGTGGGCCTTGCTATCTAATAATACACAATGGAAACCAGCCTCAGTACAAGCCTGTGAGATGAGGTGGGGTGGTTCTTTTTGTCCTCAATTAACTAGAAACCCAGATATAACTAAACCATGGCCAACTGTAATAATGCCCTTCCTTAATAATATCTGACAAATGGACAAGAGTAGATTCTGTTGGGAAGACAAGACAAATTCCTCTGTAATTCTTACTTATTTGTTCTTTTATGAAACTGAGTTGTCCCATGACCATACGGTGATATGGTGTCATACTGGTGCTGTAAGTAAGATTCAATTACCTGGTATAAATAAATCTTATGATACTACTGATATTGGTGACTCAATGTAATGGGAGATTGAGTTAAAGTCTCTCCAGGATGTAATACTTATGGAAAATAACTGACTTGAAGAGAAATTGGATTTAGCTAACCATCAGCTGATTTTTCTGCTAAATAGTTCTGCAAAGCTTATTACAAGACACAAATAGCAATAGAATGCACAAATTAGTACAAGAATATGAAAATGTTGGTTATGATTTTATAGGATAAATTAGCTGTTCCTTTAAATCTATCCCTACTCCACCCTGGGGGTTCAGAGAGCTTCTGGGTAATAAGTACATCTGTGTGCTGGGTGAGGGAGGCACACCCCTATTCCATGAGGACAGAAACCTCCATAAACAGGACCCTTCTACACCTTGCCCTGTGTATCTCTCCGTTTGGCTGTTCATTTGTATCCTTTAAAAAGGACTAAGAAACTCACTCAAAACCGCTCAACTACATGGAA
This sequence comes from Homo sapiens, assembly GCF_000001405.40. NCBI lineage: Eukaryota > Metazoa > Chordata > Mammalia > Primates > Hominidae > Homo > Homo sapiens. The sequence goes on from NC_000008.11 coordinate 31,442,247, forward strand.
ACTGAACAACCTGCTCCTAAATGACTACTGGGTACATAGCGAAATGAAGGCAGAAATAAAGATGTTCTTTGAAACCAACGAGAAAAAAGACACAACATACCAGAATCTCTGGGACACATTCAAAGCAGTGTGGAGAGGGAAATTTATAGCACTAAATGCCCACAAGAGAAAGCAGGAAAGATCTAAAATGGACACCCTAACATCACAATTAAAAGAACTAGAGAAGCAAGAGCAAACACATTCAGAAGCTAGCAGAAGGCAAGAAATAACTAAGATCAGAGCAGAACTGAAGGAAATAGAGACACAAAAAACCCTTCAAAAAATCAATGAATCCAGGAGCTGGTTTTTTGAAAAGATCAACAAAATGGATAGACCACTAGCAAGACTAATAAAGAAGTAAAGAGAGAAGAATCAAGTAGACACAATAAAAGATGATAATGGGAATATCAACACCAATCCCACAGAAATACAAACTACCATCAGAGAATACTATAAACACCTCTACACAAATAAACTAGAAAATCTAGAAGAAATGGATAAATTTCTGGACACATACACCCTCCCAAGACTAAACCAGGAAGAAGTTGAATCTCTGAATAGACCAATAACAGGCTCTGAAATTGAGGCAATAATTAATAGCTTACCAACCAAAAAAAGTCCAGGACCAGATGGATTCACAGCCAAATTCTGCCAGAGGTACAAGGAGGAGCTGGTACCATTCCTTCTGAAACTATTCCAGTCAAAAGAAAAAGAGGGAATCCTCCCTAACTCATTTTATGAGGCCAGCATCATCCTGATACCAAAGCCTGGCAGAGACACAACCAAAAAAGAGAATTTTAGACCAATATCCTTGATGAACATCAATGCAAAAATCCTCAATAAAATACTGGCAAACCGAATCCAGCAGCACATCAAAAAGCTGATCCACCATGATCAAGTGGGCTTCATCCCTGGGATGCAAGGCTGGTTCAACATACGAAAATCAATAAACGTAATCCAGCATATAAACAGAACCAAAGACAAAAACCACGTGATTATCTCAATAGATGCAGAAAAGTCCTTTGACAAAATTCAACAACACTTCATGCTAAAAGCTCTCAATAAATTAGGTATCGATGGGACATATCTCAAAATAATAAGAGCTATCTATGACAAACCCACAGCCAATATCATACTGAATGGGCAAAAACTGGAAGCATTCCCTTTGAAAACTGGCACGAGACAGGGATGCCCTCTCTCACCACTCCTATTCAGCATAGTGTTGGAAGTTCTGGCCAGGGCAATCAGGCAGGAGAAGGAAATAAAGGGTATTCAATTAGGAAAAGAGGAAGTCAAATTGTCCCTGTTTGCAGATGACATGATTGTATATCTAGAAAACCCCATCGTCTCAGCCCAAAATCTCCTTAAGCTGATAGTCAACTTCAGCAAAGTATCAGGATACAAAATCAATATGCAAAAATCACAAGCATTCTTATACAGCAATAACAGACAAACAGAGAGCCAAATGATGAGTGAACTCCCATTCACAATTGCTTCAAAGAGAGTAAAATAGCTAGGAATCCAACTTACAAGGGATGAGAAGGACCTCTTCAGGGAGAACTGCAAACCACTGCTCAATGAAATAAAAGAGGATACAAACAAATGGAAGAAAATTCCATGCTCATGGGTAGGAAGAATCAATATCGTGAAAATGGCTATACTGCCCAAGGTAATTTACAGATTCAATGCCATCCCCATCAAGCTACCAATGACTGACTTCACAGAATTGGAAAAAACTACTTTAAAGTTCATATGGAACCAAAAAAGAGCCTGCATTGCCAAGTCAATCCTAAGTCAAAAGAACAAAGCTGGAGGCATCACACTACCTGACTTCAAACTATATTACAAGGCTACAGTAACCAAAACAGCATGGTACTGGTACCAAAACAGAGATATAGATCAATGGAACAGAACAGAGCCCTCAGAAATAATGCTGCATATCTACAACTATCTGATCTTTGACAAACCTGAGAAAAACAAGCAATGGGGAAAGGATTCCCTATTTAAGAAATGGTGCTGGGAAAACTGGCTAGCCATATGGAGAAAGCTGAAACTGGATCCCTTCCTTACACCTTATACAAAAATTAATTCAAGATGGATTAAAGACTTAAATGTTAGACCTAAAACCATTAAAAACCCTAGAAGAAAACCTAGGCAATACCATTCAGGACACAGGCATGGGCAAGGACTTCATGTCTAAAACACCAAAAGCAATGGCAACAAAAGCCAAAATTGACAAATGGGATCTAATTAAATTAAAGAGCTTCTGCACAGCAAAAGAAACTACCATCAGAGTGAACAGGCAACCTACAACATGGGAGAAAAATTTTGCAATCTACTCATCTGACAAAGGGCTAATATCCAGAATCTACAATGAACTCAAACAAATTTACAAGAAAAAAACAACCCCATCAAAAGTGGGTGAAGGATATGAACAGACACTTCTCAAAAGAAGACATTTATGCAGCCAAAAAAAACGTGAAAAAATGCTCATCATCACTGGCCATCAGAGAAATGCAAATCAAAACCACAATGAGATACCATCTCACACCAGTTAGAATGGCGATCATTAAAAAGTCAGGAAACAACAGGTGCTGGAGAGGGTGTGGAGAAATAGGAAGACTTTTACACTGTTGGTGGGACTGTAAACTAGTTCAACCATTGTGGAAGTCGGTGTGGCGATTCCTCAGGGATCTAGAACTAGAAATACCATTTGACCCAGCCATCCCATTACTGGGTATATACCCAAAGGATTAGACATCATGCTGCTATAAAGACCCATGCACACGTATGTTTATTGCGGCACTATTCACAATAGCAAAGACTTGGAACCAACCCAAATGTCCAACAATGATAGACTGGATTAAGAAAATGTGGCACATATACACCATGGAATACTATGCAGCCATAAAAAATGATGAGTTCATGTCCTTTGTAGGGACATGGATGAAGCTGGAAACCATCATTCTCAGCAAACTATTGCAAGGACAAAAAACCAAACACCACATGTTCTCACTCATAGGTGGGAATTGAACAATGAGAACACACGGACACAGGAAGGGGAACATCACACACCAGGGACTGTTGTGGGGTGGGAGGAGGGGGAGGGATAGCATTAGGAGATATACCTAATGCTAAATGACGAGTTAATGGGTTCAGCACACCAACATGGCATATGTATACATATGTAACAAACCTGCATGTTGTGCACATGTACCCTAAAACTTAAAGTATAATAATAATTAAAAAATAAATAAATAAATAAAATGAACTTTGTAAAAGCCTTTGTAATAAATTGGTAATAGTACGTAAACCATTTTCCTGGGCTCTGTAAGCTGCTTTAGCAAATTGTTTAACTCAGGAGGGGATTATGGGAACCTCTGATTTGTAGTCAAGCTAGACAGAAGTTGTGGGGAACCTGAGGACCTACCACTTGTGATTGAATCTGAAGTTGGGGGCAGTCTGGTGGGGCTACAGCCTTAACCTGTGCAGATACTAATTCCAGTTAGTGTCAGAGTTGAATTGAATCATAGGTCATCTAGCTGGTACAGGAGAATTGTACAGTGTGGGAAAAAAAATCCATATCTGACTACAGTAGTGTAGAGTGTGAGTATAGAGAAAAACAGTTGATTTTTCCTATACATTTTATGTCAGAAGTGAAGCACGTATTGAGAATGGTGTGAGTATAGAAGGAAAAGCAGTTTGTGTTTCTCTATATACAAGCCCAGGCCACATGGAGAGATATGTGCAGGTATTCTAGCCGACAACCCCAGCTGAGGTCTCAGCTGATAGAATCAACCTCCAACTATAAGTGAGTAAACCTTCAAATGCTTCCAGGCCTCAGCCTTTGAACCCCAGCCAATCCTGGGTGGAACAGAGATGAGCTAACCTACCGAGCCTGCTGAAATTGCAGATTATGCGAAAACTAAATATAGCCGTTATTTTAAACCACTGCATTATGAGGTAATTATTATGCAGCCACACAAACAGGAATGGAACCCATTTTATTCAATGACAGCTTCTGCCACTTTGCTGAAGCCTTAATCATGAATTATATGGCAAGAAGTAGATTTACATTTATGAACAGGTCAAGAGGAAAGAAATGAAGTCTTGTTAGAACAACTGTGTTTCTGGAAAAACTTTTTCTCTGGTAAAAGTTTCAGCAATTGTGTTAGTTTCTCGTGGCTGTCGTAATGTTACCACCAATTTGGTGGCTTAAAACAGCAGAAATTTATGCTCTCACAGTTCTGGAGGCCAGAAATCAGAAATTGGTATCACTGGTGACACCATGATGAACCTGGACAACATTATGGCAAGTGAAACAAGGCAGACACAGAAAGATAAATACAGGCTGATCTCATTCATATGTGAAATCTCAGAAAGTTGAACCCATAAAATTAGAGAGTAAAATGGTAGTTACCAGAGGATAGGGGAGGGGAGTGAATAGGGAAAGGGAAGATATCGATTAAAAGGTACAAAATTTCAGCTAGACAGGAGGAATACACTTAGTGATTCATTGCACAGAATGGTGACTATAATAAATAATAATGCATTGTGTATTTAAAAATTGCCAAAAGAGTAGATTCTAAATGTTTTTACCACAAAAAGGGTAAGTATGGTAATTAGCTTGATTTGATCATTCCACAATGCAAATATATATCAAAACATCACATTGTATCTCATAAATATATATAAAATTATTTGTTATCTCAAAATAAAATAAAATTTAAAAAATAAATCAGTATGACTGGTATGAAACCAAGGTGCTGGCAGGGCTGTGGTTCCCCTGGAAATTCTAGAAGAGAATCCATTCTTTGCCTTTTCCAGCTTCTGTCTGTGGATACCAGAATTCCTTGGCTTATGTCTACATATCATTCCAATCTTTAAGAGTGCCATCTTCATATCTCTTTCCTCTCTCTTCATATCCTTTTTTCTGTGTGTCAAACCTTCCTCTGCCACTCTCTTATAAGAATATATATGACTGCATTTAGGGCCCACTGGATAATCCAGGATAATCTCCCCATATAAAAATCCTTAATTTAATCACATCTTCAAAGATCCTATTTCTCTGTAAGGTGGCATGCACAGGTGCCTGAGATTAAGACCTAAATAACTTTTGGGAGCCAATTTTCAGCCTCACATTGCAAATATTTTTCCCTTTGTATTATTCACCACTGTAACTTTTATTATTAAAATGTTGAACATTCTTGCACACATACATTGTTAAGAATATATTTTTAGGAAATATTGTGAACATTATTAAGAATAATACACATAACCCAGATTTATTAATATTTTAAGATTTTGCCATATTTGCTTCAGGATTTTTCTTAAATTAGTTAACACTTTATAGAAAGAGCTGGAGCTGTATGTGTACCTCTTTCTTCTTCCTTAGAGGTAGCCATTATCCTGACTTTGTCATTTATGATTCCTATGGATGTTTATAGCCTATTTCTACATGGAAGAGGAGGGAACATTACTCTAGATATCAAACCTAGACAAAGATATCATAAGGAAAGAAAACTAAAGATCAATATCTTATAAATATGAACACAAAAATCCTCAATAAAATACTGGCAAACAAATTCTAGAAACATATAAAAGGAATTATACACCATGGGTAAGTAGGATTTATTCCAGGAATGCAAAGTTAGTTTGGCATCTGAAAATTAATTAGTATAATATATTGTATCAATAGAATTAAAAGGAAAATGTATATGATCTCAATAGATGCAATAAAAGCATTTGTCATAATTCAATACTTTCCAAGAATTTATACACCACCAACAACCCATTAACCTAGGAATGGAAGAGAACTTCCTCAATTTGATAAAGAGCATTTATAAAAAGCCCACAGCTAACACTGTACTTAATGGTGAAAGACTAGATTATTTTCTCTTAAGATCAGAAACAAGACTCTCTGACTGCTTCTATTTGACATTGTACTGGTGGTTCTAGTCAGGGCAATGAGGCAAGAAAAAGAAATAAAATGCTCCGAGATTGGAAGGGAAGAAATAAAGCTATCTCTACTTGCAGATGACATGATGTTATGTACAGAAAAATCTTAAGGGATCCACCAAAAACTATTAAAGTGAGTTCAGTAAGCTTGCAGGATACAAGATCAAAATGAAAATATCAGTTGTATTTTTATACACCTGAAATAAATAAGCTGAAAATGAAATTAAGGAAACAATTCTATTTGCAGTAGCACCAAAAATAATAAAATACTTGGAATAAGTTTAACAAAAGTGTGTAAAACATATTATCTGAAAACTATAAAACATTATTGGAGAAATTAAAGAGGATCTAAAGAAATGAAAAAAATGTTCCATGTTAATGGATCAGAGGGCTTAATATGGTTAAGATGGCAATACTCTCCAAACTGACCTACAGATTTAATAATATCCCTATAATAACACCAGCTGATGTCCATAGAAATTGACAAGATCAGTCTCAAATTCACATAGGATTGCAAGGGACTCAAAATAGCCAAAACAGATTTGAAAAAGAACAAAATACGGGGACTTACACTTTCAAATTTCTAAACTTACTACAAAGTAATAATAATCAATTGGTGCTTATGCAATATGGTAGTGACATAAGGCTGGGTATATATATCAATAGAATAGAACTGAGAGTTCAAAAATAAACCCATACATCTATGGTCATCTGATTTTCAACAAGAGTATCAAGACCATTCAATGGGGAAGGAACAGTCTTTTCAAGAAATGGTGCTGGGATAACTGGATAGCCATATAAAACATAATGAAATTGGATCCTTACCTCATGCCATATACAATTCAATTGGATCAAAGACTTAAATGAAAGTGCTAAAACTGTAAAATACTTAGAAGAAAACATAGGAGTAAATCTTCATAACCTTGGATTTAGAAAAGGATTCTCACATATGGCACCAAAAGCACAAATAGCAAAAGAAAGCTAGATGAATCAGACCTCATTAAAAACGTTTTTGCTTCATAGCAGCAGTCCCCAACCCTTTTTGGCACCAGGAAGTGGTTTCATGGAAGACAATTTTTCCACACACTGGTGGGTGATGTGGGGGCTGGTTTTGAGATGCAACTATTCCACCTCAGATCATCAGGCATTAGATTCTCGTAAGGAGTGCACAACCTAGATCCCACACATGTGCAGTTCACAATAGAGGTCACACTCCTGTAAGAATCTAAGGCTGGCACTGTTCTGACAGGAGGTGGAGCTGAGATGGTAATGCTCGCTTGCCCACCACTCACCTCCTGCTGTGAAGCCCGATTCCTAACAGGCCATGGACTAGCATCTAGCCATGGCCTGGGGGTTGGAGACCCCCTGCTTCAAAGGACACCTTCAAGAAAGTAAAAAGACAGGTCAAAGAATGAGAGAATATGTTTGCAAATCATATATCTGATAAGGGATTTGTATCTAGAATATATACAGAGCATGTACAACCCAATAATAAAAAGACAACACAACTAAAAATGGACAAATATTGAAAACCGGAACACCACAAGGATGCCCACTCTCACCACTCCTATTCAGCATAGTACTGGAAATCCTAGCCAGAGCAGTCAGGCAAGAGAAAGACATAAAAGGAACCCAAATAGGAAAAGAAGAGAAAAGTCAAACTATCTCTCTTTGTTGACAATACAACCCTGTACCTAGAAAACCCTGAAGACTCTGCCAAAGGCTTGTGGAACTGATAAATGACTTCGGTAAAGTTTCAGGATACAAAATCAACATACAAAAATCAGTAGCATTTCTATACACCAATAATAGTCAAGCCGAGAGCCAAATCAAACAGGCAATTCCATTTACAGTAGTCACACACACAAAAAACACCTAGGAATACATCTAACCAAGGAGGTGAAAGCTCTCTATACAGAGAACTACAAAACACTGGTGAAAGAAACGAGATGACACAAACAAATGGAAAAACATTCCAAGCTCATATACTGGAAAAATCGATATTGTTAAAATGGTCATACTGCCTAAAGCAATCTATAGACTCAACACTATTCCTATCAAACTACCAATAACATTTTTCACAGAATTAGAAAAAACTATTCTACAATGCACATGGAACCAAGAAAAAGCCCAAATAACCAAATCAGTCCTAAGCAAAAAGAACAAAGCTGGAGGCATCACATTACCTGACTTCAAACTATACTATAAGGCTACAGCAGCCAAAACAGCATAGTACAGAAATAGACATATAGACCAATGGAACAGAATAGAGAATCTATAAATAAAGCCACACATCAGCAGCCACCTGATCTTTGACAAGGTCAACAAAAAAAAGGGGAAAGGACTCCCTGTTCAATAAATGGTGCTGGGATAGCTGGCTAGCCGTATGCAGAAGAATGAAACTGTAACCCTTACCTTTCACCACATATAAAAATTAACTCAAGATGGATTGAAGATTTAAATATAAGACCTCAAAATATAAAAATCCTAGAAGAAACCTAGGAAACACCATTCTAGATATAGGTCTTGAGAAAATGTATGACTAAGTCCTTAAAAGCAATTGCAACAGAACCAAAAATTGACAAGTGGGACCTAAGTAAAAGAAAGAGCTTTTGCACAGCAAAATAAACTATCAACAGAGTAAACAGACAACCTGCAGAATGGGAGCAAATATTAAAACTGCAATGATATACCATCTCACACCAGCCAGAATGGCTGTTATTAACAAGTCAAAAAACTGATGGTAGTGAGGCCATGGAGAATAGGGAACACTTATACACTGTTGGTGGGAAGGTAAATTAGTTCAGCTACTGTGGAAAACAGTTTGAAGATTTCTCAAAGAACCTAAAACAGAACTAGCATTCAACCTAGCAATCCCATTACTGGGTATATACCCAAAGAAAAGAAATCATTCTGCCAAAGACACAAGCACTTGTATGTTCATCACAGCACTATTCACAATATCAAAGACCTGGAATCAACCTAGGTACCCATCAAAAGTGGATTGGATAAAGAAAATGTGGTACATGTACATGATGGAATACTATGCGCCATAAAAAAGAACAAGATCACGTGCTTTGCAGCAACATGGATGCAGCAGGAAGCCATTATCCTAAACAAATTAATGCAGGATCAGAAAACCAAATATTACATGTTCTTATAAGTGGGAGCTAAACATTAGCTGTATGTGAACATGAAAACAATAAACAAGGGGGACTACTGGTGGGGAAGGGCAAAGGTTGAAAAACTACCTATTGGCTACTATGCTCATTACCTAGGTGATGGGATCAATCATATCCCAAACCTCAGCATCATGCAATATACCTATGTAACAAACTTGCATATGTATCCCCTGAATCTAAAATAAAAGTTGAAAGTATATAAAAAGGATATATTATCTGATTAAACATCTCTCCAAAATAGAATATACAAGTGTCCCATAAATATATGAAAAGATACTCAATATTATTAGTTATTAGGGAAATGCAAATAAATAACACAATAAGCTACTAATTTGCATACATTAGGATGGCTACAATGAAAATGTCAGATAATAACAAATGTTGTCGAGGATACACACTGTTATGGTTTGAATGTGTTTGCTCCAAAATTAAGGTGTTTAAACTTAATGGCCAATGTGATGATATTAAGAAATAGAGCTTTTAAGAGGTGATTAAGCCATGAGGAATTTGCTCCTTGTGAATGTGATTAAGGCCTTTATAAAAGAGGCTCCACATAGCATTCAGTTCATTTGCCCTTCTACCTTCCACTATGTGAGGACACAGCGTTCCTCTCTTCTGGAGGATGCAGCAACAAGGCACTATCTTGGAAGCAGTGAGCAGCCCTCACCAGACAACAGAACCTATTATTGCATTTATCTTGGACTTCCCAACCTCTAGAATTATGAAGAAATAAATTTCTATTATTTATGAACTATCCAGTCTTTGGTATTTTGTTATGACAGCACAAATGGACTAAGGCATGGACAAGCAGGAATTCTATACACTGCTGGTGGGAATGTAAAATGGTGTGGCTGCTTTGTAAAAACAATGTAGCACTTCCTTAAATGATTACATTCAGAGTTACCATATGACCCAGCAATTCCATTCCCAGATATATACCCAAGAGAGATTAAAAACATATTCACACAAAACTTGAACCTGGAAGTTTATAGCAGTATTCATCATAGCCAGTTCCTCAACTAAAATGTGGAAACAACCCAAGTGTAAGTGAATGGATAAATAGATAAACAAAATGTGGTATATTCGTAAAGTGAAATATTGCCAGGCCATAAAAAGAAATGAAGTACATACTGATATACATACTTTCAGATCCAAACACAAGTATGTGAGAATTCTGTTGTTCCAGACTTTACCACCACTTCACATCATCAGACTTAAATTTTTGCCTCTCTGACGGATGTGAAATGTATCTGTTTTGTACTTCCTTGACTATTAAGGCTGAATGTCTTTTCATGTTTATTGACTATATGAGTTTTTTTTTCTTCCATAAATATCCTGTTCACATGTTTTAACTATTTCTTTTTCTGCATTGTTTGTCTTTTCTAATTGATTTACTGGAGTATTTGGAGACCCCAACCTGGGCACTAGGGGTTCACATAGCTCCCTGCTTGTCCTTGTTTCTAGGCCTTTTTGTGAACTACGGTTTTTACTGATGCTCCAAATTCACATTCAGGCATAGGGTTTTAAAATAAATGTGTTAAACTCATATCTCCAACTCCTTTCCCTCATACACACAATAGTTTTAGAATAACAATGCCATGTGTTCTACAATAATAAGAGAAGTGAAAATTATTTAAGAGCATTTGCCCTATTGTTTTTCTAATTCTAAAAGAAATACATATTTAATATGGAAGAGTTATAAAATAGAAAAATCATAAAGAACAAAAGTTATTTATAATCCAGTAACCCATGTATTATCAATGTGAACATTTTGGAACATTTGTTATTCTTGAAAATGGTTTAGATAGTAAACTTTTGAATACAATGAGCACCTGTCCCATTATGTATTTTAAATGGGAGAATAATGATGTGTTCTCAGCTTATATAAAAGTCCCGAACCATTCTTCAAATATTACTAAAATATTCTTAAGCATCTATAGAAAAATTGACTGGAATTTCTGCAAACTTAAAGACATTTTAAACACTGTTGAGTTAACATTTGCTAAAATCATAGGGGGGTATATTTGTATGTTTTATGAAACAATGTTGCATAACATTGGAAATTAAAATTGTCTTTTGCATTGCAAAGAACATGTACTATAATGTAAATCAAATTATTAAATATGGTTAGGTTGCATAGGAATGCAAATAATATTTAGCAAAATGAAACAAGTCAAAGCAATTTTTAAACAAAATATTTAATTGTCAACTGAATAGCTGCCTGAATGTGGTGGGTAAAGAGAAATGGAGGACATAGTCTGTTCCTGTTTGCGGGGTGAAGGGTTGGTTGGTGGTGGCTTAAGAGACATGTGAGTGAACTGGAGATGGGATGAATAAAACAGTAAATATATTATGTTTGTTCTTATTTAAATTCAAGAAACCAGATGTTCAGGCTTCTCTTGTTGCACTCAAGACATCAGAAGTTGGTGTCTATTTTCCATAATTCATTAAAGAGAAATGTGCAACCTCACTCTTAGATTTGCAGTATCTTTATTCCAGAGAATTCTCTTTCCTTGATGGAGACCTACACAATTTCTTTTTTGTTCAATCTATGAAATTAGGATCAGCCAGGTGGTCAGCATGACTAATTTTACTTCTTATACAAGTAGCATTAAGGGAAATGAATGCCTAGGTTTTCATTTTCTGCAGGGCAGATGCTGGCTAGTTAAGCTTGCCTGTAAATCATAGTTTGTCCATAAACTCCAGCATATTCTATTTAGAACCACAGAGCGAAAAACTAATAAATACATTTAAAAATCTTAGTAGACATTAACTCCAGAGAGGTTCTTAATTTTTAACTTGATCAAAATTTTAGCTATGTCTTAGTGGTTTGGTTGAATTTTAAGCAGATATTGAGAACTCGCATTGCTTTATAAAATGCTTGGGCCGCATGTGGTGGCTCACGCCTGTAATCCCAGCACTTTGGGAGGCTGAGGCAGGCAGATCACTTGAGGCGAGGAGTTCAAGACGAGACTGGCCAACATGGCAAAACCCTGTCTCTATTAAAAATACAAAAATTAGCTGGGCGTGGTGGTGGGCGCCTGTAATCCCAGCTACTCGGGAGGCTGAGGCACGAGAATCGCTTGAACCTGGGAGGCAGAGGTTGTGGTGAGCCGAGATCATGCCACTGCACTCCAGCCTGGGCAACAGAGCAAGACTGTATCTAAAAAAAAAATTCTTAATATGCTTTATAAAAATGGACATTCCATAAAATAGTTCTGATTTGCCGAACAAAACCTTTTTAGTATAAAACATAAAGGCGTGGGTGCATTATAACAGGTTTCTTTTTCAAGCAAGGTTTAGAGTAAAGAGATACAAAATAAATGGATCTATATCTACGTTGTGTGGTAATACTCTAATTCCTACTTACTCTTGGATTGGGGTCCTGTTGAATTCTGAAGTCTTGGTGGGGAAATGGTATTGATGCCACTTGGAAGGAACAGGTCCAGTAAAAGTTTTAATAGGATGGACTGCATTCCTCTTTCTATAAAAACATACCCCCAGGAAAAGGGATCAAGGTCCATTAACCTAATCACCATTTCCACACTGTGAGAAGAAAATAGGCTGTTATTTTTTATTTTTTGCCACAGTGATTAGTTTAAGCTCTCACACTCTGGGTTTCTGAGGTCTAATGTCTGTTTCCATGGGAACGGCAGTGGCAGGCAGCTGCTAAGTTGTTAGACATCTAATAATCTGGGGAAGCTCCTGTCTGAATGCAGGCCAAGTTTCTCCAGCATCTTGGGTCATTTAGTCACAAGTGGCTGTGCAGCCTGTAGAGACATCTTGGAATATAGGGAGTTGAAATACTTGCTATATTGAAATTATATATATAATTTTTTTATTCATTTAATGGAGAAGCATTGAGTAAGAAGTGATTTGAGGCCAGGCATGGTAGCTCATGCCTGTCATCCCAGCGCTTTGGGAGGCCAAGGAGGGCGGATCACTTGAGGTCAGGAGTTCGAGACCAGCCTGGCCAACGTGGTGAAACCCTGTCTCTTCTAAAAATACAAAAATTAGTCAGGACTGGTGGTGTGTGCCTATAGTCTGCACTACTTGGGAGACTGAGGCTTGAGAATCACTTGAACCAGGGAGACAGAGGTTGCAGTGAGCTGAGATCATGCCACTGCCCTCCAGCCTGGCCAACAGAGAGAGACTCTATCTTAAAAAAAAAAAAGTTATAAAAAAGAAGTGATTTGAAAAAGAAAAAGGGCTTTAGGAAGGACACAGAATATAAACAAATCTCCTGTCCTCATGACACTTAAGATTTATAGGGATTCCTAAGTCTCCTGTACTGCATACTCAAAATGCAGGGTCCTAAGACTTACAGGAAATATTATACTCAAATGCACTTTCTTCATTCCTGTCTTGACCATCTGTGCTGAATCCTCACCTCTTTTCCTATTCTGTGAACTGGGATGTATAAACGAATAAGAAATGTAAATATCCTGGCTGCTAATTCCTTGTAAGTCTAGAAAGTGGTTAGGTATTTGACTTGTCTCCTCTGGTTCTTACCCTGGCCATTCTTGTTGCTAAGAAGGAATGATGTCTCCTGCAAAGAGCCCACCAAACACATTTCTACCCTAAGTAGCCTGCTCAAAACTCATCAAAAGCCCTACTAAGACGTTTTGCTGCACTGAACCCTTTCATTTTATAGTTTCCTCATTTAGAATTCCCTTTCACACGTCCATTCATTCATTCAACAAATATTAAGGGTCTACTATGTGCCAGGCCTGGTAGTAAGAATTTGGTATAGACATAATATTCCTTCAAGAAGCTTAAAGCCAGGCACGGTGGCTCATGCCTGTAATCCCCACACTTTGGGAGGCCGAGGTGGGTGGATCACTTGAGCCCAGGAGTTTGAGACCAGCCTGGGCAACATTGTGAGACCCTGTCTCTATAAAAAATAAAACAATTATCTGGATGTGGTGGCACATGCCTGTAGTCCCAGCTACTCAGGAGGCGGAAGTGGGAGGATTACTTGAGCCTGGGGAGGCAGAGGTTGCAGTGAGCTGAGATTGTACCATTATGCTCCAGCCTGGGCGGTAGAGCCAGACCCCTTTTCAAAAAAAAAAAAAAGCAGCTTAGAGCTTGATGGGAAAAAGCTATTACAGGAATAAATGCAAAACTTGTTATACAATAACAGGCTACGTTATGTATTATGAGGTTTCTGTGGAAAAAGAATAAGGGATATAACCTAATTTATATTGGGGTTGGGTTCATAGAGGCTATTTTCTACAGCCAAAATCCAGATATAGAGTCTAAAATACGTGGAGTGAGATGGACAAGAGAAAGAAAGTGTCTTGAATTGGTTTTTTCCCCCATTGTCTCACATCTCTTTTTGCCTTTGCAGTCACATCAATTGAGCATCTTTATGGTGGCCCATTTGTGCTCTTTCATCAGTTTATGTCTTCGGTTGCTTAACAGATTCCTCTTTGAGGAAGCTGAGATTATGGGGGAGGGTTTGAGAGCAGCGATATAGGCACTTAGCAAGAAAATAACAACCTACAGGAGCCTGTGTGTTATAGGAGCCTTACAGACAGCAAGGGTGCATAAAGTCAATGTTGAGATGGCTAAGGCAGGCTTCATTGAGAGGAAAGGACATAGGCTCGGCTAAGAAATTTCTTCTCTATCCACTGTTATGTTCTGAACCAGCAGCTATCAGGTCCAGAGGTTTTCTAGCTGTACCCTCTTCTCTCCCCTGTGGCAGGGCAGATGTAGTATCCAGGGTGGCCTGGCTGCAGGTCACCAATTTAGAACTCATATGATGGTCCTTGGCAGGTGCATGGCAACGTAATCCATTCAATCACATTGCACAGTGATAAGTCACTGCATGTGCGACAGCAGAGAATGAGCCCCGCCTGGGAAATAGCCTGTATCTTTCCACTTGTCCTGACTGATTAACAATTTATGCTGCATGAGTAGAAAATAATTTTGACCTCATTCACTTTATTGCTTGTGAAATCATGGCAGTATCCATAGACTTTTTGCTTAAACATTTATATTAGTAGGCATTTTTGTGTTTTCACATGGCTGCATGAAATGAACAGGCACTTTTCTAATATGAACATACAGTGAATGAATTAATAACTGTATGTTTCTAAGAGCCACATTTCTGTTAGAACTAGCCATATAAGGCATATGACTAATGAATTCAGATATTTAATATTGAAGTTTAGGAAAATGTCATTTCCACTGGGCTGAGAATTAGAGTCAGGAGCAAATCTTCCTATCTCCCTCTCCTACACATTCATTCATTCAGCATTGTGTGCCTATTATATGTCAAGATAGTATAATGTATATATTTAATATTATATATAGTATAGTATAATACATATTGGCACATAAATATGTTTTTTATATATATATAATCATCGATAGTAACATGTTTATAGGCAATAGCAATTCAATGTGGCAAGTTTTATGACAAGGCCATACACAGGATGCTATGGAGCATGGAAAGGAAGGAGTCCCTGAGAACATGTCATCGAAACTGACTTCAAATGGAGATGTAGGTATGAGCTGGTTGTTAGAAACGGAATGTTTGTGTCACCCCGAAATTCTTGTGTTGAAACCCTAACCCCTAGTGTGGCTACATTTAGAGATGGGGCCTCTAAGGAAGTAATTAAGTTTAAATGAGGTCATGGGAGTGGGGCCCCAATTCAACTGGATTAGTGTCCTCATAAGAAGAGACATCGAAAGCCAGCTCTCTCCCTCTCTGAACATACACACAAACACGAGGCCATGTGAAGACATAGCAAGAAGGCAGCTGTCTGCAAGCTGGGAAGAGAGCCCTCACCAGAAACTAAATTTACCAGAATCTTGGAGTTTTAGCTTCTGAACTGTAAGGAAATAAATGTCTGCTGCTTAAGCCACCAAGCCTGTGGTATTTTGTTATGGTAGCCTTAGCAGGCTAATACAGTGGTAAACTCTGCATATGGAGGAGTTGAAAAAGAGAGAGTAGATGGCAATTTGGGCAGAAGGGGAATTACCTGCAAATGTTCAAGGGAGTGGAGATAATTCTTCTTAAACTGTTTATCAGTCCTTCAGGAGATAAGTTAACAACAGAGGATAATTATCCCAGAGAACTGGTTTCTGGCAAATGTCTGAAGGGCATGGTAGGTCATAAAATACCCACTGGTGGTATTTTATATTCTGAAAACCATTTTAATCTACCTTTCATGACCTGGATGCTTCAGCCTCCTGTGCTTCCTCAGAATTTGATAACTGACCCATGAGACAAAAACTGATCTTTTATCTAGAATCCTCTAGATTCCAGTACAACTCAGCAGCTGTGAAGCCTCTAAATTTGCAACTTGCTTTCTTTTAAACTCAGTAGAATCCCTCAGCCAGAACCAATCCTCATGCCAATTTTAGAACTGTTCGATATTCCCAAGAAAAGAAAATGGCTGGTGATTGTCAACTCTCTTAAGAAAGTCTCTTATTTTGGGGGGGTGGGGTGAGGGGGTGGGGGATGGACTCTCACTGTGTCACCCAGGCTGGAGTGCAGTGGTGTGATCTTAGCTCACTGCAAACTCCGCCTCCGGGTTCAAGTGATTCTCCTGTCTCAGCCTCCCAAGTAGCTGGGACTACAGGCACACGCCACCATGCCCTGCTAATTTTTGCATTTTTAGTAGGGACAGGGTTTCACCATATTGGCCAGGCTGGTCTGGAACTCCTGACCTTGTGATCTGCCCACCTCGGCCTCCCAAAGTGCTGGGATTACAGCTGTGAGCCACCGCGCCCAGCTGGAAATGTTCTTTTGACTCTGAAATTTTAGTTCATCGAGTCCTCATTGACTTCACAGCTCTCTGGTATCTTTAAGTGTATTATTTTTGTAATTTATATGCTTTTTTTTCCTGGTTACTAGCAGGAACATTGATCCACCATAACCAATTTCATGTTTCTGAGAAGTGAAGCTCATTTTCTGTTAAAGAGAAAGAGAGACATGAATTCCAAAACAGGTAAAGGTGTCTATAAACCAGTAAGTTTATTTTAGATACCAAGCAAAATTCTAGAACTTATTATTTATAAGGCAGATGGAGAGTTATTATAAAGGGCACAGTAAAAAATGTCTAACATAGGATTATCGAGAGCATATCATCACTAAATAGTTCTATTTTTTTTGACAAGGCTACAGAAAAATAGATAATGTCTATCTGAAATTCAGAAAGACATTTGACAAAGTTTTTCATAATATCCTTATTGCCAATATAACGAGATGTGAAGTTAATACTAATACGTTCAGATGGATTTAGAGTCAAAAGATTTTATTTTATAACTTTTTAAAGAGAACAGTGTGAGTTTGAAGACATGTTTCTGTGAGTGGAGTACAAAGCTTGTTATCAAGGAAACTGGGTGGATTTTAATCAATGAGTTTGATAGAGACAGAGCACACAGATCATGTAAAGTTGGAGAGAATGCCAGTAAATTGAAAGACAGAATCAAGAACCAAGGTATCTTCTGTAAGCTGCAACAAATAACACTTAATGGGTATTAATGTCATATCCTACATTTGGATAAAATAAAAACTGTTAAAATGCAGGCTGAGAAAGACATGGCTTAATAAGAATATGTGTTTTAAAAAGCCTTGGGAAGTATTGTTGGCTTGAGCTCAGAATGAGTCAACAGGGTGACATGGCCAGCAAGAAGGCCAGTGGGATTTATAGCAATGCTGAGAAGGGCAGAGGGTGCAGATTGAATATATTGCACTGGTGAGTGCATTATCCTGAATACTGCATGGACGCGTGCTGTTGCATTCTGCTCTGAGCATCATACTTTAGGAAGGAGGACCATATATGAAGCTTGCCAGAGGAAAGTAACTAGGATATAAAGCATGAGGGAATGTAAAGACATGTCAGGAAAAGAGTTGAAGGATAAGAGAGTGTCTAACTTGGGAAAGAGAGGCTTTGGAAGATGGAAGAGGTATCTTCCACTGCATAAGGGATTGCTTTGTTATTGAGGTCAGAGCTAGGACAGAAATATAGAGAAAAAGGTTTTATTGCTAAAGTGCAGAGGAACATTTTCAAAATAGTGATAGGTATGTAAATTTTGAATTTTGAATGAGACCACTTAGCGTAGTGATGACGATTTAGGAATTTTTTTTTTTTTTTTTTTTTTGAGACGGAGTCTCGCTCTGTCGCCCAGGCTGGAGTGCAGTGGCGGGATCTTGGCTCACTGCAAGCTCCGCCTCCCGGGTTAACGCCATTCTCCTGCCTCAGCCTCCCAAGTAGCTGGGACTACAGGCGCCCGCCACTACGCCCGGCTAATTTTTTGTATTTTTAGTAGAGACGGGGTTTCACCGTTTTAGCCGGGATGGTCTCGATCTCCTGACCTCGTGATCCGCCCGCCTCGGCCTCCCAAAGTGCTGGGACTACAGGCGTGAGCCACCGCGCCCGGCCCGATTTAGGAATTTTAAATCAGGAAAAAATTTAATATTGGACCCTCTTGCCACTTACAAGCTCTATGATTTTACCTAATCTTTTGGATTCTCAGTTTTTTAAATCTTTAAAATGAGAATAATAGTACTGTTTGTTAAGGGTCATTAGGTGATCAAAGGAAATAATTCATATAAAGTGCTTGCCATGGTGAATCACACATTTCTATATGCTTAATATGTATGAACTATGTTTAAGTTACTGAGATGTGGTCAGAAAGAAAAGCAAGCACCTGGCTGGGCATGGTGGCTCACGCCTGTAATCTCAGCACTTTGGGAGGCTGAGGAGGGAGGATCACTTGAGGCCGGGAAATTGAGACCAGCCTGGGCAACATAGCAAGACCCCATTTAAATAATATATAAAAAGAAAAGCACTTGCCCCTTACATTGGCAATAGTTTTATTGCAGGAAGTAGGAAACTAAACCCCAACTCAGAATTTAGACTTGCTGCCAGAAAGGTAGGTGCCAGGGGAGCTGATGTAATCAAGTGTCACCAATTAGAGTCTACAGATCATGAAAAGTAATTCTAGGAGATTTTCAAATGCCTTTTTTAACCTAGATCTTCTGCTTGGATGAATTCATACTATGAATTTAGGAAACATCAATTCATTTATTCCTTCTAGGTGGCCAGCATTTTAACAAAATTACACATGTGTATACAAGCATGCATCCTGGATTTGGTGAGCACACATAATTTCAAATATTCTACTCTTTGTTCCTTAACATACATTATCGTTTTAAGATTGATTTGGCTGGAAAATACAACCACAGTTTATGTATGTCACATTCTTTTTTTTTTTTTTTTTTTTTTTTTGAGACAGAGTCTCTCTCTGTCGCTGCCAGGCTGGAGTGCAATGGTGCAATCTCAGCTCACTGCAACCTCCGGCTCCCGGGTTCAAGCAATTCTCCTGCCTCAACCTACTGAGTAGCTGGGACTACAGGTGCCACCATGCCTGGCTAATTTTTGTATTTTTAGTAGAGATGGGGGTTTCACCATGTTGGCCAGGATGGTCTCGATCTCTTGGCCTCATGATTCGCCCGCCTTGCCTCCCAAAGTGCTGGGATTACAGGCATGAGCCACCGTGCCCAGCCTATGTCACATTCTTGTGGTACTGAGATTGTCAAAATTCTTTTCTGTTAAGAAGCATGGTTCAAACCTACTGTGAGGTACTATTTTGCACTCACAAGTTCTGCAAAGATTGATGTAATAAATGGAAAGGATATAGGGCAATGGTAACTTGAAACTGCTGTTGGGAGAGTAAATTGGAATATTCATTGTTTTACTGCTCTAAATGTTCTCATCACACACAAAAAATAAGTATGTAAGGTGATAGATATGGTAATTATTGTGATTTAATTGTTCTACAATGTATACTATATCAACACATTGCACACCATAAATATATACAACATACATTTGTCAATTATAAAAGAAAAATATTGGCAGGAAATATTGTGTATAGAATGATATATACAATATGATTCTACTTATATAATAAGTTAGTTATAAATCAATAGTTATGCCTATGGGTTTTAAAATATGGAGCCAAGACTTATGTCTTGTCTTTTTTATAATAGCCATCCTAATAGATGGAAGGTGATATCTCATTATGATTTTGATTTAAGTTTTCCTGATGAATTGTGATGTTGAGCATTTTTTCATATACCTGTGGGCCATTGGTATGTCTTCTTTTTGAGAAAGGGCTCAGATCCTCTGCCCATTTTTTAATCAGGTTATTTAATTTTTGCTATTAATTCTATACATTCTATTAGTTTCTTTTATATTTTGGATATTAACTCCTTATCAGACATACGGTTTAGAAATATTTTCTTCCATTAGTAAGTTGATTCTTCACTCTGTTGATTGCTTCCTTTGATGTTCAGAAGCCTTTTAGTTTGATGTAGTCCACTTTATTTTTGTTTTTGTTGCCTGTGCTTTTGGGGTTATATCCAAAGAAAACATAACCCAGTCCAACATCAGGAAGATTTTTCCCTGTGTTTTCTTCTGGGAGTTTTATGGTTTCAGGTCTTATGTTTATATCTTTAATTTATTTTGTGCTAATTTTTGAATATGATTTAACATAAGGATTCAATTTTGTTTTTTTGCATGTGGATATCCAGTTTTCCCAATGCCATTTATTGGAGCAATTATACTTGTTCCATTGTATATTCTTGCTACTATTGTCAAAGATTGGTTGACTGTATATATGTGGGTTTATTTCTGGGCTCTCACTTTTCTAAAACTGGGTATGATAAGACCTAGGTAACTAAGACGGTTGGGTGAGCCTGAAAGAAGGGAAAGATTGCCTTAGGTTAGGCCTTATAGCTTAAGAGGCAAAAGGAAGTCTCAAGTCTCCTGTTTGCTTCAGCCCATTAACCAGGTTTGGAGATCATACAGAAAATTAAGGTTTAAGTGCTAACTAGCAGTGAAATGTAATAAAAAACTAGTTATGACTCTACTGTGGTTTTAAATGGATAAATGAGATCGTGAGTCCAAAGATTCAGAAACTCTGATACTGTTCATATTGAGAGATTTAACTAAAAATAAGTTTCTGCTGGAGAGAAGAATGAAAGGTAAGTACAGAGGAAGGCAAGGTACAAAGGAGATTTTCTGAGTCCAGTCAGGGTTAGCGTGGAGACCCTGTGCACTTGGGGAAATGGAAAAAGTGGCAATAAAGAGCAAATTGTAGATAGAAGCAATGAAGGCCCAAACTGGTAATGTCACACTTTTGCTTTGAGCAGGCTGGTAATGATTTCCCCAGGAAACTCAACTATGCAAATAAGAAAGCTTGGAAGTATGACTTAACGATTAATGAAGCTCACACTACTTTGTTCAATGGAAAATTTGTTCTTGTCTAAATGTCCAGAGAGTAACTTGGTTCTTTTTCTCCAGGGTTATGCAGAACAGAGGAGACGCTTTTCTGCCAGCTGGAAGGGGTAGCAGGTGGGGTAATGGATTCCCAGCTTGCCAGCGGCTGAGATTCTAATTAGAATCTTCCTTCTGGCTTTTAGCAAGCAGCTTTCACTTCATAGTGTCCTTAGAGAAGAAAGTTCCATATTCAGCAAGAAACTGCCCTATTTAAATGTATAAAATCTTTTTGTGTTTGGGCTATAAAGCAAGTGGTCTTCAAGGTTCATGGCAAGTATATCGTGTAATATAAAAAGCATCATTAGCTCATGAAAATGCTATTTAAAAATGCAAGTTTGCCTTAGGTAATAAAGTTGAAGAAAGTAGTCTGGAAATTTAAGACAGAATTGGGAAACTTAAAAATTTAGATTTTTTAGTTTATATATTGTATGGATTTTAATATACACAGATGAATGGTGAAGCTGGTAGAAGGAGAAAGAAAAGAGAGATATGGAGGTGAGGGAGGGTGAAAATGTGCAATAGATGATGACAGTGTTGGAGAAGGCAGAGGTTTTTGCCATAAAGAATCTCTAGCTGGGATCACTTGAGGCCAGGAGTTTGAGACCAGCTTGGGCAACAAAGTAAGACCCCAGCTCTATAAATAAATAAATAAGTAAATAAATAAATAAATAAATAAATAAATAAATCAGCTGGGCATGGTGGTGTGCATCTGTAGTCCCAACTACTCAGGAGGCTGAGGCAGAAGGATCCCTTGAGCCTAGGAGTTCAAGGCTGCAGTGAGCTATGATGTGCCACTGCACTCCAGCCTGGGGAACAGAGCAAGATCCTGTCTTTTAAAGAGGAAGAGAGAGAGACTGACTCCATTGGGCTTTTTCTTTTTCACGTTAAATAAAATTTAAGGGTTTAGTTGTTTAGCCTGTACTGCCTTCTCCTGGTTGGTCTTGGATTAGCAGCTCAGATGTAACAAAAGTGAACTGTGTGAATGGACCCAACTGTAACACAGACGTTATGTGCCAGATTATGCTGCCTGCCTGTTGCAGTTTACCACGGTGCTGGTAATATATCCAGGTCCCATTGGGCTGGCTTCAGGCCGTGATGGTCTTTTTTTCATGAGCCTTCCTATTGTGATACTATGCATATATTAGTAAGACGTCTTAAGTAGAATACCTATTCCAAAATGGAATGAGGCACATGTGTGCATACTGAGGTGCCTGTGAGTTGCTTACTTCTAAAAGAGAGAGGTTACACAAAATCTTAAGCCCTTGTAATGTACTTAATCTTGTAAATGTGCTATGGGAACATTTATTGCAGGCCTCCAGAGTTGACTTTAATTTTTCTTTTATGACCTGCCAGGAGTAGAGTGGAGAGATTAAACTATAGCTTCCAGAATCACAGACAAATCTGAGTTCGAAGAAAAGGTGATCCTTTCTCAGTGAGAATTCTCTTGCTTAATAGTCAGAGAGATTTTGGGAAATTCTGAGAGTGATGCCTATAAAGTGAAAGAAAAGGAGGAGACTGAGAAAAAGGAAACAGAAAAGCAAAGTTATTGATTTTTGAGCAGGTAAAACCGAAAAACTCATTCTATCAATTATCTATCTGTCTGTCTGTCTGTCTGTCTATCTATCTATCTATCTATCTATCTATCTATCTATCTATCTATCATCTATTGTGAAAGGAACTGCTCAGGGAAAACTTGCCTCCCATTTCTATTCAAAGTCATCCTTCTGCTCACTGCGATAGATGCATATCTGATTGTCTCCTTTGGAAAGGCTAATCAGAAACTCAAAAGAATGCAGCCTTCATCTCTTGCTTATCTGTGGCCTGGAACCCCCGTCCCTGCTTTGAGTCTTCCTGCCTTTGCTTCAAGTTGTCTGGCCTTTCCAGACCAAACCAATGTACTTCTTACATATATTGATTGATGTCTCATGTCTCTCTAAAATGTATAAAACTAAGTTGTGCCCCGACCACCTTGGGCACATGCCGTCAGGACTTCCTGTGACTGTGTCATGGGCACGTCCTCAACCTTGGCAAAATAAACTCTCTAAATTAACTGAGACCTTTCTCAAATTTTGGGGGCTCACACTATCTATCTATCTATCTATCTATCTATCTATCTATCTATCTATCTATCATCTATCTCCTACCTATCATTTACCCATCCATCGTCTACCAGTTATCTATATATCTATCTCATTATGCTGCCAGAAATTGTATAATATTGGGAACCTATCTTTAAGGAACTTAAAAAGATGAAAAAGAATCAGGAAATGCTGATACAAAAGAAATAAATAGAGAATGAGGAGCAGTGCTGGATCCTGGCTCTGGCTTTCTGTTAAGAGTGTCTGTGCCTTCAGAAGTGCTGGAGCAGGAAGGGTTCATGGACGTGGCTGGGTCATAAGTAAAAGTCTATGTCCAAATGGTGGAAACTTGGGAGGTCTAACCAGTCAAGAATTGTAAGCAGCTGTAGGAAACAATACAAGTGAAGACCGAATAAGAGCTAAGTAAAAACTTGGAAAAAGCCCCTGTAATCCCAGCACTTTGGGAGGCTGAGGCAGGCAGATCACAAGGTCAAGAGATTGAGACCATCCTGGCCATTATGATGAAACTCTGTCTCTACTAAAAATACAAAAATTAGCTGGGTGTGGTGGCGTGTGCCTGTAGTCCCAGCTACTTGGGAGGCTGAAGCAGGACAGTCGCTTGAACCTGGGAGGCGGAGGTTGCAGTGAGCTGAGATCGCGCCACTGTACTCCAGCCTGGTGACTGAGACTCCGTTTCAAAACAAAAACAAAACAAAACAAACCTGGAAAAAGAAAAAAAAAAAAACAGAAGAGGGAATCAGAAAGTTAATGTCTGATCATATAGGGAAGAGGCCAGAGGAGCAGCAGGGAAATCAATCTGGGTTGAATCTGGCAGAAAATGCATACAGAGAGAGAACTCAGCATGGGAGTTTCTTGTATTTTCAAATGACTTCTAATTCCTGGTTACTCCATGCACAGAGGTTGTACTCCTGGAGAGCTTAAAGGTAACAAATAGCTTTGATGGAATGTGGCTGCAAAGATATTAACCTTCCTACAGAAGAGAGATTAGCAGCAGACATGTGCCTATTGTGTGTGTGTGTGTGTGTGTGTGTGTATAAAATCAGTATGTTCAAATAAACTGTCTGGGTTGCTGCTTTGGTTTGTGCTAATTATTTTGTTTTCAAAGTTTTAGGAAAGAACTCCATTTATATTGTTTTAAAGAAAAAACAAAGATTGACTGAGGTAAACTTGGAGTAAGTATAGGCATAATCAAATAGGGTCCCCTAGATCAAAGCTCAAGCCTGCTGGTTTATCAATGAGATGTCTTTGCTAAAGAGTTGATTTTGGATCAGGGGCTATGTTCATTTAATAAATTACAAGTGTGAAAAAGTCACAGAGATACTATAAAGTGATCTGATTATTTAATTTTTGGAATATAAAGATATGGGGGAGACTTGTCTCTTGTTTATTATAACAGAGCCTAGAATTGAATAAATACCAACTAGTGATGGTAACGTGAAAATCTTGATCACTGCAGAGATTAAAAAAACCAAATCTCATAGCTTTACCCAGAGGCCTAATAAGGGCTAAAATAACTAATTAAAAAAATGAATAAAAGCCAAGCCAAACCGCGAGAGGATGATCTAAGTTAAAATACGTGACCAGGCAGGTTGCTTCAGTCGTAGTAGAAATATTTTAATAAGCTAGGAGCAAGATGAATATGGAGTATTAATAATTGTAATTTTCTTTCATAGTTAAGATATCAGAAACCAGTGAGATATCTCATAGCCTGTAAAAGCAGAGCCTCTAATTTTAAGAGCCAATTTATTTTACTATAATTTGAGATGCTGGAAAGACTTTTGAGATTGTTATTTAAATGCCGTTTGCTATTAAACTGTGGTTAGAAAATCTGCTCAGCCAAAATGATGCTGAAAGAGCATTAAGTTTATGAGTCACAAAAGCCAGAGTAATTCTAATTACTTTCCTGAACTTCAGTACAATAGAGATGTTTAATATGCAATGGGACACTCCTTTAAAATTGTTGCAAGACAGGTGATAGGAGTCTTGGCTTCTCTCCCCACCTTGATTATCAGTGAAGTAAAGGTTAGGTGCGGTATTGTATTGTGTGTTTTCATCTTAAAGTTTCTTCTTCTGCAGAATGGGTTAATGATGGAAACATTTGGGTATTGTGGTGCACAGAGTGGGTTCTCGTGTCTCTTCAGAGCAAAGTCCTCTTATACATCATCATGAGCCTCATAATGACGTTTCGGTCAATGACAACTGCATATATGATGGTGGTCCCCTAAGATTACAATGGAACAGAATGCATAGCTGAAGAAGAGCCAAGAGAAAAGGAAATTGCAGGAGAAGAAAAAGAAGAAAATTCACAGTGAAGGGTTTAGCAGAAGCTTTTGCAGACCTCAACAAGCTTCTTAAAAATTTGAAAATATGGACTCCAACACCAAAAGATTTTCATTAATAGAGAGAAATCTTCAGGGTGCATTATCTGCTCCCAGGCAGATAATCTATGATGAAAAAAAGAAACAAACTAAGAAACCATGATGAACATATTCCTGAAAAAAGTGACACCTTCTCAGGAAGAGCCTCAGGCAGGTCTTTCAGGAGTATCCAGAAGAAGGCTTGTTATCACAGGAGATGGCAGCACCATGTGTGTTTTAACCCCTGGAGACCGTCCAGCAGGACAAGATGTGGAGGCAGAAGGCAGTGCTGTTGATGATCCTGACCTTGTATGGGGTTAGGCTAATGTGTGTGTTTGTGTCTTAGTTTTTAACAAAAACGTTTAAAAAGTAAAGGAAAAAAAATCTTAAAAACAGAAAAGAGCTTATAGAATAAGGTTATAAAGAAAGAAAATATTTTTGCACAGCTGTACGGTGTGTTTATGTGTTATTACAAGAGTAAAAAGGTTTAGAAAATTTAAAAATTGATAAAGTTGAAAAGTTACAGTAAACTGAGTTTAATTTGTTATTTAAGAAAGAAAAATATTTTCTATAAATCTAGTCTAGCCTAAGGGTATAGTGTTTATAAAGTATACAGTAGTGTACAGTCAAGTCCTAGGCTTTACATTCACTCACCACTCTGTCACTGACTCACCCAGAGCAACTTCCAGTCTTGTAACCTCCATTCATGGTAAGTGGCCTATACAAGTGTACTATTTTTTATCTTTTACTCTGTATTTTTACTGTACCTTTTCTATGTTTAGTTATGTTTAGATTCACAAATATTTCCCATTTTGTTGTAATTGCCTACAGTATTCAGTACAGTAACATGCTGTACCAGTTTGTAGCCTAGGAGCAATAGACTCTACCATATAGCCTACATCTGCAATAGGCTACACTATCTAGGTTTGTGTAAGTTCACTCTATGATGTTCACCCAATGAAGAAATCACCCGAGACACATTTCTCAGAACGTATCCCTGTCATTAAGTGAAACATGACTGTAGTTAAGTGAGGTTATAATGGTTTAGAATGGGTCCTAAATCCAATGACTGATGTCTTTTTAATAGGCCAGTAAAAACAGAGAGAGACACAGAGGTCCACATAGGAACACCATGTGAAGATGGTGGAAGAGATTGAAATGATGCATCTACAAGCCAAGGAATGCCAAGACTTATGGTAGTTGTATTATTATTAGAATTATTTTTTATGCTATTATTATAATTGGTAGTGTTTCATACAGTATTTATTGACCTGACATTAATATTTGACCAGTTTTATTTTTTTTCTTTCACTGAAAAACCTAGGTCCATTCTTCTTTTTTTCAAGCATCATTTTGTATGAGTATGTTTTAGTTGCTTCTATTGTATATTTAAGACTTGACTCCCCAAGAAATAGGAACACTTTTACACCGTTGGTAGGAGTGTAAATTAGTTCAACCATTGGGGAAGACAGTGTGGTGATTCTTCAAGGATCTAGAACCAGAAATACCATTTGACCCAGCAATCCCATTACTGGGTATATGCCCAGAGGATTATAAATTCTATAAAGACACATGCACATGTATGTTTATTGCAGCACTATTCACAATAACAAAGACTTGGAACCAACCCAAATGCCCATCAATGATAGACTGGTTAAAGAAAATGTGGCACATATATACCATGGAATACTATGTAGCCATAAAAAAGAATGAGTTCATATCCTTTGCAGGGACATAGATGAAGCTGGAAGCCATCATTCTCAGCAAACTAACACAGGAACAGAAAACCAAACACTGCACTTTCTCACTCATAAGTGGGAGGTGAACAATAAGAACACATGGACACACGGAGGGGAATATCACACACAGGGGCCTGTCGGGGGGTGGAGAGAAAGGGGAAGGGCATTAGGACAAAAACCTAATACACACAGGGCTTAAAACCTAGACGATGGTTTGATAGGTGCAGCAAACCACCATGGCACATGTATACCTATGTTACAAACCTGCACATTCTGCACATGTTTCCCAGAACTTAAAGTAAAATAATAAAAAAAGACCTGACTCCCCATTCCCCCAATTTTGTAATCAAATAAGAGAGTATTTACCTCTTTATTGGGAAATATATATAATGCCCATTTTTCTAATATCAAAGTTGCAGCTTAAATATATATATGTAATACATATATTTATATTAGAAATATAGTTGTACTTTACACACACACACACACACACACACACATACACACACACACATATATTGGAGATAAGAGTCTTGATCAGGCTGGACTCAAGCACTCCCGCACTCAAGTTATCCTCCTGCCTCAGCCTCCTGAGTAGCTGGGACTATAGGTGTGAACCACTGCACCCTGCTTATAGCTGATAATTTAATATGAATTTATCTTAGCTAATCTGCAAAGACCCTATTGCCAAATAAGGTCACATTCTGAGGTTTGGGATAGACATAAATTTTTTATATTTGCTATAGTTAGTGTTCTTTTTTTATTTATATTAAATAAATGCTTCTGTTTTGAAGCATTTATATTATTAAATGAATATTATTTATTTATTTTTTATAAAATAAATTTATATATTAAATAAATGCTTCCTTAAAGTTTCTATATTTCCTGTCTGGCTTCCTTGTTGTTATATTGCTAAACTTGTTTGGGAAACATATTTTGTTTCCATTCCATGGGTGGTTACTCAAAAGTTTTTTCAACTATGTTTAACGTGATGTTCCAAGGGTTTTTTTGGGGAGTGTTTCCCCTTGACATAAGAAGTTTAGGATACTTTTATTTTTACTTCTCCAGTACCACAACATTCACTCCCTTCTCTGAATTCTGTCTTTTACACTGATACTGTTTTGTAATTTAGATACTGATAATTTTACTAACAATATTATTTTTATATTATATATCTTCTCTTTGGGGACATATTTTGCTTTGCATTCAATTTTATATCAAGACATTAAAATTTTTCTTAGCTTTAATATGTATTTTTAACTGATCTTAAAGGATTCTGTTAATTCTGTTCTCTCAATCAGTTGGAGTATATCTTTGAGTAATTTCCTTAAAGAGAAGTATGTTTCCTGAGCTGTTGCACAGCTGACTTTTTTTTTTCTTTTTTACTTTGAACTTGAATAATAGCTTGAATTTTGCTCCATTTGGTTCTGGTGTTTTGTGTTTTGTTTTTATTTTTTTAGAGACAGAGTCTTTCTGTGTTGCCCAGGCTGGAGTACAGTGGCATGATCATAGCTCACTGTAACCTTGAACTCCCAGACTCAAGTGTCCCTCCTGCCTCAGCCTATGGAATACATCCAGCTAATTAATTTTGCTTTTGTAGAGGTAGGGTCTCACTATGTTTTCCAGGCTGGTCTTGAACTCCAGGCCTCAAGTAATCTTCACGTTTCCGCTTCCCAAAGTGATGGTTAGAGGTAGCTAAATAAAGAATTCTATCACTGTCATTATTACTATTCAAAAATATTACGACAATGTCATTAGGTATAACATTTCTTCTTATTGATTTTTCTTGGGATAGAAATCTTTTTTGATTTATATATACTGGATTTCTGTAAATTTAGATTTTCTTCTAATGATTCACTTATTATATTTCTTGCTGGCTTCTTCAGAAACAAATATTATCCATATGATGTCTCCTTTTTCTTCATCTTCTATATTGTCCATATTTTCTCCAATTATTTTAATCTGTTTATACCTTTATTCTATGCTGACATATCTTCTTGAGTTTCACTTTTACAGTTTTGATTTGAATTTCTTCTCCATCTATTTTTTTCCATTACCCTCCATATCGATTAAGTTACATTAAATTAAGAAATTATTTCTCTTACGTTTTTCTTGGGTTCCTTGTTTTTATGTTTTTCATATCTCAACTAATCTTTCTTATTGCTTATAAAAATCTTGTTCTATTATCACCTTATTCATGAAAAAACTCAAAATTCTGTTTTCTTTAGATAATAGCATATAGTTTCCTAAAATTCCCTTCTGAAAACTTTTAGAGATCTACTTTTTGGAAGCAACTCTATTTAACTTACCCCATTATATTTCTTATTTGTTATAATTTTATATTTTTCCAGTCAAAGATTGGCAAAATATATTTTTGACAAGCAAAGATTCTCTATACTTATTTTTCATTAGAATGGGTGTGTGTGTGGCCCTTGGTCACATTCTGTCTATTGATGTGATCTTGGAATTTGTACTTTAAATCCATAATTGAAAGGCTAGTTGGTTTGTGTTGTTCCCAGTTTAATTCTCATTTGTAAGCAAATATCCTCCTAGTGCTCCTTTGTTCTAGTGCAGTTTTATCTTCTGAGTGCTGGAAAACCTCTACTTCTTGAGAAGTATGTGTTGTTACTAGGATGTTGTTTTTTCCCTCTGCATATATTGCTGTCTTCTTAATGGAAAGTACACCTCTCTGAAAACTCTATTCTCTATTTTCTGCCCATTTGTTCTCTGGACTTCATAGAACCTTCTTCTATGTGGAAAGATAGTGGGAAAAAAAATCATGCAGTGGTTTGTATGAAAAACTACACCTTTTGCCTAACAGCAATATCTAAGATGTGGAGAGAAATAATTAACCTGTTTTCTGGCTAGTACAGGTGTTGGATCCTTGAGTATGGGGACACATTTACATTTTTTGTGCATCTGTTTCTATTTCATGTAATGATACTGTGTGAAGTCAGGAATAGAATTCTAAGTAGGATTTTCCTCAATTTAACTTCTACTGTCTTATAATTAATTTCCATTTATCCTGCATTTTGGCTTTGAATTATCTGTCAGTGTTAGATTTCAGAGTTTTTGAGAGCTTCTTTTTTTTTTTTCCTCTTGGGTACGCCTTTGTAAGTATTTAAAGGTTAGTTGGAAAGAATGGTTTGGAGAATGCTACCCAGACACTCTTTTGGATTTTAAGTCTCTCTACTGATTCAAAATGCTATTTCAGTAATCTCAGTTGTAAATGTTTACTATTTATTTAGAGACAAGGTCTTGCTCTGTCATTCAGGCTGGAGTGCAATGATGTGATCATAGCTCACTGCAGCCTTGAACTTCTAGGATCAGGTGATCCTCCTGCCTCAGCCTCCTGAGTAGCTAGGACTACAGGTGTGCACCACTGAGTGTGGCTAATTTTGTTTATTTTTTGTAGAGATGGGGTCTCTGTCACCCAGATGGGTGTACAATGGCACAATCATAGCTCACTGCAGCTTTAAACTCCCAGGCTCAAGCTACCCTCCTACTCTGGCCTCCTTTGTAGCTGTTACTATCGTGCACACCACCATGCACAGCTAAGTTTTTCTATTTTTTTGTACAGACAGGCTTTCACCATGTTGCCCAAGTTGATCTCAAAATCCTAGGCTCAAGCGATCCTCTTGCCTTGGCCTCCCAAAGTGCTGGGATTATAGGCATGAGCCATGGTGCCTGTCTTATTCTTTTACTGTTGAGGAAAATATCTTCAAAAAGCTCATTTAAGAATGAAACATAGTGTGAGAATTCATTTTTGAGTTGTAGCATGTCTAAGAAGGTATAGAATTTTTGGATAGCATATTTTTTTCCGGCAGAGTTCTAGAAATGTTACTCCTGTGTCTTCTAGTGTTTTGTATTAAGGAAAACAAATGCATGGCCAGGCTGATTATTAATCTTTTGTGAAGAGTCTAATATTTTTCATGTTGATTTTTATTCCTTTGTGAAGAATAAATATTTTTAAGAGTATTTGTGGGATTCTTTCATCTCTGAAATTTGATATTTCTATCTGATTAAGCTGTGTAAGTCTAGTTGTCTAGTTTCTTTTCATGAGGTTTTTCCTAAGCATCAAAAAATACGTTCAAAATTTTATGCTAGTATAAATTTCAGATTGGGAATAATTTTTTTGTTATTTCTCTGATTATTGATTATTTTGTTTTCTGATGCATACTCTTATAGGAGATAACATCTTCTAGAATTATTCTTCATGTATCTTATCTTCTACCTCCTTTTGTTCATGTCTTTATCTTCTTCTGCTAATTCTGGGATAATTTGTTGAGTTTATCTTCTCCAGCACTCATTCATTTCCTGCATATCTTTCTTACTGCCATCATCCAGTTAGTTTGGCATTATGTTTTTTGACCTCACTGGGACCTTTCTAATTTAAGTCTTCCTTTGTGAATATTTCCCAGCTACAGAGATGCCATGGCTTCTTGAACCCTTCTGGAAGAGAATCTAATATTTTCTAAAAATTTCTTCTGAATTTTGGAGTAACCCTATTTTAAAAGGAGATATTCCATCATTTTTTAAAACAATGACTCACTTATTTTGGACACCACTATTTTCTCATATACTTTGGATTTGCTATTTTTAAGAGAAGGAGGCTCAATGCTGATATTAATCAAGTAGGAATTGAGGTAGGCTAATGTTTGTGTGTGTACTTTTCACTCATTTTTAGAAGGACCCTTAGCTTCAGAGTCCCCAGAGTCTTGAATGAGGTGAGAAGTGGAAATTCAGAAGGTTGGAATGCCCTATATAGTCATCACATAAAGTTTTAACAATACCGCACATTTATAGATGAATTACTCAGGAAATTCATTCTCCTCTCTATACTGCCTCATATATTTCTACTCCATGTCCTCTTCTGCTTATCTTGACTCCCATTCCAGAGGGAAATCTCAGGCAGAGTTTCTAATTTTTAAATTTCTGCCTGCTTTGGGGCTGCCAATTTCAGGAAGGTATCGCTGAGTCTTTCAGTATTGCCAGTGGAATCGAACTCCAGAAAAACTCAAAGGACACCACATGGCTATCTCCCCAGTGTCCAATAGCCTGTTCCCAATGCCATTCCCAACTCTTCTAAATTCATCTGGGGCTTAATAGACTCTCCCCATCCCAACTCTTCTAAATTCATCTGGGGCTTAATAGACTTTCCCCCTCATAGACTTCCATGATAAGCTGCTCTGTTTCACAATAGGGAAGCTTACACAGGCCTTTCCTTCAATCTCATCCTGCCCTCCCTAGCTAACAGAAATTTCTAGAAATATCTAGCCAGTGAGAGCATCCATTTCTAGTTTCATCCTATAATGTTGGTTTTCATAATGTTGGTTTTAAATGTAATTATTCATTACAAAGTATTTGTGAGGGAGTAGAGAAGAATGGGTACTTATAATAAAAGCATGACTTTTTAATGTATCAAAACTATACAGAAACAAAGACAACATAGAGATAACTCTTGAAGAAGACAGAACATCAACATCATAAGCCCCATTTCCTTATTTTGAAGTGTGGGTCTTCTATTCAATTTCTACAATAGATTTCAAATGTAATATTTGATAATGAAGGTGATGATAACAATGATATTGATGATAAGAGATGATACTGATGAGCACACTTAAGTGCTTAATTTATGATAATAATCATTGTTAACATTCATTAGCCTTATTGTATATCAGGCACTGTGCTGGCTTCTTTACACACATGATCCCAGTGAATCTCTGTAACAGGCCTATAAGAGAGACACATAAATTTATCCTCACCTTATATATGAGGAAACCAAGGAACAGACTAGTTAAGTAAGGTACCAGAGGTCACACAGATAGTAACTGACAGAACTGAGACTTGAATCCAGATCAGTCTGGCTACAGAGCCCATGTTCTTATCTACTGTCTGATTAAAAATAATATGACACATGACAGGTACAAGTTACATGAGAATTCCTTTGACATGTGAATGAATGGTTCTTTGAAGACAGAGTGCAGTAAATTCCAGTCTATAAAAGAGTTTTTTGAATAATATGATGACCAAACTTGTGTGTCCAGGGCAAAAGGAGGGTACAAATAGACAGAATATGCAAGATAGAGAAATGCTGGAGTTAAGTCTCAGATATCTTTGAAGCAAGAGTTTCATCCTTAATTTGCTTGGTGGGCATGTGTTTCTTACATATAAGATTTTTATGTTTCTGAAGCCCAGAGGATAAGATGGAGAATTCAGCTCAGGGTTGGCCTAAGGGAGGGAGGTGAACTAGCGAGAAAGAAAAAGGTCCCATAAGACACCCCAGGAAGAACCAGACTACTGAGGAAGATTCAGACTGTTGAATATTATGTTAATGAAGACAACTGAGTCACTCTATGCCTAGTGTTTATTTCTTTTGTACTTAAAGATTCCAGTGTTTTCTAGTAAAAATAACATGTCTGTACTAAAGGGACAGGTTGGCAGGAGAAATCATTAATGGGAGATGGAGGATGGCCCTGGACTATGTGTGTGTGTCTCTGTCAAGTCGTGGTGGGAACCCAGGGGAAAGGCTTTATGTTTGTGCAGATTTTTTATTTTGACTCATTCTATGTATTAAGAAATATGGAGAAGACTACAGGCATATTTTATCTTATAGGTTAAAAACAATGTAAATGACCTTAGAATGACTTTTGTGTGAGGAGCACTTTAAAAAAAAATAGAAATCTTTAGTATCCTTGAACCCCTAATGTGATTAGGTCTAATTGTGCTATCAGTATAAATATGAACAATCATGGCATTAGAAGCTGTAATTGCCTAATTATGACTTGCACTAATGTGATGATTTTTGTTAGATCTGAATCCTAACTAATAGGACTAGTCTGCCAAATCTGAAGTCAGAAATAAAAGTCAAATCAAGTATTATTTTGTGTCCCTGGGTAAATTCACCAGTACAATTTCTCCATGAGCTAGAGACCCTGGACTTCTGGCTTTTCTCTGCTATATATCTTATACCATCCCACTCAGGATGTGGGCACCTGATCATTCAATTTAAGTCATTCGTGGATGACTACTAAAGGAAAATGGCAGTAAAGGTATTGAATTAGTGTGGATTTTTATTAGCACAATATTTTATTATTCTTTAAAATTTTCCTAAGAGCTGATTAACATAAACTCTTTGCAGATTGAAATCAATCCTCTCATCAGGTAACCAACATAAAAATAATCAGGGCATTCCTGAGGGATCACATATAAAACTGACAGAGGCAATGAAGTGTCCTGCCCACTTTCCAGCATGTTCCTTATGATCACACTGCCTTCCTCCGTACCTGTTTTATCTCACCTGCCAATGTTTATTTGTTTCCTGGAGGAAAGTCTTACAAAGCACACTCCCTAAATATTATTTGAAAGTCCAGATGTACAGGAACATTTATTTCTCAGCGAGTGAGTTGTCCACTAGTGCAAGAAGCAGAGGCAATAGTTCATCTCTCTCTGTCTTTGGAAAATTTGGTGACTAGCAGTTAACACTCATAGAGAGAAAACAATGATGTATAGAAAGTCCAGCGTGGAAGACTATATTTTCTCCACTTTCCTGGTCTATTTGTGATATTTTAGTTGCTTCAACAATGACTGAAATAAGACTGGTTATACACAAGGCTGACTGCTTGGAAGCATTCTTTGTTCCTGGGTTTTAGGTGTGTGAGTGTGATAGAAGACTCCTCAGAGATCCTCCATAATAAAACCATCTAGATGACAAACAGAATGATCTGTACAACAAATTCTGAATTATAATGGGTAAAATGAAAGCAAACTCCAGAGTATTTCTTTTTGTGTCCTACAGCATTAGATATTTTGTCTGGTAGCCACATACGCAAGACCCAATCTCGTTTCAGTCTAATAAATTACATAAAGCTATTTTTGCAGTCAATTAGCATGCTGAATGTTTCAACTTCCACATGCGCATTCTCTTTCTTTTCTACAGTTTGTAAACTGCTGGAGAGGTGTGTTAACATTCTATTTCAATGTCACAGTGAGAGGAAGTGGTGATAATAGAAGGCAGGGGCAGGACATGTTGCTTTCTCGATACTTTTTTTTCTGTTTTTCTTTTTTCTTTTTTTTAAAGAGGTGGGACCTCTAAACAGATGAGTGTTAGCTCTAAGTAAAATATAGTTCTAAGCATCACAATTCTGTGCTTATATTTTAATAGGTAGTTGGTGTTTCCTAGGGCGGCTATAAAGGTATCACAAGCTGAGTGGCTTAAAACAACATAAATTTATTTTCTTCCAGTTCTAGAGGTTAGAAATCTGAAATCAAGGTGTTGGTAGGGCCATACTCTATCTGAAGGCTCTAGGGAAATTCCTCCATTGCCTCTTTCTAGTTTCTGGTGGTTGCAGGCTGTAGCTGATGTTCTTTGGCTTATAGATGCCTCGCTCCAATTTCTGCCTCCATCTTCATGTGGTCATCTTCCTAGTGTCTCTGTGTCCAAATTTTCCTCTTCTTAGAAGCACACCCAATATTGGAATTGAGTTCACCCTAATTCATTATGACCTCATCTTAACTTTGTTACATTTTCAATGACTATTTCTAAATAAGGTCACATTCTGAGATACTGGGGGTTAGAACTTTCATGTCTTTTGGGGGAACAAAATTAAATCTGTAACAAATGACAAAATGGAAAGTTTCATTCTTGCATTTGCTCAGAGAAGGGTCCCTAAGGGAATAGTTACCCATCAGATTTAGCAACTTTTTCCTAGAAGCCTCATGAGAGGGGTCAGGATGAATGCACCTGTTCTGCATATAAGGTAGGCAGCCACCCTCCAATATCATCAAATTCAACACTTTATAGTTAAAAAAAATTAGCCCAGAATCTTAAATAAGCTACAAAGTTTACAAACAACTAATGATGAAGAGGCTGAGAGTGGATTCCACTGTTGCTTGATTTCTGGCCTGGAGTTCTTCCTTCCTGCTCACACTGTGGGGGCATGTTGAGGTGCACAATGCTTCTGTGGTTACCCAGTAGGACAGTGACAGCTTGGGATGCCTCCTGTCACACTGTGAATCTTGTGAAGTTACTTTTAGGCCACCTTGTGACTAGCCACTTCAAAGTCTTTAAAAGACAGGAGGTATAAATGAAATGAATAAAACAAGAGCTTAAGCTATTATCTCTCCTCTGGGGCATTTGCATTTTAATGGAGCAGCCTGGGCTCTGTCCCAGACCTATTGATTCATAATCTCCAAGGGAGAGTCCTGGGAGAATCTGTATTTTAGAGAGCATACCAGGTGACTCAGATAGTTGGGCATGTTTAGGAAACACTGGCACAGAGAAATTCTGACTTCTGAAATAGTAAGAAAGAAATATTTACTGGAAGGATTTTAGGTAAGAGCCAGGTGGGGATGGTGGGGGAGGAAGGGAAGCTACTACTTGATGGCCTCCAAAAAACACGAGTCAGATGCATAATTCTGTATTCTTTGCCCAAAGTCTGAGGCCTGGTTTCTGCCCCAGGAGGAATTCAGAGGAAGCAGGTTTTCTGGGCTTGGAGTGTAGTATCCCTCTTAGGAGAAGCAAGAGAGATTTAGGATTGCTTATTTATTGCAGAACCCACGTCTTCTTGCAGATTGCAAAGCCAATTCTGAAACTGCCTTTGCAAAAATTAAAACAGTGAGGAAACTATGACAGTGAGGAGATCTGTCTAACTAACTCCCATCTTGCCTTTTAACCTTCCAACTGCCCTTCATCACTCCTGGGCTCAGGCCACGCTAACTTCGAAAGACATTTATTTTGTAGTTTAAATGATAATAGCCCTTCTCCCAAACTAAACCACCTTGGTACAGCTGATAAAAGACAACCAGGTTAGGAGGATGAGCAATCTGAATTCTGCTCAGGTGTTGACCTAAAGGATTACCCACCATGATTCCAGAAGTCACAAGATTTGCAAATCCCCCAATTATTGCTGCAGATAACATCTCTGGAACTAAGATTGGCCTTTTGAGATGTTTTTTCAGGTGTTTGCATTTCTGATGACCAATAGCTTCACCTGGACCTCCCCACGCCCTCTGACCAGTCCTGTGGCCCCACCCAGAAGCGGACTCCCTGGCCCACCAAACTATTATTGAAAAACCATAGCCTCCGAATTTTCTGGGAGATCGGTTTGAGTTATTACTCTGTCTCCCACATGGTGTGGCTGGCCTTGTGTCAATTAAACTCCTTCTTCATTGCAATGCTGTGGTCTCCTGAGTTGGTTTTGTCTATGCAGTGCAGGAAGAATCTGTTGGCTGGTTACAATTTTATATTAAGGGAGGGTACCCAAGAGAAAATTCTAGCCCATTTCTATTGCTTCATTTTTCACATTGCATGCAGTCAGTGGTGATGTACTTTCTCTCTCTCTTTTTTTAGAGAGAGAGTTCCTTTTTTTTTTTTTTTAGAGAGTTCCTCATTACTTGTTTTGAACCTAAAGTTATAATTTAGTGTCTGTGACAGCACATTTGATTGTTTTTAAATGAAGGTGATAGGAAAGGCAGAAGAATGACTAGGGAAGAAAATCTGGAGAACAGATGACAAGATAACATTGCTTTTGATTCTCTGCAAACAAGCATGGTATTGAAAAATGATCCAAAATCGTTTGCTTGAGCACCACAGTTACTTTTGAGTAATATTTTTGTGAGATACTTTTAAATTTATTTTTTTGAAGTCTGGTGCTCTGAAATTGAATTTGAAGTCAGCTTAATACCAAAGTGTGACACATTCTCTTTCAGCAGGCTTTACTGTATCTCACGTCTATTTAGTTTTTACAAATTTAGTTTTCATGATTTCTGCATCTTTGGAATACAAATCCTGGGATGGTTTCTATCTGAATGGAGTCTTCAGTGAATGGTGACATGGTTTCCTTTATTTTTTCCTATTTCTTTTTTTTTTGAGACAGAGTCTCGCTCTGTCGCCCAGGCTGGAGTGCAGTGGTGCGATCCCGGCTCACTACAAGCTCCACCTCCCGGGTTCATGCCATTCTCCTGCCTCAGCCTCCCGAGTAGCTGGGACTACAGGCGCCCGCCACCACGCCTGGCTAATTTTTTTTTTTTTTTTGTATTTTTAGTAGAGATGGGGTTTCACCGTGTTAGCCAGGATGGTCTCGATCTCCTGACCTCGTGATCTGCCCTCCTTGGCCTCCCAAAGTGCTTTATATC
This sequence comes from Homo sapiens, assembly GCF_000001405.40. Taxonomy (NCBI): domain Eukaryota; kingdom Metazoa; phylum Chordata; class Mammalia; order Primates; family Hominidae; genus Homo; species Homo sapiens. The sequence goes on from NC_000008.11 coordinate 31,481,059, forward strand.
TTCTGTCTTGATTAATTTTCTTCCTCTTTGGTAACACCTGTTGTCTCTTACGGACCAACCCTGTGCTAGGGCTGAGGCACAAGGAGCTCTAAGAACCAAGCTGTGGCCGGGCACGGTGGCTCAAGCCTGTAATCCCAGCACTTTGGGAGGCCAAGGCTGTCGGATCATGAGGTCAGGAGATTGAGACCATCCTGGCTAACACGGTGAAACCCCGTCTCTACTAAAAATACAAAAATTAGCCGGGCATGGTGGTGGGCGCCTGTAGTCCCAGCTACTCTGGAGGCTGAGACAGGAGAATGGTGCGAACCCGGGAGGTGGAGCTTGCAGTGAGCCGAGATCGCGCCACTGCACTCCAGCCTGGGCGACAGAGCGAGACTCACTCTCCAAAAAAAAAAAAAAAAAAAAAAAAAAAGAACCAAGTTGTGAGTGAGAAGGACCTGGAAAGGCACTGTTAGTGGCAGTGGATCCGTAGGGGTCTGCAGGAACCTCAACTCTTGCGTCCTCAGAAGAATTCGACGGAGGAGGCATGAGGCAGAAGGAGAGACAGAGGCAAGTTTTATAGCAGAAGTGAAAGTTTATTTAAAAGCTTTAGAGAGCAGGAATGAAAGAAAGGAAAGTACACTTGGAAGAGGGCCAAGCAGGTGACTTGAGAGACCAAGTGCGCTGTTTGACCTTGACTTACGGTTTAGTATATTGGCATACTTCTGGGGTCTTGTGTCCCTGATTTCCTGATTTTTCCCTGGAGGGTGCGCCGTCTGTATGCGCAGTGGCCTACTAGCGTTTGGGAGAGGCCGTAGGCGCAGTGTGTTTACTGGAGTTGTACGCATGCTCCCTAGAGTGGTTCTTCCCTTCCCGGTCTAGCATTCCTAGGGGAAAGTGATGTACCAGTTAAGCTCTGCTGTTTTGCCTCTTAGTGCTCATGCTTGAGCCCACTCGCCCAATTCCTGAAATCTTAGGGGGAAGCGGCTGATCACCAGTTTCAGATTTTTCCTATGTATTGTGAGACTGCCTTTCCCTGGCACAGGCTGCAACTAATTATTATTTTAGAGACACAGTAAACAACCACTTGATCATCACCTGATGGTCAGCTGGTGTGTGTATGGGGGGGTTGGGAGGGCCCTCTCCTGCCCTGCTCATGTGTGATTAGCTACCCAGTTTAACAGGACCATGTTATTGCATCATTAAAAGTGAAGTATTATGCCCTATGTCAGGAGGGTAGAGGTGCACAGATAAGGTCAGTGGACCCCAGTTAAGGGGGCAGGGAATACTTCCTGGAATAAATTACATTTGAGCTGAAACTTGAAGGATGTATTTAGGTGATGTAGACAAGTGGTTGGAGCAGAGATCTCATCTGTACCCACATACTCCACCTTCCCTCTTGCTGCAATTGATTATCTACTCCCATGTAAGACAAGCCCTTGACTTATACACTACCTCTCATCCTCTGATATTTTCAAGTAGCTCATTCTGCAGTTGGCTCTTCATCCTGCAGTGGCAATTTTTACTATTTACATGGTCTTTTGCATAAACATGCAATATTTTCTTTCTTTGAAAGCAAAACAAAACTCCCTTAATCCACATTCACCTCCAGTATATGTCTCATTTTTCTGTTACTCTACAGCCAAATTCCTTGAAATTGTTACTTATATTCACATCTCCATTTCTTTGCATTGCGTACTTCCTGAAGCTCATTGCAATTATAGTTTCATCCTTGCCATTTCACTGAAATCACTCTTGTCAAGGTCACCCACTGCCTCCCATAATGCCAGAGTGGTCAATTTTTAGTATCCTTACTGTGCAACCAGCTCTCATGATTGTACCCAGTCAAATCTCTATAATAAATTATACATCTCTCTACAGACCTGGACTGAAACATTGCTATTTGGTGTTTTACCCTATTTAGAGCCAAAATATATTTTCATAAGAAGAAACTCACAGCTGTCACATGTAAGTAAGTTATAAACTGATTTCAGAATCTCCAATACAGAAAATAGTAACTTTAGTGTTCCTATTGTTTGGTACTCTAATAATAATTAGAGAAAACTGAGAGTTTGGGATTATGTGACTACAGGAAATACCTGTAATTGCCAATTGGCTTCATAATAAGAAAATTGGCAGGGCTAAGAAGGCCCAGGGAATTAAGAATATAAATGTAGAGGTTAACATGGAGAACTACTTAGCATGAAAGAATATGGATGTTTCATTTAATTTTTTTCATATCAAAAATCTCTCTTCTTGTACCAATTTCTGCTCATTGGCTTATAGCAGGTACAGTTCAGGGACTCTAGCATTGATTAGTATAAGTTCCTAATTTTCAGGTGAAGGCACTGAGGCCCAGGAGAGTGAAGGGCTTGAGGTCAAACACCCATGAATGGAGAAGGCTTCTGGCCCCCTCCAATCCCCTCTGCATCTCACTAACAGGACTGGAAGCTGCTGAAACAGAGGTATTGGAAGCCCACAGATCATCAATATACAGTTTGAACTTGTAGTGAGGTAGACAAGAATAATTCATAGGGATGTATTATAGAGTAGGTAGAGAAGGCTGACTCCTGACAGTGGCATATTTGATAAAAATCCCCCCAAAGGCATTTAGTACCTGGTAGGCTAATGGCTCATGAGAGAAAACACAAGAAAGGAGATGATATGGGAGGGTGGGAAAGCCAATCTTTAGGTAAAAAATTACAAGTCGTCTTTAAACTATTTACTTTAAAAATTACTAGTTTTTCTGCTCTGCATGCTAATATGCTACTCTTTTTTTCTCAACTTTATTATTTCTCTTTGAATGTATATTAGTCCATTCTTACATTGCTATAAAGAAATATCGGAGACTAGGTAATTTATAAAGAAAAGAGGTTTAATTGCCTCATGGTTTCATAGGCTGTTTGGGTAGCATGGCTGGGGAGGCCTCAGGAAACTTTTAATCATGGTGGAAAGTGAAGGGGAAGTAGGGACGTCTTACATGACCAGAGCAGGAGGAAGAGAGAGAAGGGGGAGATGGTGCACACTTTTTTTTTTTTAAGCTTTGTATCTAATTTGGCAATCTTATTCCAGTATTTTTCTTTTTCTTTTTTTTTTTATTATACTTTAAGTTCTAGGGTACATATGCACAATGTGCAGGTTTGTTACATATGTATACATGTGCCATGTTGGTGTGCTGCACCTATTACCTCGTCATTTACATTAGGTATATCTCCTAATGCTTTCCCTCCCCCCTCCCCCACCCCATGACAGGCCCTGGTGTGTGATGTTCCCCTTCCTGTGTCCAAGTGTTCTCATTGTTCAATTCCCACCTATGAGTGAGAACATGCGGTGTTTGTTTTTTTTTGTCCTTGTGATAGTTTTCTGAGAATGATGGTTTCCAGCTTCATCCATGTCCTTACAAAGGACATGAACTCATCCATTTTTATGGCTGCATAGTATTCCATGGTGTATATGTGCCACATTTTCTTAATCCAGTCTATCATTGATGGACATTTGGGTTGGTTCCAAGTCTTCGCTATTGTGAATAGTGCCGCAATAAACATACGTGTGCATGTGTCTTTATAGCAGCATGACTTCTAATCCTTTGGGTATATACCCAGTAATGGGATGGCTGGGTCAAATGATATTTCTAGTTCTAGATCCCTGAGGAATCGCCACACTGTCTTCTACAATGGTTGAACTAGTTTACCGTCTCACCAACAGTGTAAAAGTGTTCCTATTTCTCTACATCATCTCCAGCACCTGTTGTTTCCTGACTTTTTAATGATTGCCATTCTAACTGGTGTGAGATGGTATCTGATTGTGGTTTTGATTTGCATTTCTCGGATGGCCAGTGATGATGAGCATTTTTTCATGTGTCTGTTGGCTGCATAAATGTCTTCTTTTGAGAAGTGTCTGTTCATATCCTTCGTCCACTTTTTGATGGGGTTGTTTGTTTTTTTCTTGTAAATTTGTTTGAGTTCTTTGTAGATTTTGGATATTAGCCCTTTGTCAGATAAGTAGATTGCAAAAATTTTCTCCCATTCTGTAGGTTGTCTGTTCACTCTGATGGTAGTTTCTTTTGCCGTGCAGAAGCCCTTTAGTTTAATTAGATCTCATTTGTCAATTTTGGCTTTTGTTGCCATTGCTTTTGGTGTTTTAGACATGAAGTCCTTGACCATGCCTATGTCCTGAATGGTATTGCCTAGGTTTTCTCCTAGGGTTTTTATGGTTTTAGGTCTAACATGTAAGTCTTTAATCCATCTTGAATTAATTTTTGTGTAAGGTATAAGGAAGGGATCCAGTTTCAGCTTTCTACATATGGCTAGCCAGTTTTCCCAGCACCATTTGTTAAATAGGGAATTGTTTCCCCATTTCTTGTTTTTGTCAGGATTGTCAAAGATCAGATGGTTGTAGATGTGTGGTATTATTTCTGAGGGCTCTGTTCTGTTCCATTGGTGTATATCTCTGTTTTGTTACCACTACCTGCTGTTTTGGTTACTGTAGCCTTGTAGTATAGTTTGAAGTCAGGTAGTGTGATGCCTCCAGCTTTGTTCTTTTGGCTTAGGATTGTCTTGGCAATGTGAGCTCTTTTCAGATTCCATATGAACTTTAAAGTAGTTTTTTCCAATTCTGTGAAGCAAGTCATTGGTAGCTTGATGGGGATGTCATTGAATCTATAAATTACCTTGGGCAGTAAGGCCATTTTCATGATATTGATTCTTCCTACCCATGAGCATGGAATTTTCTTCCATTCGTTTGTATCCTCTTTTATTTCATTGAGCAGTGGTTTGTAGTTCTTGAAGAGGTCCTTCACATCCCTTGTAAATTGGATTCCTAGGTATTTTATTCTCTTTGAAGCAATTGTGAATGGGAGTTCACTCATGATTTGGCTCTCTGTTTGTCTGTTATTGGTGTGTAAGAATGCTTGTGATTTTTGCACATTGATTTTGTATCCTGAGACTTTGCTGAAGTTGCTTATCAACTGAAGGAGATTTTGGGCTGAGACAATGGGGTTTTCTAAATATACAATCATGTCATCTGCAAACAGGGACAATTTGACTTCCTCTTTTCCTAACTGAATAACCTTTATTTCTTTCTCCTGCCTGTTATTATGTTGAATAGGAGTGGTGAGGGAGGGCATCCCTGTGTTGTGCCAGTTTTCAAAGGGAATGCTTTGAGTTTTTGTCCATTCAGTATGATATTGGCTGTGGGTTTGTCATAAATAGCTCTTGTTTTTTTGAGATACACCCCATCAATACCTAATTTATTGAAAGTTTTTAGCATGAAGGGCTGTTGAATTTTGTCAAAGGGCTTTTCTTCATCTATTGAGATAATCATGTGGTTTTTGTCTTTGGTTCTGTTTGTATGCTGGATTACATTTATTGATTTGCATATGTTGAACCATCCTCGCATCCCAAGGATGAAGCCCAGGTGATCATGGTGGATAAGCTTTTTGATGTGCTGCTGGATTAGGTTTGCCAGTATTTTATTGAGGATTTTTGCACAAATGTTCATCTGGGATGTTGGTCTAAAATTCTCTTTTTTTGTTGTGTCTCTGCCAGGCTTTGGTATCAGGATAATGCTGGCCTCATGAAATGAGTTAGGGAGGATTCTCTCTTTTTCTATTGATTGGAATAGTTTCAGAAGGAAGGGTACCAGCTCCTCCTTGTACCTCTGGTAGAATTCGGCTGTGAATCCATCTGGTCCTGGACTTCTTTTGGTTGGTAGGCTATTAATTATTGCCTTAATTTCAGAGCCTGTTATTGATCTATTCAGGGATTCAACTTCTTCCTGGTTTAGTTTTGGGAGGGTGTATGTGTCCAGGAATTTTTCCATTTCTTCTAGATTTTCTAGTTTATTTACATAGAAGTGTTTATAGTATTCTCTGATGGTAGTTTGTATTTCTGCGGGATTGGTGGTGATATCCCCTTTATCATTTTTTATTGAGTCCATTTGATTCTTCTCTCTTTTCTTCTTTATTATTCTTGCTAGCTGTCTATCAATTTTGTTGATCTTTTCAAAAAACCAGCTGCTGGATTCATTGATTTTTTGAAGGGTTTTTTTTGTATCTGTATTTCCTTCAGTTCTTCTCTGATCTTAGTTATTTCTTGCCGTCTGCTAGCTTTTGAATGTGTGTTCTCTTGCTTCTCTAGTTCTTTTAATTGTGATGTTACGGTGTCAATTTTAGATCTTTCCTGCTTTCTCTTGTGGGCATTTAGTGTTATAAATTTCCCTCTACACTGCTTTAAATGTGTCCCATTTAAAGGTGATTTGGGGTGGAGAGTTCTTTAGATGTCTATTAGGTCCACTTGGTGCAGAGCTGAGTTCAACTCCTGGATATCCTTGTTAACTTTCTGTCTCGTTGATCTGTCTAATGTTGACAGTGGGGTGTTAAATTCTCTCATTATTATTGTGTGGGAGTCTAAGTCTCTTTGTAGGTCTCTAAGGACTTGCTTTATGTATCTGGGTGCTCCTGTATTGGGTGCATATATATTTAAGATAGTTAGCTCTTCTTGTTGAATTGATCCCTTTACCATTATGTAATGACCTTCTTTGTCTCTTTTGATCTTTATTGGTTTAAAGTCTGTTTTATCAGAGACTAGGATTGCAACCCCTGCCTTTTTTTGTTTTCCATTTGCTTGGTTGATCTTCCTCCATCCCTTTATTTTGAGTCTATGTGTGTCTCTGCATGTGAGCTGGGTCTCCTGAATACAGCACACTGATGGGTCTTGACTCTTTATCCAATTTGCCAGTCTGTGTCTTATAATTGGTACATTTATCCCATTTACATTTAAGGTTAATATTGTTATGTGTGAATTTGATTCTGTCATTATGATGTTAGCTGGCTATTTTGCTTGTTAGTTAATGCAGTTTCTTCCTAGCATCAGTGGTCTTTACAATTTGTCATGTTTTTGCAGTCGCTGGTACCAGTTGTTCCTTTCCATGTTTAGTGCTTCCTTCAGGAGCTCTTTTAGGGCAGGCCTGGTGGTGACAAAATCTCTCAGCATTTGCTTCTCTGTAAAGAATTCTGTTTCTCCTTCACTTATGAAGCTTAGTTTGGCTGGATATGAAATTCTGGTTTGAAAATTCTTTTCTTTAAGAATGTTGAATATTGGCCCCACTCTCTTCTGGCTTCTAGAGTTTCTGCCAAGAGATCTACTGTTAGTCTGAAGGGTTTCCCTTTGTGGGCAACCCGACCTTTCTCTCTGGCTGCCCTTAACATTTTTTCCTTCATTTCAACTTTGGTGAATCTGACAATTACGTTTCTTGGAGTTGCTCTTCTCAAGGAGTATCTTTGTGGCGTTCTCTGTATTTCCTGAATTTGAATGTTGGCCTGCCTTGCTAGGTTGGGGAAGTTCTCCTGGATAATACCCTGCAGAGTGTTTTCCAACTTGGTTCCATTCTCCCCATCACTTTCAGGTACACCAATCAGATGTAGATTTGGTCTTTTCACATAGTCCCATATTTCTTGAAGGCTTTGTTTGTTTCTTTTTACTCTTTTTTCTCTAGACTTCTCTTCTCACTTCATTTCATTCATTTGATCCTCAGTCACTGATATCCTTTGTTCCAGTTGATCGAATCAGCTACTGAAGCTTGTGCATTCATTACATAGTTCTCATGCCATGTTTTTCAGCTCCATCACGTCATTTAAGGACTCCTCTACATTGGTTATTCTAGTTAGCCATTCGTCTAATCTTTTTTCAAGGTTTTTAGCTTTTTTTGCAATGCGTTCTAACTTCCTCCTTTAGCTTGGAGAAGTTTGATCTTCTGAAGCCTTCTTCTTTCAACTCGTCAAAGTCATTCTCCATCCAGCTTTGTTCCATTGCTGGTGAGGAACTGTGTTCCTTTGGAGAGGGAGAGGCGCTCTGATTTTTAGAATTTTCAGCGTTTCTGCTCTGTTTTTTCCCCATCTTTGTGGTTTTATCTACCTTTGGTCTTTGATGATGGTGACGTACAGATGGGGTTTTGGTGTGGATGTCCTTTCTGTTTCTTAGTTTTCCTTCTAACAGTTAGGGTCCTCAGCTGCAGGTCTGTTGGAGTTTACTGGAGGTCCACTCCAGACCCTGTTTGCCTGGATATCAGCAGTGGAGGCTGCAGAACAGTGAATATTGCTGAACAGCAAATGTTGCTGCTTGATTGTTCCTCTGGAAGCTTCATCTCAGAGGGGTACCTGGCTGTGTGAGGTGTCAGTCTGCCCCTACTGGGGAGTGTCTCCCAGTTAGGCTACTCAGGGTTCAGGGACCCACTTGAGGAGGCAGTCTGTCTGTTCTCAGATCTCAAACTCCATTCTGGGAGAACCACTACTCTCTTCAAAGCTGTCAGACAGGGACATTTAAGTCTGCAGAGGTTTCTGCTGCCTTTTGTTTGGCTGTGCCCTGCCCCCAGAGGTGGCATCTACAGAGGCAGGCAGGCCTCCTTGAGCTGCGGTGAGCTCCACCCAGTTCGAGCTTCCTGGCTGCTTTGTTTACCTGCTCAAGCCTCAGCAATGGTGGGCGCCCCACCCCCAGCCTCACTGCAGCCTTGCAGTTTGATCTCAGACTGCTGTGCTAGCAATGAAGGGGGCTCCGTGGGCATGGGACCCTCTGAGCCATGTGTGGGATATAATCTCCTGGTGTGCCGTTTGCTAAGACCGTTGGAAAAGGGCAATATTAGTGAGAGGTGACAGCATGCTGGCAGCCCTCACAGCCCTCGCTTGCTCTCAGCACCTCCTCTGCCTGGGCTCCCACTTTGGCAGCACTTGAGGAGCCCTTCAGCCCACCGCTGCACTGTGGGAGCCCCTTTCTGGGCTGGCCAAGGCTGGAGCCGGCTCCCTCAGCTTGCAGGGAGGTGTGGAAGGAGAGGTGCGAGCGGCAACCAGGGCTGCACAGGGTGCTTACGGGCCAGCTGGAGTTCTGGGTGGGCATGGGCTTGGTGGGCCCTGCCAGAGGGCCCTCTCAGAGTGGCCACCTGGCCCTGCCAGCCCTGGGGAATGAGGAGCTTAGCACCCGGACCAGCGGCTGCGCAGGGTGTGCTGGGTCCCCCAGCAGTGCCAGCCCACCAGTGCTGTGCTCGATTTCTCTCCAGGCCTTAGCTGCCTTCCTGTGGGGCAGGGCTCGGGACCTGCAGCCCGCCATGCCTGAGTCCCGCCCCCACCCCCACGGGCTCCTGTGCAGCCTGAGCCTCCCCGACGAGCGCTGCCCACTGCTCCATGGTGCCCAGTCCCATCGACCACCCAAGGGCTGAGGAGTGTGGGCGCACAGCACAGGACTGGCAGGCAGCTCCACCAGCAGCCCCAGTGCGAGATCCACTGGGTGAGGCCAGCTGGGCTCCTGTGTCTAGTGGGAACTTGGAGAACCTTTATGTCTAGCTAAGGGATTGTAAATACACCAATCAGCACTCTGTCTCTAGCTCAAGGTTTGTAAACACACCAATCAGCACCCTGTGTCTAGCTCAGGTTTTGTGAATACACCAATCGACACTCTGTGTCTAGCTACTCTGGTGGGGACTTGGAAAACTTTTATGTCTAGCTAAGAGATTGTAAATAACACCAATCGACACTCTGTATCTAGCTACTCTGGTGGGGACTTGGAGAACCTTTGTGTCCAGCTCAGGGATTTTAAACACACCAATCAGCACCCTGTCAAAACAGACCACTCGGCTCTCTGTAAAATGGACCAATCAGCAGGATGTGGGTGGGGCCAGATAAGAGAATAAAAGCAGGCTGCCCGAGCCAGCAGTGGCAACCGGCTGGGGTCCCCTTCCACACTGTGGAAGCTTTGTTCTTTCGCTCTTTGAAATAAATCTTGCTGCTGCTCAATCTTTGGGTACACACTGCCTTTATGAGCTGTAACACTCACTGTGAAGGTCTGCAGCTTCACTCCTGAAGCCAGCAAGACCATGAACCCACCGGGAGGAATGAACAACTCCAGACGCGCCACCTTAAGACCCGTAACACTCACCGCAAAGGTCTGCAGCTTCACTCCTGAGCCAAAGAGACCACGAACCCACCAGAAGGAAGAAACTCTGAACACATCCGAACATCAGAAGGAACAGACTCCAGACGATCCACCTTAAGAGCTGTAACACTCACCGTGAAGGTCCGCGGCTTCATTCTTGAAGTCAGTGAGACTAAGAACCCACCAATTCCGGACACATTAGGGTGTGAGTGACCCGATTTTCCAGGTGCTGTCTGTCACCCTTTTCCTTGGCTAGGAAAGGGAATTCCCTGACCCCTTGTGCTTCCCGGGTGAGGCAATGCCTCGCCCTGCTTTGGCTCACACTTGGTGTGCTGCACCCACTGTTCTGCCCCCACTGACTGACGAGCCCCAGTGAGATGAACCCAGCACCTTAGTTGGAAATGCAGAAATCATCCGTCTTCTGCGTTGCTCACACTGGGAGCTGTAGACTGGAGCTGTTTCTATTTGGCCATCTTGGAACCACCTTCCCAATAGTACACATTTTTAAACAACCAGATCTCATGAGAACTCACTCACTATCATGAGAACAGCAAGGGGGAAATCAGCCCCCATGATCTAGTCACCTCCCAACAGGTCCCTCCTCCAACATTGGGGATTATAATTTGACATGAAATATTGGTGGGGACACAAATCCAAACCATATTAGAATATATGCACAGGAAATGGCCTAAAGATGTCATATGCCCTTGGTTTTACTTAGAGTTTGAAAATCAGGTTATGAGGTCACTTATTTCAGACAGTAGTTCACATTATTTAACTATCCTCTGTCACTTTTAGAGTTTTTATTTTATTAAAGGCTTTAATTGGTAATACTCATTTCTTTTTCTTTTATTAGCATTGATTTTACTTTCTGTAGAAATACAGAAAGCATTTTCAAATGCTAATTTTATTATGTCTGTATCTGGTAGAAGATTCAAAACATTGCTCCAAAAACACTTGGCAGCAAATTCCCCATTCACTGGCAACCTGAAATGTAAGTTTATTGAGCATGAATGATAATTCGTTATCAGATGTAAGTCTTGGCTCTAATTACAAGATGCTTGTAGTCCAACATGTAGTCTAACACCTTATACTCTGATCAAGTATAAGAAAGAGGCCAATTTACTAGTAGAAATTGCAACAATGAATAGGAAAAAAATGTACGCTGCAAAGCAGAGCACTGTGAGAGAAGAATGTATGGTATATTCATAGTGGTTGAGGGGGAGAGGATTAATAGCTTTTGGACATATTACAGAATGTTAATTACATGCAAAACAAAATAGTTCTGTATAGGGAAGTGTGAATGCTGTACATAGCATGTGACTAGCTTGCATTTAATGGGGAAAAGAATTTAACTAGATAATTAGTATATATCAAATGCAATTTATGTGTCAGACATCATGCTATTTATGTATTTTACACAATTATTATCAAAATGTAATACATTACCAATGACTAGAAATAATAGTTGAAGAATAAGAATAGTTTCATAAAAAGTGTAGGATAATTGAATCAGAGAGAGACATTCAGAGAAGAAAAACGTTATGAAAAATTTTAAGTAGTAGTTTGAAGGAAGAAAAAAGAGTTTTCCAAAAAGAAAATGTCTGGAAATATAAAGCAATTCAAAATTTGAGAAGCAGAGGTTTTGCTTTAGTAAGGAGAGGGTAAATAGATATGGCTGGTAGAGTGTAGACTGTGACCAGAGCAGCGATTCTCTTGGCTTATAAGAGGAAACTGCTGGGTAATCCCAAAGGGCCTTGAATTGTTGATGAAATGTAAGTTCTTTGTGGAGTTAATTTTGGTCAAACATTGACCAAAATGTTTATAAATTTCCTTTTTTCGTGGTAAAATAAAATTGTCTTATGATTGCTTCTTGAGTGAATTTTTAAGGATATTAAAAGTTGGTATTCCTTAAAAGTTAACCTTTTACGGTTAATAAACTATTGCTATAGTTTATTATGGTCTTTGATTCATTTTTCTACTAGGTTACTTGAGACTGCTACACAACATCAAAAAAATTCTAATGCACATGGGCACAGGTTTATTGTTTGAATTCCCATAAAAATTTAAAACATCACTGAAATGGCAAAGTTGATTTAACATTAAATGTAACATATCACATTAAAAATAGAAGATACTAAAGAAAAAATATACAAATATTGTAGTAGATGGAGGAAAACTTCTCTATGCATTAATGATAAAAATTATCAGGAAGTTCAGAGTAGAAGGAAAAGTTTTCAACCTGAAAAACCATTTTTACTAAAAGCCTACAGCAAACATCATGCTTGAAGATTAAATAGTAGAAACACTCCTTTTAAAATGAAACATGACAGACATGCATATGTTTTTATTTTTTGCTTTTTTCTCTCTTTTTCTTGCTCTCCCAGTCTTCCTCTTTTTTCTTTTTTAGTATTATATTGGAGGTCTCAGAATGCTCAGGAAGACAAGAAAACAAAAATATATTGGAATATGAGCGGAAGACTTTTTTTGTCATTACTTATAATTGATAAAATTAACTTCACAGAAAGTCCTCTACAACATACAGGAAAACTATTTGAATTAGTATGAAAGCTTAGTGACAGTATTGGATATACAAAATATAAATCTCAATTGCAAATCTATACACAAGGATGAAAGATTAGGAAATATATTTTAAAATATATTATTTACAAGAGCAGTAAAATATATTAAGGTCCTAGTAATAAATCAAATAAAGATGTGCAAGACCTCAAAGAAGAAAATCCAGAAAACTTTATTCAACAATGTTAAAGAAGAGAGACAGATCATAGGGAGACACAATAGCATAAAGGTCCAAATTCTTTCCAAATTGATATATAGTCTAATGCAATTTAATAAAAATCCCAAACACTAATTTTTATGAGATTAGACAAGCTGATTCTAATATATACATGGAAGAACAAACGGCCAAGAATAGCCAACATATGCTTAAAGAAACAAAATCAAGGGGCTTATAATAATGCTGCTATAATTAAGAATGGATGATTATGTAGATCAATGGAATAGAACAGAAAGTTCAGAAATTGACATGTTAATTTAGGGAAATTAAATATTTTGAAAAGGTAGCATTGAATATTAGTGAGCAAATAATTCTTTTATTAAGTCACCTGGTACAATGATTATTTATATAGAAAATTTATAATTGGATCTCTACTTCACATCATATATGAAATTCAATTCCAGGCAGATTTAGGATTTAGATGTGAAAAACAAAACTTTAAAATATTTAGAGAATAAATGTTTAAGAATATTTTACAGGGTAGGGGAAAATTTCTTAAGCAATCACATGTAGCATAATGTCAAAATGGAAAGGCTGATAAATTAGATTTAAACAATCTAATTTTAAATTAGATTTAAACAGTCTAATTTTAAATTAGATTTAAACAGTCTAATTTTAAATTAGATTTAAACAGTCTAATTTTAAATTAGATTTAAACAGACTAATTTTAAATTAGATTTAAACAGTCTAATTTTAAATTAGATTTAAACAGTCTAATTTTAAATTAGATTTAAACAGTCTAATTTTAAATTAGATTTAAACAGTCTAATTTTAAATTAGATTTAAAAAATTAAGGCCTTTTCTTCGTTCAAAGATACTTTAAATTTTGTAAAAAATAAGCATCAAATTGAAAGAAATTTGCAATACTTTTAACCAACAAAGGATTAATGTTCAGAATGTATGCATAACTCCTATGTTTCATATAGGAGTTAGAAAAAAACGAAGAGCATACGGAGGATATGGCAGAAATTTTAGGTTTTTTAAAAATTAGATGTTGTTTGGACTGTATATACATTTTTTTGTTCCTTTATAAAAAAGTAACAGCTTTGAGATATAATTCATATACCATCATACATTTCCTTTAAAATGTATAATTTAATGGTTTTTAGTATATTTACAATTATGTAACTGATAGACTCTTTGTGTTCCTTAGCTCAGCTAGGTCTGAGTTCTTGTCAAATGACCAGGAAGAATTAGGCACGTGGACACCAGAGAGTGAGTGGAGTAGAATTAATTAAGCGAAATGAAAACTCTCAGTGGAGAGTGTATGTGGGGAAGGGGGTGGTTCCCCTACCTGAAGGTGGGAAGGCCCCCCAACCTGCCGCCCCATGTGGCTGGGTCTGGGGTCTTTTATGGACTCAGAATGGAGAGTGCATGCTGATTGGTTTGTGAGTATGCAAAAAAGGTTAAAACAAAGACACCACTCAGACGTGGGCATGAGAGTGTAGAAGACCAATTAGGAAAGGGTAGGTATATGTAAAATAGATGAAGGGTGAGGATCAATCACAGAAAGCATGACAAACAGGAAAACAAGTTCTCAAGTCAGTCTGAGGATTTAACTTGCAGCTTGGTTTTCAGGCTTTAAGCTCTTTGGCTCGGAGGTGGGGTTTCACCATGGAGCCACCCCTATCTGCCTAGGTATTTGGCTGCCTCCTGCTACTCTGATAGCCACCACCACAATACATTTTAGAACATTTTTAACACCCTAATAAAGAAACTTGGGACTCATTAGCAGTCAATCCCAATCTCCTCCTCCCTAACATCTCCAGCCCTAGGCAACCACTATTCTACTTTTCTCTATAGATTTTCCTGTGCTGAATATTTCATATAAATAGCACCAAATAATATGTGGTTTTTGTGTCTGGTTCCTCTCACTTAGCATAATATTTTCAAGGTTCATCCATGTTACAGTACATATCAGTACTTCATTTCTTTTTATTGCTGAATAATATTCCATTGTATGGATATAACACGTTTCTTTTCCATTCATCACTTGATATTTAATGGTTTCCACTTTTTGTCTGTTAGGAACAGTGCTGTAATATACATTCATGTACCAAGTTTTTATGTGGACATATATTAATAATTTCATTTCTGCTGGGTATGTAACTAGGAGTAGAATTGCTGCATCATAAAGTTATTCTATATTTAATCTGAGGGACTGTTAGACCTGTTTTCCAGAGTGATGATACCATTTTATATTCCCACAAGTGTCCCCATGGATACTTGTTATTATCTGTTTCTTAAATTATGGCCATCCTAGTAGATGTGAAGTGGTATCTCATTGTGATTTTCTTTGGCATTTCTCTAGTGTCTAAGGATGATGAGAAAGTTTTCATGAGTTTAATGGCCATTTGAATATTGTCTTTGGTGAAATATACATTGGTTTTAAATAAACATTGCTTCATAATAACACAACTTTAAAGATAAACAGAATGAGGAGAAAATAGAAAAAAAGTTAATGTAGATAACTCTTTAGATAAGCTTTGCTGTGAATAGAAGCAGTGAAAGGAGATAATTCAAAGGACATGTGAGTTGAAGAAAGGCTTGCAAATGTTCCGGTTCAGCAATTTCTTTTATGCCACAGTGATAATAGTAGCCCACAGTCACAGTCTCAGTGGGCACAGAGTGAGGGAGGCAAAGTGAGGGACAGAAATGGGGAAGGAAGAGGAACACAGGAGGGAACTGAGTTTATTGCAAAATGCAGAAGAATGGTTGAATAATAGAAGAGTCACCTTGTCTGGCAGAAGTGTTGAAAATGGGCTCTTGTAGGGGCAGAAGAAAAGCACTCAGGCCATTGGATAGGCAGACTTTTTCCCTTGAGAATCCATGACTCTTGTCACCCTTTGCTTCCCTCTCTACCCAGGGACTTTACTGCTTTACAACCTAAGGAACCAGCTAAAACAACAGCAACAACGATAACAACAAACCCAATTCTCACCCGCCGCACCTGCCCCCACCACCCGCAAAAAACAAATCCAAACAAAAAACTATTTAAAAATCACACAATTCACAAAAAGCGTCTCAAGAGTATGTTAATGTAAATACCATTTGTATTAAACCCTTACCTTATTTAAACGTACACATAGGGCTTGACTTTAAGAAACCCATGCATGAATTATTTGAATAACTGAACTAATGAAGGGTGAAATTAAAATAAATATATTCAAATAATGAGAGGCGGTATAAGTGAAGGGAAATATGGTTTAAATTCTGAGTCTTATAAAAATAATATGTATGTACATGTAGTACAACTATTAAAATTTGGGCTATTCTTGTTTCTTAATATTTTTGTGTATAATGATAAAAAACAATAAAAGAAATAAAGCTATTTGATTTGGATGTACAGAGAAAAATCCAAGCTATGGGAAGTACATTGTGACCCCCAGGTGTATACATATGTACATAAGCTGGGGTTAAGCTATTGCCTTAATTTTAGCCCCACCCATGTACACTCTGTGACGCTGCCTGGGATTCTACAAATCACATTTATCTTTTGCCACTAAGCTCCCTGTTAGGATCTGCCAATCAGAGGACGCTAGGGGCGGACTGGAAGGCTGAGTGGGGAAGAAGGAAGACACTTCCTGTTTGCTTCCTGTTCTGTTTAACGACACCCTAACGATTACTTTTCATTTCAGCAGTTATAGTTTGTTTCAGTAGCAACAGTTATTTCCAGTTTTAGTTTTGACAGCATTCCTAGAACTAGCTCCTTAGGGTTTTTTAAAGACACCAACGCCAACCAGCAAGCGCCCCCTACTGAGCGGTCTAGGTCCCAGCTCTGAGAAGCCACTCAAGTTTCTAAGTTTAGTATTTATATTATAATTCTAACCTCTTCCCTTTGTTGTCTCAGCACTAGGTAGCTGCTTCCTATGTTGCTTATACCATGATATTTTAGTATTCCCTCTTGCCTTCTCCATTTTTCAATATCTGGTCGGATAGCAATTCTTTATATTGAATTATTTCTGTAAAAATAACTGTTGGGGTTTCTATTCTATATCTTAGATGGACTCTAACTGAATTAATACATATGTAAATATATGGTGAATATATATAAATTATAAACATATGTCTCTGTATATATAGATATGTGTCTCTATATCAATGTATGTATTATAGATATATACATATATGTATATATAGAACCATAGATAATTCTCCTTAATATGCATGTACATAGATATGTACATCCATATTATATGATATAGAATATATAAATATAATATCTAATATATGCATATTAAGGAGAATTATCTATGGTTCTAAATATGCATTATACATATCTATATGCATACTGTATATCATATAATACATATCCATGTACATGCATATTAAGGAGAACTATTTACGGTTTTTGGTCTCATTTGTAATGCTCATAAAAATTTTCTCTTTTAATTTTAATTTCATTGAAACCATCCTTGGACTCATACTTGGAGACAAACTTACTTGGTCACTATATATTATTATTTTGACACACTTTGGTGTTCAGTTAGCTAAGTTAGAAATTTAGTTTATGTGTTTATTAGTTAAAATAAATAATTGACTTTCCTTGTACTGTCTTTTTCTGGTTTTGATGTCAGTGTTGTTTAGCTTTGAGGAATGGGCTAGGAAATGTTTCATATATTTTGAAATAATTTGTATAAATTGGAATTATTTGTTTCTTAAAGGTTTATGGAACATCTAAAGAACAAATTCATCTGGCTCTCATACAGTTTTTAGGATACTACTTTGATTGACATTTCAGTTTCTTTTAGATCTATATCTTCTATTTTTCTTGAGGCTATTTTGATAATTATTTCTTAAGATATTATCAATTTTCATCTAGATAAAAAAATATATCATTTTATGTATTTTTAAATTCATCGATATTTCCACTTTTCATTGACAACATTATTAAGTTTTATTGTGTCTCTTTTTTCAAATTATACTTGATGAAATTTTGAAAATGATTGGTCTTTCCAAAAATCACCTTTAGGTTTTATTGATAAACTTTTTCTTATTTTCTAAGTCAGGATACAAAATCAGTGTACAAAAATCACAAGCATTCTTATACACCAATAACAGACAAACAGAGAGCCAAATCATGAGTGAACTCCCATTCACAATTGCTTCAAAGAGAATAAAATACCTAGGAATCCAACTTACAAGGGAGGTGAAGGACCTCTTCAAGGAGAACTACAAACCACTGCTCAAGGAAATAAAAGAGGATACAAACAAATGGAAGAACATTCCATGCTCATGGGTAGGAAGAATCAATATCGTGAAAATGGCCATACTGCCTAAGGTAATTTACAGATTCAATGCCATCCCCATCAAGCTACCAATGACTTTCTTCACAGAATTGGAAAAAACTACTTTAAAGTTCATATGGAACCAAAAAAGAGCCCGCATCACCAAGGCAATCCTAAGCCAAAAGAACAAAGCTGGAGGCATCACACTACCTGACTTCAAACTATACTACAAGGCTGTAGTAACCAAAACAGCATGGTACTGGTACCAAAACAGAGATATAGACCAATGGAACAGAACAGAGCCCTCAGAAATAATGCCGCATATCTACAACTATCTGATCTTTGACAAACCTGAGAAAAACAAGCAATGGGGAAAGGATTCCCTATTTAATAAATGGTGCTGGGAAAACTGGCTAGCCATATGTAGAAAGCTGAAACTGGATCCCTTCCTTACACCTTATACAAAAATCAATTCAAGATGGATTAAAGACTTAAACGTTAGACCTAAAACCATAAAAACCCTAGAAGAAAACCTAGGCATCACCATTCAGGACATAGGCATGGGCAAGGACTTCATGTCCAAAACACCAAAAGGAATGGCAACAAAAGCCAAAATTGACCACTGGGATCTAATTAAATTAAAGAGCTGCACAGCAAAAGAAACTACCATCAGAGTGAACAGGCAACCTACAAAATGGGAGAAAATTTTCGCAACCTACTCATCTGACAAAGGGCTAATATCCAGAATCTACAATGAACTCAAACAAATTTACAAGAAAAAAAAAAACAACCCCATCAAAAAGTGGGCGAAGGACATGAACAGACACCTATCAAAAGAAGACATTTATGCAGCCAAAAAACACATGAAAAAATGCTCATCATCACTGGCCATCCGAGAAATGCAAATCAAAACCACAATCAGATACCATCTCACACCAGTTAGAATGGCAATCATTAAAAAGTCAGGAAACAACAGGTGCTGGAGAGGATGTGGAGAAATAGGAACACTTTTACACTGTTGGTGGGACTGTAAACTAGTTCAACCATTGTGGAAGTCAGTGTGGCGATTCCTCAGGGATCTAGAACTAGTTTATTAATTTCTTTTAAAAAATCTTCAATAATTCTACCCTAATTTTCTGAGCATTTTCTTAGCCATCTGAAAGCTTAGTTCAACAATTTTCAATGTTTTGTTTTTTAATACTACCTTGGCATAACACTGAGGGTATATCCTTATTTTCTCATTCTCACACTCTCAATAGTTCTATGTAGTTTGTAATTTTCATTTTGCTGTTCCCTTGTCCTAAAAGTAATTTTGAATGCGAAGAGCACTTTTCAGTCACTTAATTTTTAAAATAAATTTTATTGTGTACATTTAAAGTATACAGCATTATGTTATGGAATACACATAGGTAGTAAAAATTTATTATGGTGAAGAAAATTAACATATACATAATCTCATATAGGAAGAAAAAACTTTGTGTGTGGAAAGAGCAGCTAAAATCTACTGATTTAGCATGAATTCTATGTACAGTACAATTTTATTACCTATAGTCTTCATCTTGTGCATTAGATCTCTACATTTGTTTAGCCTATATATCTGCTACTTTGGTTTTTTTTATTTACTTTTAATTTTTGTGGGTATACAGTAAGTGTATATATTTATGGGGTACATGAGGTGTTTTCATACAGGCATGTAATATCAAATAAGCACATCGTGGAGAATGGGATATCCACCCCCTCAAGCATTTATTCTTGGAGTTACAAACAATCCATTTCTATTCTTTCAGTTATTTTAAAATGTACAAATAAGTTGTTATTGATTATAGTCTCCCTGTTGTGCTATCTACTAATTAATAGTAGTTCTTATTCATACCTTCTATTATTTTTTGTGCCCATTAAACATCCCTACCTCCCCCACCACCAACATCCCACTATCCTTCCTGGCTTCTGGTAACCATCCTTCTACTCTCTCTGTCCATGAGTTTAATAGTTTTAATTTTTAGATCCCACAATAAGTGAGAACATGTGATGTTTGTCTTTCTGTGCCTAGTTCATTTCACTCCACATGATCTCCAGTTCCATCCATCCAGGTTGTTGCAAATGACTGGATCTCATTCTTTTTATAACTGAGTAGGAATTCATTATGTATATATACCACATTTTCTTTATCCATTTATCTGTTGATAGGCACTTAGATTGCTTCCAAATTTTAGCTATTTTAAACAGTGCTGCAACACACTTAGGAGTGCAGATATTTCTTGGATATAATGATTTCCTTTCTTTTGGGTGTATACCCAGCAGTGGGATTGCTGGATCATATGGTAGCTCAATTTTTAGTTTTTTGAGGAGCCTCCAAACTGTTTTCCCTAGTTATTTTGCCAATTTACATTCCCACCAGCAGTGTACAAGGGTTCCCTTTTCTCTACATCCGTACCAGCATTTGTTATTTGCCTGTCTTTTGGATATAAGCCATTTTAACTGGGGTGAGATGATATCTCATTGTAGTTTTGAGTTGCATTTCTTTGATGATCAGTGATGTTGAGTACATTTTCATATCCCTATTTGCCATTTGTATGTCTTTTCAGAAATGTCTATTCAAATCTTTTGTCCATTTTTAATCAGGTTATTAGTTTTTTTATAGACGTGCTTGAACTCCTTATATATTCTGGTTATTAATCCCTTGTCAGATGAGTAGTTTGCAAATATCTTATTTCACTCTGTGGATTGTCTCTTCACTTAGTTGATTGTATCCTCTGTTGTACAGAAGCTTTTTAACTTGATGTGATCTCATTTGTCCATTTTTGTTTGGTTGCCTTGCTTGTGGCATATTGTTCAAGATGTTTTTTTTTGCCCAGACCAACATCCTGAAGATTTTTCCCCAAAGTTTTCTTGTAGTAGTTTTATAGTTTGAGGTATTAGATTTAAGTTTTTAATGTGTTTTGATTTGATTTTTGTATATGATGAAAGATAGAGGTCTATTTTCATTCTTCTGCATATGAATATCCCGTTTCCCCAGAACCATTTACTGAAGAGTCTCTCTTTTCCCCAGTGTATATTCTTTGCACCTTTGTTGAAAATGAGCATACCTGTGTGGATTTGTTTCTGGGTCCTCTATACTGTTCCATTGGTCTGTCCATTGTCCTGTGTATGTCTTGAAAAGTTGTAGTAGTTATTATTTTTGATTGGTTCATTATTTCATCTTTCTACTTAAAATAAGAGAAATTTACACACTACAGTTTCAGTGTATAGTATTCTGTGTTTTTCTAGGTACTTACTATTTCTAATGAGTTTTGTACTTTTAGATAATTTCTGATTTCTCATTAACATGCTTTTCTTTCTGATTGAAGTACTCCCTTTATAAGTACTCCTTTTACAAGTACTCCCTTTACAAGCATTTCTTGTAGGACAGGTCTGCTGTTGATGAAATCCTTCAGCTTTTGTTTGTCTGTGAAAATCATTATTTCTCCTTAATGTTTGAAGGGTATTTTTTGCCAAATATACTGTTCTAGCATAAAGGTTATTTTCCTTCAGCACTTTAAGTACATCATACCACTCTCTCCTGGCCTGTAAGGTTTCCACTGAAAAGTCTGCTGCTAGGCATATTGGCTCTCCATTGTATGTTATTTGTTTCATTTTTCTTGCTGCTTTTAGGATCCCTGCTTTATCCTTGATCTCTGGCAGATTGATTATTAAATACTTGCCATTTTGAGTCTATTTTCTAGATCCTGTAGGTGTGCTTCATTGTTTTTTATTATTTTTATTTTTTTTCTCTTGTCTCCTCTGTGTATCAAATAGCTTGTCTTCAGGCTCACACGTTCTTTCTTTTGGTTGATTAATTTTGCTATTAAAGGACTCTGCTGTATTTTTCATTATGCCAATTGCATTTTTCAGCTTCAGAATTTCTGCTTGATTCTTTTTAATTATTTCAATCTCTGTTAAATTTATCTGATAAGATTCTGAATTCCTTCTCTGTGTTATCTTGAGTTTCTTTGAGTTTCCATAACACAGCGGTTTTGAATTCCTTGTCTGAAATTTCACATATCTCTGTTTCTCTAGGATGGGTCCCTGCTGCCTTATTTAGTTCATTTGGTGAGTTCATGTTTTCCTGGATAGTGTTGATGCTAGCAGATGTTGTTCAATGTCTGGGCGTTGAAGAGTTAGATATTTATTGTAGTCTTCACTGTCTAGGCTTATTTGTAGCCATCCTTTTTGAAAGGACTTGGGTGTTGTGATCTAAGCTATATCTGCTTTAGCAGCACCCCAAGCCCAGTAATGCTGTGGTTCTTGCAGACTTGTAAAGGATCACCTTGATGGACTTAGACAAGATCCAGGAGAATTTTCTGGATTACTAGGTAGAGACTCTTGTCCTCTTCCCTTACTTTCTCCCAAACAAACAGAATCTCTTTCTGTTCTGAGTCACCTAAAGCTGGGGGTGGAGTGACACAAACACCCCTGTGACCACCTCCAGTATGACTGTGCTGAGTCAGAACTGAAGCCAGCACAGCACTGGGTCTGCGGTAACCACTCCCTGGCTAATGCCTATGTTCATATAAGGCCCTGAGGCTCTACAATCAGCTGATTGCAAAGCCAATCAGGTCTGTATTCTTCCCTTCAGGGCAGTAAGGTTCCCTAGGCCCAGGTGGATCCAGAAGTGCTATCTAGGAGTTAGGGACTAGAGTTAAACACCTAGCAGTCTATCTGGTGTTCTATTGTACTGTGGAGGAACTGGCACTCTAACCACAAGATGCAGTTATTCTCACTCTTCCCTCCTCTTTCCAAAGGCAGAGGAACCTCACCCTGTAGCCACTGCCACCCCAGGCCATAAGGAATACTGTCAGACTGACTACCTCCAATGTTTCTTTAAGATCCAAGAGCTCTTAAGTCAGCTTGTGGTGAATGTTTCCTGGCCTGGGACTCATCCTTCAGAGCAGTGGACTCCACTCTGGCCCAGGACAGAGCCAGAAATTTTATGCAATAGTCAAATCCTGGAACTGGGGAGCCCAAGAGCTTGCTTGGTGCTCTACCCACCCTATGGCTGTGCTGATACCTGAAGCCAGCAAGTCTCAGAGGCTTACCCAATGCCCTTGATGTGGTACCTGAGTATCGCTTCTGGTTTTTCAGGGACGAAAAGCTCTTCAGTTAGCAGAAGATGAATGCTGCCAGGATTGGATCCTTTCTCTCAAGGTTATGGGTTCTTTTATGACCCAAGGTGTGTCTAAAATGTTCATGTGGGAGGTAGGGCCCAGAACAGGGGCCTTTTGACTCTGACCACTGCCCTATCCTGCTATGGCTGAGCTGGTATCCAAGATCCAAGACAAAGTCCTCCCAACTTTTCCCTCTCCTCTTCTGAAGTGGAAGAAAGGGATTTCTTTTCGAGCTGTGAGCTGTGAAGCCTGGGGGTAGGGGAGGGGTGATGCCGGCACTCCTTTATCCACCTCAGCTGGTGTCTCAGTATGTCATGTGCCCCCCCCCCCCCCCCCAGTCCACTGTTTCAGGACCTGGTTCAGCACTGGGACTCACCTAATTGTTGCAGACCTTATGGACTACATTGGCTTTCAAGTTTGTTTGGAGACACAGAGCACTTTGGTCACTGGTAGTGAGGTTTGCAGGAACTCAAGTTCTGACCTCTGGGATCCATGATCCCTCTCTGAGTAGTGCCGGTTTAAATGCTTCCCTCGTGGGCAGGTGTCAGCTGAGTTTGGTCCGGTTTCCCTTTCTGCTCCACCTGGATAGCACAAAATTTAATGTCTCACAGTTGCTATGTTCTCTCTCCTCTAGCACCCAGAGATGCTCTCTGCACCATGCCATGACTTCCAGGGGGTGGAGAACAGGTAATGTCAGGGGTTCAGGGCTCTTTTTTCTATCTCTTCAGTTGCCTCTTTCAGTGATATGAAGTTAAAACCAGGTACTATGAGTGCTCATCTGATTTTTGGTTCTTATGAAGCTGTTTTTTTTTTTTTTTTTTTCTGTGTAGATAGTTGTTAAATTGGTATCTTTGTGGAGAAGGCAATCAGTGGAGCCTTCTGTTCGGCCATCTTGCTCCTTATACCTGCTACTTTGTATTCTCTGATCTATGTCTCTTCATTTCTCCACTCCTCTGTTCCAACCACCCCTGGTAACCATGTTTGTCTTCTCTATTTCTGTATATTTATTTACTTATTTTAGAATCTACTTATAAATGAGATCATGCAGTATTTTTCTTTCTGTGTCTGGTTTATTTCACTTGTCATAATGTCCTCCACCCTCTTTCATGTTGTGGCAAATGGCAAGATCTCATTCTTTTTTAAGGCTGAAGAATATCCCATTGTATATATGTACTACAGTTTCTTTATCCATTCATCCATCAATGGCCACTTAGGTTAGGTTGTTTCCATATCTTGGCTATTGTAGAAAATACTGCAATGAATATGGAAGTGGGTTATCTTTATGAGGTGTTGATTTCATTTCCTTTGGGTATGCCCAGAAGCGATATTACTGGGACATGTGGGAGTTCTATTTTTAACTTCTTTAGAAACCACCATACTCTTTTCTATAATGGCCACACCAATGTACATTCCCACTAACAGTGTATACAAGTTCCCTTTTCTTCATACTCTTACTGACATTTGTTATCTTCAGTTACTTAATTTTTATTGGTGGGAAGGGGGCTTTATTAACATTTTTTTGTTGAGATTATTCATTTCTAATTTTTTGCACTATTATTGGTGCTTGCTACAATTTCTAGTTTTTGTTTCATAATTTCAACTTTTAGATTCAGGGAATACATGTACTTGTCACTTGGGTATATTGTGTGATGGTGAGCTTTGGGGTATGATGGATTTTGTCACCCAGGTACTGAGCATACTACTCACTAGTTAGTTTTTAAGCCTTTGTTCCCCTCTCTACCTCCACACTTGGTAGTCCCAAGTGTCTATTTTTGCCATCTTTGTGTCATTGAGTACCCATTGTTTAACTTCCACTTATAAGTGAGAATATGTGATATTTGGTTTTCTGTTTCTAGGTTAATTTACTTAGGATAATGGACTCGGGCTGCATTCATGTAGCTGCAAAGAACATGATTTTGTTATTTTTAATGTCTACATAGCATTTCATGGCATATATGTACCACATTTTCTTTGTCTAATCCACCGTTGGTGGGCACCTAGGTTGATTCCACTTCTTTGCTATTGTGAATAGTGCTGCAATGAACATATGACTACATGTGTCTTTTGGGTAGAATAATTTATTTTCTTTTGGATATATACCCAGTAATGGGAATGTTGGGTTGACTGGTAGTTCTGTTTTAAGTTCTTTGAGAAATCTCCAAACTGCTTTCCACGGTGGGTGAACTAATTTACATTCCTACCAACAGGGTATAACATTCCCTTTTCTCAACAGCCTCACCAGCCTTTGTTGTTTTTGACTTTTCAATAATGGTCATAATGACTGGTGTGAGATGGTATCTCATTGTGGTTTTGATTTCATTTATTTGATGATTATTGATGGTGAGCATATTTTTATGTTTGTTGGCTGCTTGTATGTCTTCTTTTGAAAAGTACCTGTTCATGTCGTTTGCCCATGTTTAATGGGGTTATTTGTATTTTGCTTGTTCAATTGTTTAAGTTCCTTATAGATTCTGGACATTAGATCATTGTCAGATTCATAGTTTGCTAATATTTTCTCCCATTCATTAGGTTGTCTGTTTACTTCGTTGATAATTTCTTTTGTTGTGCAGAAGCTCCCAGGTTTAATTGGGTCCCACTTGTCAATTTTTGTTTTTGTTGCAATTGTTTTTGAGCACTTAGTCATAAATTCTTTCCCAAGGCTGATATCCACTATGGTGTTTCTCAGATTTTCTTCTAGGATTCTTATAGTTTGAAGTTTTTCATTTAAATCTTTAATTTGTCTTGAGTTAATTTTTGCAAATGGTGAAAGATGGGGGTTCAGTTTTATTCTTCTGCATATGGCTAGCCAGCTGTTCTAACACCATTTGTTGAATAAGGAGTCCTTTCCCCATTGCTTCTTTTTGTTGACCTTGTCAAAGATCAGATAGCTGTATACATGTAGCTTTATTTCCGGGTTCTTTATTCTGTTCCATTGGTCTATGTGTCTGTTTTTGTATCAGTACCATACTGTTTGGGTTACTGTAGCTGTATAGTATAGTTTGAAGTCAGGTAATGTGATGCCTCCAGCTTTGTTCTTTCTGCTTAGGATTGGTTTGGCTATTCAGGCTCTTTTTTAAGTTCTGTATGAATTTTAGAATAGTTTTTTTTCTAGTTCTGTGAAAAATGACATTGGTAGCTTGAAAGGAATACCATTGAATCTACAGTTTGGGCAGTATTGCCATTTGAATGACAGTGATTCTTCTAATACATAAGCATGAAATGTTTTTTCATTTGTTTGTGTCATCCATGATTTCTTTCAGCAGTGTTTTGTAGTTCTCTTTGTAGAGATCTTTTACCTCCTTGGTTAGAGGTATTCGTAGGTATTTCATGGTTTTTGCAGCAGTTGTAAACGGGATTGCTTTCTTGGTTTTGCTCTCAGTTTGAGTGTTATTAGTATGTGGAAATGAAACTGATTTTTGTACATTGATTTTGTATCCTGAAACTTTATTGAAATTGTTTATTTTATATATATATATATTATTATACTTTAAGTTCTAGGGTACATGTGCACAACGTGCAGGTTTGTTACATATGTATACATGTGCCATGTTGGTGTGCTGCACCCATTAACTTGTCATTTATTTTAGGTATATCCCCTAATGCTGTCCCTCCCCACTTCCCCACCCCACAACAGGCTCCAGTGTGTGATGTTCCCCTTCCTGTGTCCAAGTGTTCTCATTGTTCAATTCCCACCTAAGAGTGAGAATATGCGGTGTTTGGTTTTTTATCCTTGCGATAGTTTGCTGAGAATGATGGTTTCCAGCTTCGTCCAAGTCCCTACAAAGGACATGAACTCATCATTTTTCACGGCTGCATAGTATTCCATAGTGTATATGTGCCACGTTTTCTTAATCCAGTCTATCATTGATGGACATTTGGGTTGGTTCCAAGTCTTTGCTATTGTGAATAGTGCCACAATAAACATACATGTGCATGTGTCTTTGTAGCAGCATGACTTCTAATCCTTTGGGTATATACCCAGTAATGGGATTGCTGGGTCAAATGGTATTTCTAGTTCTAGATCCCTGAGGAATCACCACACTGTCTTCCACAATGGTTGAACTAGTTTACAGTCCCACCAACAATGTAAAAGTGTTCCTATTTCTCCACATCCTCTCCAGCACCTGTTCTTTCCTGACTTTTTAATGATCGCCATTCTAACTGGTGTGAGATGGTATCTCATTGTGGTTTTGATTTGCATTTCTCAGATGGCCAGTGATGATGAGCATTTTTTCATGTGTCTGTTGGCTGCATAAAGGTCTTCTTTTGAGAAGTATCTGTTCATATCCTTTGCCCACTTGTTGATAGGGCTGTTTTTTTCTTGTAAATTTGTTTGAGTTCTTTGCAGATTCTGGATATTAGCTCTTTGTCAGATGAGTAGATTGCAAAAATTTTCTCCCATTCTGTAGGTTGTCTGTTCACTCTGATGGTAGTTTCTTTTGCTGTGCAGAAGCTCTTTAGTTTAATTAGATCCCATTTGTCAATTTTGGCTTTTGTTACCATTGCTTTTGGTATTTTAGACATGAAGTCCTTGCCCGTGCCTATGTCCTGAATGGTACTACCTGGTTTTCTTCTAGGGTTTTTATGGTTTTAGTTCTAATATGTAAGTCTTTAATCCATCTTGAATTAATTTTTGTATAAGATGTAAGGAAGGGATCCAGTTTCAGCTTTCTACATATGGCTAGCCAGTTTTCTCAGCACCATTTGTTAAATAGGGAATTGTTTCCCCATTTCTTGTTTTTGTCAGGATTGTCAAAGATCAGATGGTTGTAGATGTGTGGTATTATTTCTGAGGGCTCTGTTCTGTTCCATTGGTCTATATCTCTGTTTTGTTACCACTACCTGCTGTTTTGGTTACTGTAGCCTTGTAGTATAGTTTGAAGTCAGATAACATGATGTCTCCAGCTTTGTTCTTTTTGTTTAGGATTGTCTTGGCAATGTGAGCCCTTTTTTGGTTCCATATGAACTTGAAAGTAGTTTTTTACAATTCTGTGAAGCAAGTCATTGGTAGCTTGATAGGGATGGCACTGAATCTATAAATTACCTTGGGCAGTATGGCCATTTTCATGATATCGATTCTTCCTATCCATGAGCATGGAATGTTCTTCCATTTGTTTGTATCCTCTTTTATTTCATTGAGCAGTGGTTTGTAGTTCTCCTTGAAGAGGTCCTTCACATCTCTTATAAGTTGGATTCCTAGGTATTTTATTCTCTTTGAAGCAATTGTGAATGGGAGTTCACTCATGATTTGGCTCTCTGTTTGTCTGTTATTGGTGTATAGGAATGCTTGTGATTTTTGTACATTTATTTTATGTCCTGAGACTTTGCTGAAGTTGCTTATCAGCTTAGGGAGATTTTGGGCTGAGACGATGGGGTTTTCTAAATATACAATCATGTCATCTGCAAACAGGGACAATTTGACTTCCTCATTTCCTAATTGAATACCCTTTATTTCTTTCTCCTGCCTGATTGTCTCTGAAGATAGACCAATAGCAGGCTCTGAAATTGAGGTAATAATTAATAGCTTACCTACCAAAAAAAGTCCAGGACCAGATGGATTCACAGCCAAATTCTACCAGAGGTACAAGGAGGAGCTGGTACCATTCCTTCTGAAACTCTTCCAATCAATAGAAAAAGAGGGAATCCTCCCTAACTCATTTCATGAGGCCAGTGTCATCCTGATACCAAAGACTGGCAGAGACACAACAAAAAAAGAGAATTTTAGACCAATATCCCTGATGAACATCGGTGCAAAAATCCTCAGTAAAATACTGGCAAACCGAATCCAGCAGCACATCAAAAAGCTTATCCACCGTGATCAAGTGTGTTTCATCCCTGGGATGCAAGGCTGGTTCAACATACACAAATCAATAAATGTAATCCAGCATATAAACAGAACTAAAGACAAAAACCACATGATTATCTCAATAGATGCAGAAAACACCTTTGAGAAAATTCAACAGCCCTTCATGCTAAAAACTCTCAATAAATTAGGTATTGATGGGACATATCTCAAAATAATAAGAGCTATTTGTGATAAACCCACAGCCAATATTATACTGAATTGGCAAAAACTGGAAGCATTCCCTTTGAAAACTGGCACAAGACAGGGATGCCCTTTCTCACCACTCCTATTCAACATAGTGTTGGAAGTTCTGGCCAGGGCAGTCAGGCAATCAGAAATTGGTTATTTGTTCCAGTAGTCTTTTGGAGGAGTCTTTATGGCTTACTCAGTATAGATCATATCATCAGCAAAGAGAGATAATTTGATTTTTTTACCTATGTGGATGCCTTTTATTTCTTTCTCTTGCCTGATTCCTCTGGGAAGGACTTGCAGTACTCTATTGAATAGGAGTGGTGAGAGTTGGCAACCTTGGCTTGTTCCAGTTCTTAAAGAGAATGCTCCCCGTTTTTGCCTGTTCACTACAATGTTGGCTGTGGGTTTGTCATAGATGTCTCTTATTGTTTTGATATATGTTCCTTCAGTGCCTAGTTTTTTGAGAACTTTTACCAAGAAGGGATGTTGGACTATATTGAAAGTTTTTTGCATCTATTGAGATGATAATATTGTTTTTGTTCTTAATTCTGTATATGTGGTGAATCACATTTGTTGATTTGCATATGTTGAACCAAATTTGTATCCCAAGAATTAAGCCTACTTGGTCACGGTGAATGAACTTTTTGATGTGCTGCTGGATTCAATTTGTTAGTATTTTGTTGAGGATTTTTGTATCTATGTTCGTCATGGATATTGGCCTGTAATTTTCTTTTTAAGTTGCGTCTTTGCCAGGTTTGGTTATTAGAGTAGGCTGACTTCATAGAATAAGTTAAGGAAGAGTCCCTCCTCCTCAATTTTTAGAAATAGTTTCAGTAGGATTGGTAACAGCTCTTCTTTGTGCATCTGGTAGAATTTGGCTGGTGTGTATCCATCTGGTCTGGGGCACCTTTTTTTTTTGGTATCTTTTTTTTTGTTGCTGATTCAATTTTGGAACTTGATATTTGTCTCTTCAGGGATTCAATATTTTCCTGATTCAGTCTTGGGAGATTATGTATTTCCAACGATTTATCCATTTCCTCCAGATTAGCTAGTTCATGTGCATAGAGGTGTTCATAATAGTCATTGAGGATCATTTATATTTTTGTGGGATTTGTTGCAATGTCACCTTTGTTATTTCTGATTGTGCTTATTTGGATCTTCTCTCTTCTGTTTGTTAACCTTGTTAGTGGTCTATTGATCTCTTCTGTCCTTTCAAAGAAACAACTTTTGGTTGCACTGATTGTATAAATTTTGAGGTCTCAATTTTGTTCAGTTCTGCCCTCATTGATTTCTTTTATTTTTCTAGCTTTGGGGTTAGTTTTTTGTATTTCTAGTGTGATGTTAGATTATTAAATTGAGATATTTCTACCTTCTTGATGTAGGAGTTCAGCACTATACACTTTCCTCTTAACACTACTTTTGCAGCATCCCAGAGATTTTTGGTATGTCGTCTCTCTGTTTTTATTCCTTTCAAATAACTTTTTTTTGATTTCTACCTTTATTTTGTTGTTTACCCCAAACTCATTCAGGATAAGCTGTTTAAATCCCATGTAATGGGGTTTTGAGAGATCTGTTGGTATTAATTTCTATTTTTATTCCACTGTGGTCCAAAAATATGGCTAGTATGATTTCAGTTTTTTTGAATTTAGAGACTTGCTTTATGGCTAAGCATGTGATTGATCATGGAGTATATTCTGTGTGCAGACAAGAAGACTGTATATTCTGTCATTGTTGGGTAGAGTATTCTGTAGATGTGTATTAGGTCCAAATGGTCAAGTGTTGAATTTAAGTCCAGAATTTCTTTGCTAGTTTTCTGCCTTGATGATCTGTGTAAGGGGATCAGTGGGGTGTTGAAGTCCCCTGCTATTCTTGTGAGGCTGTGTAAATCTTTTCTAGGTCAAAAAGTACTTGTTTTATGAGTCTGGGTGCTCCCATGTTGGGTGCATACATATTTAGCATAGTTAAGTCTTTTTGTTGAATTGAACCCTTTATCATTATGTAATGTCCTTCTTTGTCCTTTTTTACTGCTGTTGATTTAAAGTCTGTTTTTTTCTATGAGAATAGCAACCTTAGCTCTTTTTTGTGTTCCATTTGCATGATAGATCTTTTCCAACCCTTTACTTTGAGCCTATGGGTGTCATTACATGTGAGATTGGTCTCTTGAAGACAACAGTCAAATGGGTCTTGTATCTTTGTACAAATTGCCACTCTGTGCCTTTTAAGTGAGGAAATTTAGACCATTTACATTCAAGATTGACTATTGATATGTGAGGCTTTGATCCTCTCATGGAGTTGTTAGGTGGTGGTTTGTAGTTTCTATTGTTTGGTTGCTTTATATGGTCTGTGGGCTATGTACTTAAGTGGTTTTTTTTTGGTGGAGCAAGTATATTTCTTTCATTTCTATGTTTAAATCTTCCTTGAGGATCTCTTATAAGGGTGGTCTAGTGTTAATAAATCCCCTTAGTGCTTGGTTGTCTGAAAAATATTTTATTTTTTCTTTGCTTATGAATTTTAGTTTGGCAGGATATGAAATCTTGGTTGGAATTTCGTTTCTTTAACAATGCTGGAAATAGGCCCCCAATCTGTTCTGGCTTATAAGGTTTCTGCTGAGAAGTCCAGTGTTAGACTGACGGGGTTCCCTTTGTGAGTGTTCTGACCTTTTTCTCTAGCTGTCTTTAAGATTTTTGCTTTAGCATTGACCTTAGACAGTCTGGTGACAATCTGCCTGGGTGATGTTCATTTAGTATATTATGTCACAGGCATTCTCTGTATTTCCTTTGCTTGGATGTCTACCTGTCTAGGAAGATTAGATAACTTTTCTTGAATTATTCCCTCAAATGTTTTCTAGATTGTTTTCTTTGTCTCTCTTTCTCTCAGGAGTGCCAATAATTCATAGGTTTGGTCACTTCATATAATCCCATATTTCTTGAAGACCGTTTATTTTTAAAATTCTTTTTTCTTTACTTTTGTCTGACTGGGTTAGTTTGAAAGATTGATCCTTAAGCTCTAAAATTCTTTCTTCTGCTTGGTCCAGAGAGATGGAGTCTTGCTTTGTTGCCCAGACTGGTCTTGAACTCCTGGCTTCAAGTGATCCTCCTGCTTCAGCCTCCCAAAGTGCTGGAATTACAGGTGTAATTCAGTGTGTCTGGCCTTTGGCTTACACTTTTATTATAATTTGTCCTGTCTAAGGTTTCTTTTTCATATTGTTATTTTTGGTTTTCCTCTGTGCTTTCATGTTAAGGATGTCACTTATAAACAATGCATAGCAAGCTTCTTTTTTTTAACCTAATCTGTGAATTGCTATATTTTAATAGATAGCTTAGCCCTGGCATATGTATTATAGCTAATAATGAATTTAACTTTTTTCTGTGATTTTATTTTGTTTTCTTTTTACTTCACTTGCTATATATTTCTCTTTACCTCCTTTCCAGCCTTTTGTTAGAATGATATTTTTTCTCTTTTTTTCTCATTCTAATGGTTTGGAAGATAATGCTATTCTGAGTAATTATTAGTAAATTTCTATCATACAAACTTATGTTTGTTCATCTCATTTTTTTTGCCAAAGTTCAGTTATTCAGTATCCTGACCTTCCCCATTATTTACATAGGTATCTCTGCACTTTCTCATTTTCATATAATTTGAAATTTGAGTTTGATAGCTACTATGATTTTATTGTTCTAGCCTGTCAATATGCTTAGACAATTTTAAGTAGCCTTCTTTTCTTATCATTACCTTTTTAACTCCACTTTTTCTTTTTGTATTTTATTTTTGTTTTGCTTTTTTTTTGTTGCTCTTCTCATTCCTCTATTCATTGCATCCTCTAATAATTCTTTTCAGACAGCATTTCCAAGTGGTAAATGATGTCAGTCTTTTTCTTTCTTTCTGTAATTTCTATATATTTGAAATCCTGTATTTATCTAACTCTTTGTATTTACCAGGTTAGATAAAACTAATCTGGTTAATTTTTATTTCTATAGTAAAATTTTTTTATTATACCTTAAGTTCTAGGGTACATGTGCACAAGGTGCAGGTTTGATACATAGGTATACATGTGCCATGTTGCTTTGCAGCACCCATCACTCATCATTTACATTAGGTATTTCTCCTAGTGCTATCCCTCCCCAGCCCCCAGCCCCCCAACAGGCCTCACTATGTGATGTTCCCTGCTCTATATCCAAGTGATCTCATTGTTCAATTCCCACCTATGGGTGAGAACATGAGGTGCTTGGTTTTCATCCTTGTGACAGTTTGCTCAGAATGATGGTTTCCAGCATCATCCATGTCCCTGAAAAGGACGTGAACTCATCCTTTTTTATGGCTGCATAGTATTCCATGGTGTATATATGCCACATTTTCTTAATCCAGTCTATCATTGATGGACATTTGGGTTGGTTACAAGTCTTTGGTATTGTGAATAGTGCTGCAATAAACATACATGTACATGTGTCTTTATAGTAGCATGACTTCTAATCCTTTGGGTATATACCCAGTAATGGGATGGCTGGGTCAAATGGTAATTCTAGTTCTAGATCCTTGAGGAATCGCCACACTGTCTTCCACAATGGTTGAGCTAATTTACATTCCCACAAACAGTATGAAAGCATTCCTATTTCTCCACATCCTCTCCAGCGTCTGTTGTTTCCTGACTTTTTAATGATCGCCATTCTAACTGGTGTGAGATGGTATCTCATTGTGGTTTTGATTTACATTTCTTTGATGACAAGTGACGATGGGCATTTTTTCATGTGTCTGTTGGCTGCATAGATGTCTTCTTTTGAGAAGTGTCTGTTCATATCCTTTGCTCACTTTTTGATGGGCTTGTTTTTTTCTTATAAATTTGTTTAAGTTCTTTGTAGATTCTGGATATTAGCCCTTTGTCAGATGGGTAGATTGCAAAAATTTTTTCCCATTATGTAGGTTGCCGGTTCACTCTGATGGTAGTTTCTTTTGCCATGCAGAAGCTCTTTAGTTTAATTAGATCCCATTTGCCTACTTTGGCTTTTGTTGCCATTGCTTTTGGTATTTTAGTCATGAAGTCCTTGCCTATGCCTATGTCCTGTATGGTATTACCTAGGTTTTCTTCTAGGGTATTTATAGTTTTAGGCCTAACATTCAAGTCTTTAATCCATCTTGAATTAATTTTTGTATAAGGTATAAGGAAGGGATCCAGTTTCAGCTTTCTACATATGGCTAGCCAGTTTTTCCAGCACGATGTATTAAATAGGGAATCATTTCCCCATTTCTTGTTTTTGTCAGGTTTGTCAAAGATCAGATGGTTGTAGATGTGTGGTATTATTTCTGAGGCTTCTATTCTGTTCCATTTGTCTATATCTCTGTTTTGGTACCAGTACCCTGCTGTTTTGGTTACTGTAGCCTTGTAGTATAGTTTGAAGTCAGGTAGTGTGATGCCTCCAGCTTTGTTCTTTTTGCTTAGGATTGATTGACTTGGCAATGTGAGCTCTTATTTGGTTCCATGTGAACTTTAAGTAGTTTTTTCCAATTCTGTGAAGCAAGTCATTGGTAGCTTGATGGGGATGGCATTGAATCTATAAATTACTTTGGGCAGTATGGCCATTTTCACGATATTTATTCTTCCTATCCATGAGCATGGAATATTCTTACATTTGTTTGTGTCCTCTTTTATTTCGTTGAGCAGGGGTTTATAGTTCTCCTTGAAGAGGTCCTTCACATCTCTCGTAAGTTGGATTCCTAGGTATTTTATTTTCTTTGTAGCAATTGTGAATGGGAGTTCACTCATGATTTGGCTCTCTGTCTATTATTGGTGTATAAGAATGCTTGTGATTTTTACACATTGATTTTGTATCCTGAGAGTTTGCTGAAGTTACTTGTCAGCTTAAGGAGATTTTGGGCTGAGATGATGGGGTTTTCTAAATATACAATCATGTCATCTGCAAACAGGGACAATTTGACTTCCTCATTTCCTAATTGAATACCCTTTATTTCTTTCTCTTGCCTGATTGCCTTGGCTGGAACTTCCAACACTATGTTGAATAGGAGTGGTGAGAGGGGGCATCCTTGTCTTGTGCCGGTTTTCAAAGGGAATGCTTCCAGTTTTTGTCCATTCGGTATGATATTGGTTGTGGGTTTGTCATAGATAGCTCTTATTATTTTGAGATACATTCCCTCAATACCTAGTTTATTGAGAGTTTTTAGCATGAAGAGCTGTCGAATTTTGTTGAAGGCCTTTTCTGCATCTATTGAGACAATCATGTGGTTTTTGTCATTTGTTCTGTTAATGCAATGGATTATGTTTATTGATTTGTGTATGTTGAACCAGTCTTGCATCCCAGGGAGGAATCTGACTTGGTCATGGTGGATAAGATTTTTGATGTGCTGCTGGATTTGTTTTGCCAGTATTTTATTGAGGATTTTTGCACCAATGTTCATCAGAGATATTGGTCTAAAATTCTCTTTTTTTTGTTGTTTCTCTGACAGGCTTTGGTATCAGTTTGATGTTGGCCTCATAAAATGAGTTAGGGAGGATTCTCTCTTTTTCTATTGATTGGAATAGTTTCAGAAGGAATAGTACCAGCTCCTCTTTGTACCTCTGGTAGAATTCAGCTGTGAATCCATCTGGTCCTGGAGTTTTTTTGGTTGGTAGCCTATTAATTATTACCTCAATTTCAGAGCCTGTTATTGATCTATTCAGAGATTCAACTTCTTCCTGGTTTAGTCTTGGGAGGGTGTAGGTGTCCAGAAATGTATCCATTTCTTCTAGATTTTCTAGTTTATTTGTGTAGAGGTGTTTATAATGTTCTCTGATGGTAGTTTGTATTTTTGTGGAATCGATGGTGATATCCCCTTTATCGTTTTTTATTGTGTCTATTTGACTCTTCCCTGTTTTCTTCTTTATTAGTCTTGCTAGCTATAATTTTGTTGATCTTTTCAAAAAACCAGCTCCTGGATTCATTGATTTTTTGAAGGGTTTTTTTAATGTATCTATCTCTTTCAGTTCTGCTCTGTTCTTAGTTATTTCTTGCCTTCTGCTAGCTTTTGAATGTGTTTGCTCTGGCTTCTCTAGTTCTTTTAATTGTGATGTTAGGGTGTCGATTTTAAATCTTTCCTGTTTTCTCTTGTGGGCATTTAGTGGTATAAATTTCCCTGTACACACTGCTTTAAATGTGTCCCAGAGATTCTGGTATGTTGTGTCCTTGTTCTCATTGGTTTCAAAGAACATCTTTATTTCTTCCTTCATTTCGTTATTTACCCAGCAGTTATTTAGGAGCAAGTTGCTCACTTTCCATCTAGTTGTGTGGTTTTGAGTGAGTTTCTTAATCCTGAGTTCTAATTTGATTGCACTGTGGTCTGAAAGACAGTTTGTTGTGATTGCTGTTCTTTTACATTTGCTGAGGAGTGCTTTACTTCCAACTATGTGGTCAATTTTAGAATAAGTGTGATGTGGTGCTGAGAAGAATGTATATTCCGTTGATTTGGGGTGGAGAGTTCTGTAGATGTCTATTAGGTCTGCTTGTTGCAGAGCTGAGTTCAGGTCCTGGATATCCTTATTAACCTTCTGTCTTGTTGATCTGTCTAATATTGACAGTGGGGTGTTAAAGTGTCCCATTATTATTGTGTGGGAGTCTAAGTCTCTTTGTAGGTCTCTAAGGACTTGCTTTATGAATCTGGGTGCTCCTGTATTGCATGCATATATATTAGGATAGTTAGCTCTTCTTGTTGAATTGATCCCTTTACCATTATGTAATGGCCTTCTTTGTCTCTTTTGATCTTTGTTGGTTTAAAGTCTGTTTTATCAGAGACTAGGATTGCAACCCCTGCTTTTTTTTGCTTTCCATTTGCTTGGTAGATCTTCCTCCATCCCTTTATTTTGAGCCTATGTGTGTCTCTGCATGTGAGATGGGTCTCCTGAATACAGCACACTGATAGATGTTGACTCTTTATTCAATTTGCCAGTCTGTGTCTTTTAATTGGTACATTTAGCCCATCTACATTTAAGGTTAATATTGTTATGTGTGAATTCATCCTGTCATTATGATGTTCGCTGGTTATTTCGCCCATTAATTGATGCAGTTTCTTCATGCCATCAATGGTCTTTACAATTTGGCCTGTTTTTGCAGTGGCTGGTACCAGTTGTTTCTTTCCCTGTTTAGTGCTTCCTTCAGGAGCTCTTGTAAGGCAGGCCTGGTTGTGACAAAACTCTCAGCATTTGCTTGTCTGTAAAGGATTTTATTTCTCCTTCACTTATGAAGCTTAGTTTGGCTGGATACAAAATTCTGGTTTGAAAATTCTTTTCTTTAAGAATGTTGAATATTGGCCCCCCACTCTCTTCTGGCTTGTAAGGTTTCTGCCGAGATATCTGCTGTTAGTCTGATGGGCTTCCCTTTGTGGGTAACCTGATCTTTCTCTCTGGCTGCCCTTAAAATTTTTTCCTTCATTTCAACCTTGGTGAATCTGACAATTATGTGTCTTGGGGTTGCTCTTCTCGAGGAGTATCTTTGTCGTGTTTTCTGTATTTCCTGAATTTGAATGTTGGCCTGCCTTGCTAGGTTGGGGAAGTTCTCCTGGATAATATCCTGAAGAGTATTTTCCAACTTGGCTCCATTCTCCCCATCACTTTCAGGTACACCAATCAAATGTAGATTTGGTCTTTTCACATAGTCCCACATTTCTTGGAGGCTTTGTTCTTCTCTTTTTACTCTTTTTTCTCTAACCTTGTCTTCTCACTTTATGTCATTAATTTGATCTTTAATCACTGATACACTTTCTTCCACTTGATCGAAGCAGCTGTTGAAGCTTGTGCATGCATCATGAAGTTCTTGTGCCGTGGTTTTCAGCTCCATCAGGTCATTTAAGGTCTTCTCTTCACTCTTTATTGTAGTTAGCTATTCATCTAATCTTTCTTCAAGGTTTTTAGCTTCCTTGCAATGGGTTTGAACATCCTCCTTTAGCTCGGAGAAGTTTATTACCAACCTTCTGAAACCTACTTCTGTCAACTCGTCAAAGTCATTCCCCATCCAGCTTTGTTCTGTTGCTGACGAGGAGCTGTGATCCTTTGAAGGAGAAGAGTCGCTCTGATTTTTAGAATTTTCAGCTTTTCTGCTCTGGTTTCTCCCCATCTCTGTGTTTTTATCTGCCTTTGGTCTTTGATGTTGGTGACCTATAGATGGGGTTTTTGTGTAGATGACTTTTTGTTGATGTTGCTGCTATTCCTTTATGTTTGTTAGTTTTCCTTCTAACAGTCAGGTCCCTCAGCTGCAGGTCTGTTGGATTTTGCTGGACATCCACTCCAGACCCTATTTGCCTGGGTATCACCAGCAGAGGCTGCAGAATAGCAAATATTGTTACCTGATCCTTCCTCTGGATGCTTTGTCCAAGAGGGGCAGCCACCTATATGAGGTGCCTGTCGGCCCCTACTGGGAGGTGTCACCCAGTTAGTCAGGGACCCACTTGAGGAGGCAGTCTGTCCATTCTCAGAGCTCAACCACCATGCTGGGAGAACCACTGCTGTCTTCAGAGCTGTCAGACAGGGATGTTTAAGTCTGTAGAAGTTGTCTGCTTTCTTTTGTTCAGCTATGCCCTACCCACAGAGGTGGAGACTAGAGGCAGTAGGCCTTGTTGAGCTGCAGTGGGCTCTGCCCAGTTCAAGCTTCCAGGCCACTTTGTTTACCTACTGAAGCCTCAGCAATGGCGGACACCCCTCACCCAGCCAGGCTGTCGCCTCACAGGTTGATCTCAGACTGCTGCACTAGCAGGGAGCAAGGCTCCATGAGCATGGGAGCTGCCAAGCTAGGCATAGGAGAGAATCTCCTTGTCTGCTGGTTGCTAAGACCTTAGGAAAAGCAGGGTATTTGGGCGGAAGTGTCCTGTTTTTCCAGGTAGTCTGTCTCGGCTTCCCTTGGCTAGGAAGGGGAAATCCCCTGACCCCTTGTGCTTCCCAGGTGAGGTGACGCCCTTCCCTGCTTCAGCTTGCCCTCCATGGGCTGCACCCACTGTTCAACCAGTCCCAATGAGACGAACCAGGTACCTCAGTTGGAAGTCCAGAAATCACCCATTTTCTGCGTCGATCACACTTGGAGTTTCAGACCAGAGCTGTTCCTATGTGGCCATCTTGGAATGCCCCTATATAGTCAAAATTTTAATCTCTTCCATCTTATGTTGATTTTATTTAAGGATGAAATTTTAAAATATGTTTTGGAGAATATTATTTATAATTATAAAAAGTCTTGTCCTGCTCACTGTAAATTTTCTTGCTTTGCATATAAATTTCTTCTCTTTGTTGAGTCACATATTGTTTCTTCATGGTATTGGCTTTCTCTAAATATTTTATGATTCTTGCATATCTTCTGAAATTCCCTATTAAACTCAGAAAAGGGTGTATCTGTTTTTGCATTCTGCTTGGTGGGAGAAAGAGGACCAATTTTTGAACATGAAAATAAGTAGATAAGAATCTGTGCCCTGGGCTCACCATTTCTACTGGGTGTTGACAGTTGCCTGAAGCACAACTTTGTCTCTCTGACCCAGTGTTTTGCCACTCTCCTCCACCTGAAGAAGATTTTTTTTTTTCTATTGCTTGGCTCTTGGGCAGGTTGAGGAGAGAAGAGAGGAGATGAAGGATGTGTAGGTTGCTCCTGCTGTAAAGATCCGCCCTATTTTGCCTGGCCCCTGTCCTATTTCTAGTTTCTGCTACCTTCAGACATGAGGTTACTGGTGCTTCTCCTGTCTTTTGTAGTTTCGACTCTCTTAAGTGCATTTGGGCTGTGGTTCCCATCTCCAATTCAATCTTCTGCTTTCTGCCTTTTAAAGTCCTGACAGTATCTCCTTTTTTTTTGTTTTCTGTTGTTGAGATAGATTTATTTATTAGGTTGGTGCAAAAGTAATTGTGGTTTTGGCAATTTTAATGGAAAAAAAAAAACACAATTACTTTTGCACCGACATTTTTTTTCTTCTTTTAGCTTGTAAAGGAATTTGTACCAGAAGTGGAGGCTGCCCTGAATGCTCAGTCCATCATCTTGAACTGGAACCACCCTTCACTTCTTAAGATAATTTTCATCATGCAAAAAGAGTGAAATTCAGTAGTCTCTTCAACATCCTATATGTATTCTTTTGGTTTTGGCTGTGTTTTTGTTTTTTAACCATAACTCATAAAGCATAAGAATGGCTACCAGAATTAATGTTAAGCAGTTAGCAGCTACTTAGGGCTATAGTTTTTAGTTATGTTTTTACAGTATATATTTCCATCCTATGTTCTCTTACTCTAGAAAATGTAAGATAAATCTAGGGCTATCCCTGTATAATTTTAGCCTCATAGAATCTTGAAATGAAGAATAGGTGTTGACCAGTTTTTTAGAAACAGGGTAGGGGGTCTTGTTCTTTCATCGAGGCTGGAGTGCAGTGGTCTAATCATAGCTCACTACAGCCTTGACCTCCTGGGCTCAAGCCATCTTCCCACCTTCCAAGTAGTTGGGATTAGAGTCATGAGCCACCATGCTTGGCTCCAGTT
Organism: Homo sapiens; assembly: GCF_000001405.40. Taxonomy (NCBI): domain Eukaryota; kingdom Metazoa; phylum Chordata; class Mammalia; order Primates; family Hominidae; genus Homo; species Homo sapiens. Next base: position 31,521,643 of record NC_000008.11, read on the forward strand.
TTCTTATTTGTTTGCCAAGTGGATTGTCTTCTTTTCTGTTATTCAAACAAATAAATATGCAAAACAGCAAAAAAAGTTTTGCAGACACGGTGGAAATATCCAAGGAGTTTTTTTAAAGTATGGGGTTCAATTTGAATTTTACTACCTTCTGAATATACCTTAATTAATATTGAAATTGATCAATGGATTGGAGACATTTGTTAATGATCACAAAATAATTTTGCTGATTAGGATCAAACACAGAGTCTCCATGTAATGATTTGGAAGGGTGTTTAATGAAAGCTGCAATATTGCCTACATTGTTTTCATGGACTTTGCTGGAAGCATCTTTGAAACTTAATGGCAACTTATTATTATATTCAATGGTCTAATAAGACAAATTCAGAAAAAAATTTTGGGCTGATCCCCTGAAGTTTCAACATTTAAATAGTCTAGGAAGTATTGGTGGGTGTGTGATTTTATTCCCAGATCCTTAATAGGCTGTTAAGTAGGTGGCTCCACACACACCCACTTTACATTTTTCTTGTCACATGTGATTCATTTTTATTCCACATTTAAAAATCCTTCCGAGAAAAATATTAGATAATTTTCATTTCAAAGTCTAATAGTCCCTGTGGCTGACATTATTTCCAAGGTCTCATCTCAATATTATATGCTACAGGATAAATTTATTACTTTTGTTCTTTCCTTAGTGGACGTAATAATAATTACTACTACTTTTTGGGCATTACTTCTCTGCTTGTGATACGGCTCTGGCGAGTAGAGGAACACTAGGGCTCTTGTCTCATGTTCAATTAGATAAAACAACATGGACACACTTGGAGTGGTTTTAAGGAGCAGAGGGTTTAATAGGCAAGAAAAAAGGAAGAAGAAAGAAGGAAGAAGCTCCCCTATACAGAGACAGAGGAAGGGGGGCTCCAAAGCCAAGAGAGGGAACCCCAAGTGAAGCAGAAACCAGCCATGTGTATACAGAGGCTGGAGGAGGTGGTGTCTGATTTGCACAGGGCTCGGGGGATTGGTTTGACCAGGCATGTGATTCACATAGCCTGGGAAAAAGCTGGCCTTCCCACCCTAGCCTTTTAATATGCAAATGCAGGGAACCATGATGTTCTACAGAAATTCTCTACAGTTCTCTACACACTTGGAGATATGTGGGGGTGGCCATGTTGCCAGGCACATGTGGGGCAAGGGCAAGAAGGCAACTCCTACAACACTTGTAAATATACACGTAAATATAATAATGCACATGAAAATTGTTACTAAACTGTAAAGTACTATTCAAAAATATTAACATTATTTATGGTAGTATTATTAGCATAATATCATGTTACCATATCATTGATTTTTAAGAACTTTGGATAATAAAAATAATGAGAAAGTCTCTCTCTCTGTCTCTCTCTCACTGTCTTTTGGTGAGCAATGCGACTCTTCCCAATATCAGAAACTAAAATAGAATTTCTTTAACTTTCCAGCTGAGCCCCAGAAAACCTTTCAGCAAACAAACATGATGGTTTCATATACCAGTTGGCATGAAGATAAAGTGTTGGTGCTGCATTTTAAAGGGGAAGTTTGAGAAATATGAGGAAAGTAACTAAACTAGAATCAATTATAATAGGCTGGTTATCGGCAAATATACTTTTCAGAGGAACTTGGAGCATCTCAAAGAAAGCCAGGAGTTTAGCAGAGTGTTCTACATTCTCTTTCTACTGTGATAGACATGGGCCTAAACTTTTCATGCCTCTTTTTCATTACCTGTGAAACTGGGGTCATAGTAGCTTTACCGTTCTTAAGAACTTGTTATAAAATACCGTGTGTACCCCAGTGACTTATGGAAAAATAAAATAAAAAAATTATAAAATCACAAGACAAGGGACTTCTAATGCCTTGTTTTCCTCAAAAGGAAACAGTCTTAAGTGAATAAGTGATTTGTCCCAAGTCAGAAAACCTAGTTGGGCTATAATAAACTGGAAGCTTTTTGAATTGGAATAGATGTTTTAGTTATATAGTATTTAAATCTTTTTACTGAATCAGGAATTCTCTGCAATCTCTCTGGCATTCATTTTGAGATCACTCCTTGTTAAGAAATTGACTGCATTTCAGGGTGGAACATTATATTATTGGACCACTTTAATTGTCTGGCAGTCATTGTTTTTAATGTCATGTCAAGTTCCTGTGACTTCTATACCTTGACTCTTATCACAAGTGTGACTCCCTAGAAAGCAGACACTTAGAAATTAGCAAGTTTATCAGGGAGTGCTTTTGGTATCCATTCTGTGTAAAGGAAGAGAAAACAAATAAATAAACAAACAGGATTTGACAGAGAAAGAAGTCACTCTGTAGTGCAGTTTGAATAGAGTGCCTCAGTGGATGCTGCAGGGAATTTAGATGGAACAAACTCTTGAGCTGGGATGACAGAGCCAGGCCTTTAAACCTCTCTGTCTATCACTTACTGAAAGTAGGCTGCCCTGGGAAGGGGGCGTGACCTTGGGTGAAACAGCTTTCTTCTGCTGAGGCAATTCCCAAATGGGGCTGACATGCTAGGGCTGTTTGTAGGCAGCTAAAGCTTTAATTCCTTTATTTCTGAAAAATAATAAAGGTGATACCTCATAGCATTCACCACACATAATACATTTTTAGAATTAGTTTGTAAATTTCTACTAAAAATATTCCTGCTGTCTTTAATTGGGATTGTGTTGTATCTATAGATAAATTTAGGAAGAATCGATATGTTAACAATGTTGAATCCTCAATCCATTAGTATAATTATTTATTTGAGTCCTCTTTAATTTCTATGGGTAATATTTTGCAGTTTGCAATGTATAAGCCACAAATACTTTTGGATACATTTGTGTCTTGATGCTATTTTGAATGGAATATTCAAATTTCCATTTAAAAATATTTATCACTAGTATATAGAAGTATAATTACTGCTTTTTATGCACTGGTTTTATCTTCTGAAATCTTGTTAAGCTCACTTACTAGTCATAGTAGATTTTTAAGTCAATTCCTTAGAATTTTCTATGTCCATGATCGTATTGACTATGAAGAAAGTTTTATTTCTTTGTTTCCAATCTGTATGCCTTTTATTTATTTTTATTGCCAGGTTGCAATGGTTAGGGCCCATAGTACAATATGGAATAGAAGAGCCGAGAGCAGACATCGTTCTGTTGATCCTAGTCTAGTTCAATAACATTCAATCTTTCATTGAGTATGATATTAGTAGATTATAGTAGGTGAATTAAAATTCTAGAGTAACAACATGAAAAGGATGCAGTAAGGGTCCATTGCTTAGTAAAGTCATACACTGTCTCAATTTAACTGCATTAATACTGGATACAACAGTAGCTGGAACAAGTTGTAAATAATTATCTACTACCTAGCTTTGAAAGAGAGCACATTTTACATTCTTATGGAAACTTTTTTTTTTTTAATGATGAAACAACCAATTCTGTAGCATATAGAAAATGCATAATGTCCTGCAAAAATAACTGTGTAGTGGAAAATTATCTCTTTCAGATATTCATCACTTACTGTTCACTGATTTTCATGCTGAGAGGTTCATGCTTAGACTACTCTTCAAACAAGTTTATCTGGGTTGAAGTTTTTTGCCTCGCTCCCTTTGGACGGGAGGTTGACATTTTCTTATTAAATTCATAAACATATCTTCTACTTATATAATATTCAAGAGCCAGCCATGACTGCAGGAAAATCCATGAGGGTACTCATGGCCTCATTCTTTTACCACTTCCTCTCCATCTCCTCACTGCTTACATAGGAGCTCAGCTTCCTCTTAAAATCCCTTTCAGAGAACCCTGGAAATTTTCAGGATGTTTTGCTCAGGAAAAAGGCTGCTCATGTTGTACTAATTCTGGCTTCTCATTTCCGTCTCTTAGTTCTGCTTCTGTGGGAGCTGCCCTCCCTGAAAATGTGTGTTTCTGTAGTGGGGTACGATCCACTGACGTTCCTGAAGGAAGAGCAGTTCTTTAGGTGCCTGACTTGGTGAGGACTTTGTCATTGATGCCTTAAAGCATCAATGGTCATGATGAGAGCCTTACGTAGTCTTTCATGAAGTCAGCTCCTTCACCTGTCACCATCCCATTTTTCCCTCCACAGGTGTCATGTAGGGAGGAGAGAAGGAAATTCCTTGGCATCCCCTTTATCATCTTTACCATTTCTTTGACCTTGTCCAACCAGTCATATCACAAACAAGCAAACAACCAAGCAAAACCCAAATATTTTCTTCTTTTAGTCAAAACACGAAAACTAATATGAATATTAATTCATGCAAATGAAAACCTGCAATGATCACCCACAAACCAGTTACAAATAAACAAATTTGGCCTCAGTTGGAAACCTGGCTACACAGCAATGCCTCCATTGACTAGAGTCAGTCAGTTGCATGTTTCTATTTTGCAAAATCAATCCAACAATCATTTACTGAAGGCTCATAGAGTATTGCTCTGGGGGATATTGAAATGAATATAGATAAAAAGCAAGAATGTAATCTTCTTAATGTCTTCTGTTTAGAATAGCTTCTACTTCACAAGGCCTTTTTGTTTTGTCATTCATTTTCAAATTAATTAAAATACAGCTCATTATTTTCCAGGCACAAATATTTGCTCACTATATTTAAACATATAAATATTTAAACACATAAATGTCCACTGCTAATTGCCAGGCAATTAGCAGTGGACATTTGACTGCAAATGGAGTAGAGCTGATTGTAACATTATATGCAAATGAGGAGTGCTGAATCTAATCATGCATTGAGATTTCCAGACAGTAAAAAATTATACCCTCTCTAAAAACCCAAAGCTTTACATTCAAAGGTCTACCCAGGAATAAAGGCAGTAATGGATGTCACTACTTGTAGTTATTTACTTTAATCACCAATGCCAAAAATGATATTTAGATGATGATTGAGAACATTAGCATCTTGTAAATATCAAACATGATTATTTCCTGTATGGTTCTTGAACCCCTCACTCTTAAGTCAAATATTTTCTTGTGTATCATTTTTAATAAATCAGAACAACAAGAGCTGAAATGAAGACATCATCTTATTTAATCATTTTAAAAATAAACACAATAGTTATTACTCTTATACTTTATAATAGCCTGAGTATAATCATACCTACTTCTGGAGAGACAGATTTTCATTCATAAGACAGCTTTCTGAAATCCTCTTCTCATTTATCAAACTGGAAGGATTGGCTAATAAAGCAGTCAAAATTTAAAAATATATATTTAGTTTGGTTGAACTCTTTGTTTTAATTTAATGAGCTCATCTAGCTTAAAACATATATAAACATGAATATGTGTGTTTCATTCTTCCACAGAATTTTGGAAGCAATACGGGCGTAAAAGGTTTAATTCATCATTTCTTTGCCACCTCGATTAGAGGTTTTAAGCCTATTCCTTCAAGCTGCATGAGTCATATCAGAAAATATGAGAAATCAACATCCTGAAATAACTTGAATTGAGATTTGTTTAATGGTGGGATGGAGCAGTATCTCACAAAGTGAAAGCTTTTTATTAACACTGAAGAAAATACAACCATCATCAGGCGAGAAGATTATAATGGAGGTTGAGAAGGATAACTTTGGCTGTGGATGTTTCCACACTGAGAAAAAATGTCTCTGCCCTGATCAGATGCTAGTGACCTGCTCATTTCCTGCATTTGCTATCACCAACACTTCAGTCCTAATTTCATATCTACTGATTGGTTTCATATCCTCCTCCCCCTTCTCTTCTTGTCAAAATTGGAGCCACTTTTCAAGACCTAGCTCAGGATTTTGCTCTGAAACCCTTCCTGATCCTCCCGGTTTAATTTAATCACTCCTTCCTCTTCTTCTTAACAGCACTTCTTATCTGTACCGGTCCTTTGACCCTGAATCATATGCTACTTTATATGGTTCATTGCATTTGCAAGCCTATTTGTCTGATCTTAGCTAGATTAAAAAGGCTTTGAGGGCAGAGGCTGTTTGTTTCTGTGCTTATACTATCTAGTGGCTGTATAGGGGGAAAAATTACATGTTGATGATCCCAACTAATCCTTTTGCTCCAGGATACGTGGCTTCCTCAGGACATGCCATGCATATGTGAGGTCTATTTTAATTCATAACATCCTAGATATGGCTCCAGAGTCAGATAAACCTAAATTTGAATCTTTGATCCACCACTTATTAAATGGGATTTTGGGGTACATTTCTTAATTTCTGTAAGCATCCATGTACTCATCTGGAAATAAAGGGAATAATAAAATTGTGAGGATGAAATTAGATAATGGCTAACAATCACCTGGCATGGTTCCTGGCCAATAATTAGCACAAAATAGTGGCAATTATTATTACTATGGGTGTTGAAGCATGGTGGACCCTCAAGTGGCTCTGGTAGTCGGGGAGGAGGATTGCTTAGAGAGTGCACAGAGTGCTGGACTCTATCAGCCAGTCATCAAAATCGCAGGGCCAAACACAATGCAGTGAGCTCACACTTAATGTAGGGCAGTGTCAGGAGAGAGGCAAAGTATGAATGAGAATCATGCCAACAAGAGTCCCTAATGGTAATAATACTAGAAATTAGGCATCTGGCAAGTACTGTTTCGAGGTGGTCTTTTCAGTTTGGTTGAAGACATTGAACAGCATCTAAGATTTCTCAAAACAGAACCAGTTTTTCTGAAAGGGAGGCTAGGGAATGGGTAGGCAGGGTTTTAGGTGCTTTGTTGAGTAGATGAGAGTTTGTTTTGTTTCATGTTAATGCTTTTTCTTCCAGCAACTGCCCAAAGCCCCTCTTCCTCATGTTGGGGCTCAGAAGCTGATACCCCAATACATGGCGCTTTGACATGTTGAGTTGAAGGAAAAGCCTCAGGTCTCTTTGACCTTCCCCTCCACTCCCGATATTCTGTCTTCCCCAAAGCACAGGGTGAAATTGTTCTCTGAGGTTCCTTGATCTGCCTAAAGTCTGGAACTGCCAAAGAATAAAACAATTACCTCTGTTCCCTTCCCTGAGTTTGTATTAATTGAAATCACTTTTAGGGAAGAAAGATTGAAGTCTGTTAACACGCCTGGACAGACTTTTGTCATAAACCATTGTCTTCTGCTTCAGTCCCATTCAGTATTATATAGAACCATTTACCAGCCATTGTCTGCTCTATGGGCCCAACAGACTTTGTCCCAGGCCATTGTATATTCTTCAAGCCCATTGAATTCCCCTAAAAATAATTTACTACTCCCCCCATAAAATCATCCATATTTCCTCATCTCACATTATCCTAAGAAGAAGGGTAGATAACCACTTGTACCCCACTGGGTGTTGGGGTGATCACTCTGTGATTTCTCCCATGCATGTTAATAAGAATTTATATGTCTTTTCTAGTATTAATCTGCCTTTTGTTGATTTTTTTGCAAAACTTTGGAGGGAAAAAGGGAAGTTTGCCCTTCACCCCTATACTTTTCTTCTTGTTTGTAGAGTCACTGACTCATTGTTACCATTTTCTTATCTCCATTCTCTTACCAACCCAATGCAATAGAGTTTCTCCTACAGGTCCTCTGAAATCACTCCAGCCAAGGACATTAGTGTTTTTCTTGTTTCTGACTCTATGGATTCATTGTCATCTTGTCTCTCAACAGCATCCAAATCTATAGACCACTCTGTTATTCCTGAGTTTTTCTCTGCTTTTGTCTGCTGTCAGATCAAACATAATCACTTGGTATTCTTTTTTGGCTTCTCCTACTCACTTTCCCCACCAGGTTCCTCTTCCTCCTGTCAATTAATTGTTAATATTCCTCACAATTCCCTCTTTGTCTCTGTTATAACTCTACATCCTCTCCTTTAGTGATGTCTCTGACCCTACCAAGTAGTAAGCACTCAGCCGGGCATGGTGGTTCACACCTGTAATCCCAGCACTTTCAGAGGCTGAGGTGGGCAGATCACTTGAGGTCAGGAGTTTGAGACCAGCCTGGCCAACATGGCAAAACCCCGTCTCTACTAAAAATACAAAAATTATTTGGGCATGGCGGCACATACCTGTAATCCCATCTACTTGGGAGGCTGAGGCAGAAGAATTGCTTGAACCTGGGAGGTGGAGGTTGCAGTGAGCCAAGATGGCGCCACTGTATTCCAGCCTGGGTGAAAGAGTGAGTGAGACTCTGACACACACACACACACACACACATACACACACACACACACACAAAGTAGTAAGCACTCAGGAGTTCGATAACCACCTTTATGTTGATGGCTTCTAAATCTCTGATATCAGTCCAGATCCTTTTCTTGACCTCAACTACAGGGCCAACTAACTACTAGATTTCTCAAACACTATTAAGACAGAACTCTTCACCTCTCCCAGGTCTCCAAATTTATTCTTCCTCTCCTGTTCCTTCTCTCAGGGAATGACACCATTATCCATTCTGTTGTTATTCAAGTAAAACAGACTCACATCCTTCTTGACATTTCATTTTTTTATATCCAATTAATCATCAAATTTCTACTCAAGCTTCCTGACCCTGTTTTCCTCTTCTGGGTAGATAGGTCTTGTTTGATAATTCATCTGCAAATATATAGACTAGAGTGCTTACTTAAAAACCGCTCTCTTGTTTTTCTTTTCATCCACCTGTTACCACATAGCTTAATCAGTTTTGCCACATCCCTTTCAGTGTGGACTTAGAAAATATACCCCCAAAAAGCTTCAGTTTCAATTAGCTGGGCGTGATAGCACGCGCCTGTAATCCCAGCTACTCGGGAGGCTGAGGCATGAGAATTGCTTAAGCCCAGAGGTGGAGGTTGCAGTGAGCCAAGAATGGGCCACTGCACTCTAGCCTGGGCGACAGAGCAAGACTCCGTCTCAAAAAAAAAAAAAAAAGAAATGAATGCGCATATGACTACCATCCTAATATAAATGGAGCTTATGCCAGTACTATTTGCAGTAGTACTACTTGAAATAATGCTCACAATAAATTTTATGCTTATTAAATAGTAATTATACATAATATAGAAAGTCAAATAGTGCTACAAAACTTACAATAACAACACTCATTAACTTGACCCCCTTCCAAATCTGATTTTTTTACTTCTCCAAGGCAACCACTTTCAATTCTTTTAGTTACACTTTCAACACTTCTATTGTTGTCTCCTTATTTCTAAATTAAATGCTTATACTGTGACTTCTTGATTTTAAACTTTAGGTATTATTTATTGACTTCCTGTTTTGAGAGTTTTGCTTTCTTATACCACACCTCCCCTTGCCTTTCCCCCCTGATTATTCCTCTCTCCATCTTCCTAATAGATTTACATATAATTTCTATTTACGTTTAGAATTTTCATTACCATGACTATGGCTAGAGCTGAGCCCTGTAGTGTACTACATATAATAACATTTTTGTTTTACTACAAATGCTTTTGCTTTTCCTGGAGTTAAAATGTTCTTATTTTAATGTGTTTTCTTACATTTCTTTTTACCTATTACTAAATCAGTCATATGCTTTGCACAAGCACTATAAAAATCTTCTCAGTATGGTCAGGTTTTTTTCTTTTTTCTTGGCGAATTCCTCCTAGAAATCTCTATCTGACTACTCTAATCTTAACTGGTTACATTCTAAGCCTGCTCCACAGCTGTTGTTTTAGACACTTATATTCACTCTTTTTTGGAAATTCCCTTTACCACTCTCCTTGGTTCTTTGTAACATTACTGGATTTCCTGAATACTATTTCTTAGATTCCATCTTATTTGTTAGAGCACATTCTCCAATAATTTCCTGAGAAAGGGGTTAGGGGAAATAATGTTTTGTAGAAACTTGCATGTCTGAAACTATGTATTATATTGTCACATTTGATTAGCTGTTTTGCCAGACATTGAGTTTTAAATAAATTTTTTTCTGAAAATTTAAGCCACTTTTCCATTATTTTCTATTTTCAGAGTTGATACTGAGAAGTCTATTAATGCGTGGATTTCTAGTTTCTGTGTATAATTTATTTTTTTCTCTCTGAAGCTTTCAGGATCTTTCTCCTTGATACTCTAAAGTTTTGCAATGATGTAATATGGCTTGAGTCTTTCTAAATTATTTTTCTGGGCCCTACTTGGATCATTTAAATGTGGAAACTCACATCCTTCATTTTGAACTATATTCTTCTATTATTTATTCCAGAATTGTTTCTCCTTTTTTTTTCTTCTCCTGATCCTTTCATTCTATTTTCTGGGTGATTTCCTCATTTTATTGTACAACTTGTCTATTAAATTTTTGCATTTGCTTCTATATTTTTAATTTCAAAGACCTTTTTCTTATTCATTCATTCATTCATTCATTCAACAATATTTATTGAATAATTATGATATGCCAGGGACTAAGATAGATGCTGGAGATAGACACAAACCCCTGCCCTTCAGTATCTTATCTTCTAATGGTTGAAGGCAGGTATGGGATTGCAAGTACCAAAAGATGGGTGATATCAATTTTTTGTTTTTTTGTTTTTTTTTGAGACAGAGTCTTGTTGTTGGCTGGGGCTGGAGTGCAATGGCAGGATCTCCATTCATTGCAACCTCTGCCTCCTGGGTTCCAGGAATTCTCCTGCCTCAGCCTCCCGAGTAGCTAAGATTACAGGCATACGCCACCATGCCCGGCTAATTTTTGTATTTTTAGTAGAGACTGGGTTTCACCCAGTCAGGCTGGTCTGGAACTCCTGACCTCAGCTAATCCATCTGCCTCAGCATCCCAAAGTGCTGGGATTACAGGAGTGAGCCACCATACCCAGCTGATATTACATTTTAAAAAGGAGAGTCTGGGTAGGCCTCATTGAGAATGTTTGATGATGCTTGACTGCTCATCATATTTACAAATGAGGTATGAAAAAGTAATTGGAAGCACTTTGTAAATGTGTGCATGTGGGGGATGGATTGTTTTGTGAACCATTGGGCCTTACCATAGATTAATTGAGCATTTAACCACTTCTTTGGGCCCTTTGCCTTGAACTGACTGCTTTCTCCAGGAGAAGCTTTATTCTCCTGTCTGAAACATATGTGCCAGACTGCCAGCATTCTGGAGCCAAGTCACTATGTAGATCATCTCTCTTTTTATTTGAGACAAGGTCTGGCTCTGTCGCCCAGGCTGGAGTGCAGTGGCATGATCTCAGCTCACTGCAACCTCTGCCTCCCAGGCCAATGCTATCCTCCCACCTCAGATTCCCAAGTAGCTAGGGCTCCAGCCACGCACCATCATGCCCAGCTAATTTTTATATTTTTTGCAGAGACAGGATTTCACCATGTTTTCCAGGCTGGTCTCAAACCCGTGAGCTCAAGTGATCCACCTGCCTTAGCCTCCCAAAGTGCTGGGATTACAGGCCTGAGCCACCATGCCCAGTCAATATGTAGATCACCTCTTAGTTATGCTGTTTCTTGCAGGGACTCTACTTGAACACTCAGTTGTGATTACTGTCCCTGAGGCAAGAGCCTCTTCAGCTTTATTTCTCCTGAGATTGAATCCCCAGTTTTATTCCAGAATAGTGAAGAGGCAGCTATTTGACAGTCTGGGCTTGGGAAGAAGACACAGATGTATAACTGATTTTTATACATATACTGACATTTGAACAGTCTTCTTTTTGTCAGCTCTGACCCACACCCATTTTGAGAGTTATAGTTTCCTGGTGGCTCTGCTGTCTGAACTCTCTAGGGTTCTGAACCACGAGAGGCATTACTTCCCTCTGACAACCACCATTTCCCCCAAAGCTGATAGTAGGCTTTTAGCTTTCTCTTTTCTGTTAGCTACTGCTCATCTACCCACACTTCATCTTACAAAATTTTATCAACATCTGTCACCTACTAGTATCTCTGAACTCATGTCTTTTGTTTTCCTGGGTTTATACCAATTTCCTTTGCTTTTATTTTAGTGGAGTTTTGGAGGAAGACAAGATAAACCTGCCCTATTTAATAAGAAGTCCAAAATAAAAGACTTAATCCAAATTACTTGAAAACTTTTCTGAATATATGAAATAAAATTTTCATTCTCACAATGAGAATAGTCTTTCATTCTCTATGAATTCTCCAAATAATTTAGTGATTAAGAAAACAGATCTATTTTCTTAATATTTCATAAACCTTTTGGTTACATACTAAAACAATGTATTAATATTCTTATACGGTAATCATATTTGAGTTGGTTCATTAGACTTTATTTTAACATTATGAGTAATTTTTTTTTTTATTAGAAAGTCTTTTGAATTGTAGGGCATAAGGAATTTTTAGTTGTGACTCCTAGGTCTAACATTTAAAAAAATTCAAAACACACTGTCTTAGCAATGTTACTAGAATTAATCAAACGCTAAAATTTTGTAAGCCTGACTCCATAGACCATAAAATATTGGAAAGATCACTTGCTATGAAGTCAATAAACTTGGAATTTAATCTCAACTATACCACTGGCTACCTGACTTTAAATGAAATGAACACTTTTGACCTCAAGTTCCTAATCTTTAAAATGGGGCTTAAACTAGTTGGCCTAATACCAATATTGAATGATTATTTGACAGTTACATAGAAATAGATTGGATGTAGAAATAGAGATATGAATTGCATGGTGTTTGCTCACTAGAATGTGGAAAACTGTAAAGGATGCATGAATATCAAGCAAAGAGAAATAAGTCACATAGGTTGCCTGCCATTCTTTAATGCTTATTTTCTTTCAATTTTTTCTTTTTAATAATCTTACTAAAGTGAAGCTGGGGCTGTTAGTGGTGGCAAATCCGTATGGGTCTGCAGCAACCTTACTTCTTGCCTCCTTAGAAGAAAGAATTCAACTGAGGGGCATTAGGCAGAGGGAGAAACTGAGGAAAGTTTTAGAGCATGAGTGAAAGTTTATTTAAAAGCTTTAGAGAAGTAATGAAATTCCTTTCATTACTTCTCAAGCCGGCGACTTGAGAGATCAAGTGCACTGTTTGCCCTTTGACTTGGGGTTTTGTATGTTGGCATGCTTCCAAGGGGTTGCATCCCTTCTCCCCGATTTTTCCCTTGGGATGGGCAGTCTACATGAGCAGTGGCCTGTCAGCAATTGGGAGGGGAGCATGCAGTGTATGTACTGGTGTTGTGCACATGCTCACTTGAGGCATTCTTCCTTTACCAGTCTAATGTTCCTAGGAGGTCATCTACCAGTTAAACTTACCATTTTTGCCTTTTAGTGTACATGCTTGAGCCCACTTGCCCAACTCCTGAGATCTTATTGGGAAGCTGCTGATCACGAGTTTCATACTTTTTCCTATCTATTGGGAGACTGCCTTTCCTTGGTGCCAGTTGTGACCAATTATTATTTTAGAGAGGCAGTTTAGCCACCACCAGACCATCACATCATAGTTGCCTGACATTCCTGGTGACTGGGGGGACCCTCACCTGCTCTGGTTATGTCTGCCTGACTGACTACTGTAACAGGGCCAGGTCATTTTCTTGCTTAAACATCTTACTATAGTCCATAGGATAAAGATCATCACTCCTACTCATGACATATGCACAGCCATTGCCAGTGGTTTCAAAAGGCTTGCACATCACGAAGGCTCAATAAATGTTATTGATTTGAACTGAACAGTAAATAGATCAAGATGGTATAACTGCCTTTTAGTGCTCATAGCCAATGTTCTAAAACATTCTCCTGGTCTATTTTTTTGTCTGGCTGCCGTATTGCTATGATTTCTAAAAAAACCCATAGTTTTCTGGATCAGGAAGACACTTTACTGGTGGGTCAGGTTATAGAGATCACTGAGAATGAAGATTTTAGTAGTAAAATGATGTAAATAATCTAAATACAAACCCTTCTACTGCTAAATCAATTAGAGTCTTTTCCCAATCCTTAGAGGGAAAAAAAGTTAATAGATTTGCTGAATTTTAACTATTTCTCTCCTTTATTTTTCATATCTTTTGGATATTTACTTGATTACCAGGGTTCAAGCAAATGATTCTCAATTTGCTTGAATCATTGTTTTAGATTTATTGTTTAGAATAATTGTTTTAGATTGTTTATTTCATGCTGCTTTCTGTGTGACTGCTCTAGGAACGAAGTCATGAGTAGAAGCCAGGGAGGCATGAAAGAAAAAGTCTTGTGGCACCCACACCGAGAAGATGCTAAGCAGAGATGTGAGGAAACAAAGCTGAGAATTGAGGGACAATCCAAGGGAAAGAAGTGGACTGGGAAATCGGTTCTCCTGGCCTGGAAAAGACACGTCACCACAGGAAAAAATCTGGCTCCAGAGAACAATTTATTTTAATATGCCTCATTTTGCTATTTCATTAATTCAGAAATACTTGGCCTTTTTTTCTACTGTTACTGTGGAGGCATAATAGGAAATGTAAACATACTGGTACAAAATAAGAAATAACTTATTTATATGGCAGGAAGACTAGAAAAATCACAGCCATTTTCTTCTTCTTACTATAAGCTCTAATTTTCCATGATACTGCTCTACATACAGGATCTTTATTTAAAAAAACCTGAAGTGATGATATTACATTGCCACATCAACATTTGAAATTAAATGATCAATGGGTGATATAAAAATGGCCAGCACATGGTACATTTTGTAATACTTTAAGTCACATTGTTGAGATCCTTGATAAAGATATGATTTGCTTTTAATCTGGCACCATCATTTATTTTGGGCAAAGCTAGAAAACAAATAACATAATTTGCATAATGAAACCATTGAGAGAAAAATCACTGTAATTTGTCAGAGGTATCTGCACCATTTTGACTTACAGTTTAAATTCATTCAAGTTTATTTCTTTCCTTACCCCAACTAAACAATGCTTTTGATTTATTCTTGCCATTTAGTGTCATATAAAATAAAGTGTTCCACTAGGAGGAGAAATAATTTGTCAAGTAGAAACTATATTAAATGAAACATTCTCTCTGATATGTTTTTAATTTGTTTTATTCCCATTTTGCTATTGCAATTTTCCCACCTGCCAATGGAGATAAGGGGCTGTTTCATTCTTTCTCTTTTGGCTCGCGAAGGCCACACGCTTGTTTTGTTAAGGAGAGTCCACCTATCACCAGGAGGGACAGAAGTCAGCTCAGGAAGGGAGACCCTGCCAGGGGACTCAGCCATGAGGTAAGGCCAGCCATGAGTCCAAAGACAAGTATTCCTGAGCACCTGACCGCTATTTATCAAACATTGTTCTAGGGGATGTGGGGAATTGTAAGAGAAGCTCAAGACAGTGTTCTTGTCTGGGCTGATGAAACCTTATCCTAATTCAGGCTACAGTGAATACTTTATGTGCATTCTGAGTGTTCCTATCCTTTCCTTGTTATATGGCAGGAGTTTTTGATATAGGGTACATGGACCCCAGGAGGCCCTTGGATAGAACACAAGTGGTAAAATTCCATCTTTTAAATAATTAACTACTAACTGAAATTTAGCCATTTCTTCAATTATATATGTTGGCACAAACCACAGTAGTATTAAGAGTGTCTCTGACCTTGTCAGCAGTAGAAAACACTGATATTTTTATATAATATCACAGTTGTTGCAGATATCTTGGAACATCATTTGTGCTTTATCACTATTTTTGAAAATTATAGTAGTTATTAGACCTGCAGCTAGAGTTTGTTACTTAATGCATTCATATAGAAAGACATCATTAAATCACATTTTTCTGGATACTTTTATAATTGTACTTCAATGCAATTGGTGTCTTTTGTAATCCTACGTATTTTCTTTCATACATTCAAACACTCATCGGAGGAGTGGCCCACAGACCTTAACAGTTGGCCAAAGGTGTCAGCAATACAACAAAGGTATCGAATCCTTATCTATGATGATCAGATTAGGTAATTTCTTTATTCACTTATACTTCTAATAGAAAAAGAAGAGAAAAAATGAAAAAAAGTAAAATTAAGGGTTTAATTTCAAATGTTTGGTGGGGTGGAGTTGTTGAAGTGGTTAACAGCATTGAGGCTTCTGAGTTAGTAGAGGCTTAAAATTTTTCCTTTATATATTCATTATTTCTGGTAATTGAGTTATTCAGCATCTGACCTTTACCGTCTTGATAATATTTCTGTCTGTTGTTTCTTGCGAACCTTTTCTCGAATCTGTCAGCTTGTGACCTTGGAAGGTTACTTAACACCCCCTGCCTTACTTTTCATCATTTTCTGGTTGGAGCTAATAATGCTTCGTTTGATGTTGTATTTTTGTGTGTGAGATCTTTTGTTTGTAAGATCTTAAAAGATATTGACAGTATTTAATTGAATAAGAATACATTTGTAGGCATTTGAAACTCTAATGCCTTATATAAATATATCAATGCAATGATTTATTATTACAGCTGTTATGCCATAGCATGTTGGGTTGCTGACAATTTTTTATTTTTTTTTGTGACGAAGTTTTGCTCTTGTTGCCCAGGCTGGAGTGCAGTGGCGTGATCTTGGCTTACTGCAACCTCTGCCTCCTGGGTTCAAGTGATTCTCCTGCCTCAGCCTCCCGAGTAGCTGGAATTATAGGTGCCTGCCACCATGCCCAGCTAATTTTTGTATTAATTTTTATTATTAATTTTATATTTCACCATGTTGGCCAGGCTGGTCTCGAACTCCTGACCTCAGGTGATCCACCCGCCTTGGCCTCCCAAAGTGACGGTATTACAGGCGTGAGCCACCACACCTGGCTGACAAATTTGTATGTATGTATGTGTGTATGTATGTATGTGTTTATTATTTTTGAGATAGGATCTTGCTCTCTCACTCAGGCTGAAGTGCAGTGATGTGATCATGGCCCACTGCAGCCTTGACCTCCTGGGCTCAATCCTTCCTTCTGCTTCAGCCTCCTGAGTAACTTGGAAAATTGGCATGTGCCACTGTGCCTGACTAATTTACTTTTTGTAGAGACAGGGTCTCACTATGTTGCCCAGGTTGGTCTCAAACTCCTAGCCTCAAGCAACCCTCCTGCCTCAGCCTCCCAAAGTCTTGAGATTACAGGTGTGACCCATCACACCCAGGCAACAATTTTTAAAAAGAAACTCTAATCCCTCAACTATATCATTGTTGGGTAAGGAATAAAACATAAATAACGTCAAAAGGGGGCACCTTATGATTATTTCTCATGGGAACATGGTGCTTGGAAATGTTATACCTCTCAATTTTCTAGGATATGATGTGCTGTCATCAATTTTTTCTTAAACATGCCTCTGACATGGTTAATAGCACAGTGCATTTCCTGAGAGTTAGGGTGGATGGTGGAGTGAAGGGTCTTGTTAACATCATTTGGTGTACCCATAGTGATGCTCCCTTGACCATAGTTTCTTCTCAGTAGTTGAAGGAATTGCAATCATTTCCCCTTGCAGAGCTAGGAACATATGCTGGTAGTGTTAAGGAACATTTTGGTCCACGCATCATCTTCATTTTTGCAGACAGCATATTTTTAATATAACCAAGAGTCCAAAATATTTCAACAAGTAATAAATGTAAACTTTTCTAACACCTTTTATTACATACTGTGGCCAAAATACATTGAAGAAGTAGAGTACAAATTTTGAAAAGATGGCTGTAATGTGACACCTCTCCTGTCATTTAAATCAATATTGCAGCTAATATATATTAACTTTAGGTTGATGGTGATTAACCCAGCACCCTCCATGTGCCAAGTGTTCTATCCTGGCTTTTATTAGTTACTGCTTACCAACATCCATTGGTGGTGCTACTGTTCCCATCTTGATTTGTTTTGAGAACCTTGAATATGAGAAACAGACTCTCCAACCTGCTTTCTCTTACAAAATCAGCAGGCTTGGGGAGCAATATTTAAAGAACACAAAAACTTTGATGCAGACAGTAAATATTTCCTTCTCTCCAAGAAATTTCATAGCCAGCATCCTTATTTCTTTGTTAGCATCAACTGTGGCATTAATGTAGCATCCCCAGCCTCACGTCAGTGTTTGGAGCTCAGTTGAACAACAGAGTAGGTGGAATGGGCTGTGATTTATGTGTATCAATAAGCTCATAGGCCCCACCCTTGCTTAGTCAAAATCCTATAATTAGTAACTGATATGGTTTTGCTGTGTCCCCACCCAAATCTCATCTTGAATTGTAGCTTTCTTATTACCTACGTGTTGTGGGAGGGACCTGGTGGGAGGTAATTGAACCATGGTGGTGGGTTTTTCCCATGTTGTTCTCCTTGATAGTGAATAAGTCTCATGAGATCTGATGGTTTTATAAAGGGTAGTTTCCCTGCACACATTCTCTTGCCTGCCACCACCTAAGACGTGCCTTTTTTGCTCCTTCGTTTTCTGCCATGATTGTGAGGCCTCCCCAGCCATGTAGAACTGTGAGTCCATTAAGCCTCTTTTTCTTTATAAATTACTCAGTCTTGGGTATTTCTTCATAACCGTATGAAAATGGACTAAAATAGTAACCATCTCTGGTGACGCCTTTATTACAGACTTTGCAATTATAAGCTATTCCTTAAGCCACAGAAAGAAATGAAGAAAGGAAGAGGGGAAGACAGAAAGAAAACAATTATCACTTGGTTTAGTGACCACGTGTGTTGAGGACAGGTAAATGTTTTTATTGTAAAGCCATCTAAGACCCAGGCATTGGGAATAGGGCATGGTTAATAATAATTAACACTAGGGAGGCAGCTGACAACTTTGGCATTTAGAGGCTCATAGAAAGAAGAAAGCTCAAAATCATGTGTTAGCTTAAAAGAGTTGGGTTTTAGCCTCCCACTGATTCTGCACAATTTAGTGGCAAGATTTGAAAACAACACCAACAACACTGCTATCTTTGACATTCATGGAACAATAAAAAGTAAACACCCAGAAGGTAACAAGCCTGGGAGATATTAACCGAGGGATCCCATGGTTTCTCACTTTTCCATTCTTCCATGAAGTCACTGTTTCACATAGCTTGGAGTCTGTGAACCATGCCAATATATGTGTCTTTTTAACATGGTTCATTTTTTAAGTACATCATTGGTTTGGAGAGATGAGAATGAGAAGATGAGTTAACTTTTATTGTGAGGCACCTGTATGGTTTAGACTTTCACTGCAACTTTGTTACAGGTGAGCGATATGCCCTTCATTTCACAGACTCTGTGGGGTGTCCATCAGCACATGAGTAAAGATCTTCCTTTGGAGGGTAACCACTTTCTGACATTAACTGTGTCTTGATGGAGAACACAGCATATGAGTTATGAGTTTTGGCCTGCGAGTTGTGAAAGATGACTCGGAAAATATAGCCTTGGAGAACTAACTCAGAAAACTCCTCTGGCAGCACTAAGCCATAAACAGACTCAGCTCATTTCTAATTTTGGCTCCTCCTCAGATGTCCAGGATGACACAAGCCAGCCGTCAAGCCCATTTCTAATTGCTCCTGTTGCAATGTGTTGACATCTCTTGTCTTCTTTGTGAAAACGTGTGGGATCATTTAGATGAGAGTAGAGATAGGAAAGGAAAAGGACTAGTTTGAGGCAACCTCTATGATAATGACCAGAAAGGGGAGCAAACTGAATGGAGTGGAGCAGGAAGGTAGTTGAGAAAGGGTATTAGTAGAAGGAAAGAATTTGGTGAAACATGACAATATTTCTGAAGAGCTCTAGTAGTAAACGCTTGATGAATATAGGAAAAAAAGACCATGGTAGAAAATCCCCACAATGCAATAGAGATGGTAAAAAAAGGGAACAGAGCAGAAAATATGAAGTGTTTAAGATTAAGCTAACTAATAGTTCTATGTCAATGCTAATACTCATGTTGTTCTCCCACTATTTGCATATCTTTCTAGGAATAGAAAAAAGAAGGTACATGTCTAAGAAGGATTTAAAAATGTCAAGGAAAGAACAATGAGATGAGAAAGATTAAAGTCAGAGGTGAGCATCAGGACTTAAAAAATTTTTTTTCCTGACAACAAGGTTATTCATAAAATGGAAAATGCCATCTTAAATGCTATGTTACAGAAATAATGATTGTGGGATTTACATATTTAGACCCACAGGCTATTAGAGCTGGAAAGAGCACTAAAAATCATTTAGTCTACTTCTTATTTTAGAGACAGGACAAAAGGCTTGGATTGTTATTCTCAGGGTCACAAAAGCAATTAACAGCCACTCAGGAACTTAAGTATAGGTATTCTGGTTCTTAGTCTAGGACTAAGAACCACAGCAATTTCTTTCCTTTCTCATAAATGTGATGATTAAAAATAAAGGTCATGTAGTTTATTGACTTGCTTGGGGGAAATCAACACATTAGAAGCAAACACATGACTAGAACAAGAGTCTCTTGATTTTTGGTTCAGAGCATAAATTTGCTTGACATGAAACTATCAATGGTTTCATAGATTGAGTTTCCTGAAATGACATAAAGATTAATGAGCAGGAATCTTATTAGGTAATTCTCTTGGAAACAGTACTTATAGAATGGAAGAGGAAGGAGCAGAATTGGGAAGAGGGGAAAAGTGGGCTGTGATGCAGTCTAATCAAAGTCATAGGTAATCCCAGAGGAAAGTCTGAGACTGGATGGCTCTTGGGGATTGTCATGAGTTGGGGCAAAGGGGTCAGTCCTTCATAACCCTGAGATCAGTCTTTATTTGCTGCACCCAGGGAGAAGCCATGACCTTGAGCAAGGATGCGCTTTTCAGCCAGGACACTTAACAAAGAGGGCTGACAGCTGTCAGCACTTCCAGAAGCTGGTAAAATAAGACCTTCATTCTTAAAGGGACATCTTGGCAGAATACCAATGACTATTCTAGTCCACTGCTTATACCACTCAGATACACATCTTCATATACATACTGAAAATCAATCTTCTAGGATCTTAGTAGGTTTCTTTTGCTGGCAGAATGTTGTAAGATTAAGGTTGATAGGATAAACTGGTACCCTTGCAGAAACAGCTAGTTGCAAGATCTCAAATGATATTTATCATCTCTCTTCTTCACTATCCACTTTAGATTTTCCTCATCATCTGCTGGTCTTGGTGGCTTCCCAGTGGCATGGTGGTGACCATCCTGAGCTCCTGGCCACCCTGTCCTCTTCAAGCCATAGCTGCACTTGTCCATTTATCATCAAACGTAGGCAAATAGACCACATGGGTGCCAAACATATTTCTTCGTGCTCCCCATTGTATATAAGAATGCTACTTTCTTTCAGGGTTAATTGCTACCACCAAGATGGTGACTCTTTTTATTTTAAGCTGGTCACTTGCTATGAGGAACCTGAAATGCCCAGGTGTCAGCCAAAGCTTATATTACAACTAGAATTTTCCTATGTTTCCTGGTGGAAGCATTTCCTCTTTGGCTTGAACTTCAAGCCATGCAGCTCCAAGAGTTGCAGGTATGAGAAGCACAAATTTCCCAAGTGGGTCACTGTGAGTGGTGATAAGTGGGACCACTCTTGCTTCCATATATCAGTTCCTGGATCCATGTATTCAAGCACCTGGGATACAATACCATATAAAGATCATTGATTTAGGGTGTACAGTGTATTTGGGAGGTTAGAGCCCCACATTGACAATGTCATCTTCAAGCTGGCACTTCAGCTGTGCCTTCAACGGGCCATTCCGTTGCTCCCTCAGACCAGCAAATTTTGGTTTGTGTGGTATGTGGATACAAATCAGTGATCCAGTGGTCAGCCACCAGATACCCACTCTTCAACCTCCTTTCTTCAATGTGAATCTCTTGATCTGATGCTGTATCATGTAGGATCCCACACTGGTGAACCAAACCTCTGTAAGTCTTCAAGTAGTAGTGATGGCTGAAGTGCTATGGGCAGAAAAGCCAAACCCATACCTAGAACATGTGTCTATTCCTATAAAAATGAATTACTGCCTCTTCCAGGATGAAAAGTCCAATCACCAAGGGACTGTTTGGTCTCCTGTAGAGATGGTGCCATTCCAGAGAATTTGTATTGGTCTCCGTCTCTAGCAGATTGCATATTTGATTGGACCAGTCACTTATCAGCCTCAGTAAGTGGAGGGCTATCCTGCTGATCCTATGCAAAACTTCTAACCCTGAAAATATAGCCATTTTATTTATATGAGTGTTGTGCTAGCACTAGGGAGGCTAATGAGAAAGACTTGCTGATGTGAACTGGCCAGCTCATATTGTCTAGCTTGTTATTTCGTGCCTCTTCCATGGTAGGTGCTTTCTGGTAGATGTTAACATTTGATACAAAAATCTTTATATTTCACTCCCATTCCTATAGGTCCATGCAAATCCCTCTACCTCAGACCGTATTTTTCTGTCCTTTCAATTTTATTTTTTCTTACCCCTTAACCTCCCAGTCAAGCCATTTGCCATTGCTCATGAACCCATGCACATTCTAACTACAGGACACTTCCTTTTCTATGTAAAGAGCTCACCACATGCACTGCCACTTGTCACTGTTGTTAAGGGCCACCTCAATGTCAGGCTGTGATATAGCTTTCATCCATTTCCTGCTTGCACACACATACCAAGCCAACCCATCTCTAAACCAATTTTTTTTTTGTTTTTGAAATTGATACATAATAATTATATGTGTTTATGGGGCACATGTGATATTTTCATACATGCATGCAATGTGTAATGACCAAATCAGGATATCCATCACCTTAAACATTTATCATTTTTTTGTATTGGAAACATTCCAAATTTTCTCTTCTAACTATTCTCAAATATACAATAAATTATAGTTAAGTATAGTTATCCTACTGTGCTATCGAACACTAGAACCTGTCCTTCTAAATGTATTTTTTGTACCCATTCATCAACCACTTTTCACGTCCTCTTTCCCAATTTTTTCCAGCTTCTGGCCTATCATTATGCTCTCTAGCTTCATGAGATCAGCATTTTTAACTCCCACATATGTGTGAGAACATTTGATATTTGCCTTTCTGTGCCTGGGTTATTTTATTTAACATAATGTCCTCCAGGTCAGTCCATGTTTCTGCAAATGACAGAATTTTATTCTTTTTATGGCTGAACAATACTCCATTGTATATATTCCATTTTTTTACTGAGCATATTATTATAAATCTTCTTTATTTTAAATTTAGCACATTGTGCTTTAAAATTATATCCAAGTAAAACCATATATTCAACTCTTTGTTGTTTCTATACAGAAGTGTAAATACAACATTACTTTTTGTCACTAAGTTGCCTTAATAAGTTTTACAGGAAGAAAAACATTGAATGAGAAAAGATGGCTTAAATTATATGTGGCAGGCCTGTGAAACCATGCAATGGATACGGTATGTGTGTGTGTCTATATATATACATATATATATATTGATATTATTGATCTTGAGCATCTTTTCATATACCTGTTGCACATTTGTCTGTCTCCACATCCTCATCACCATCTGTTATTTTTTGTCTTTTTGCTAATAGTCATTTTAACTGTAGTGAAATATCTAATTGTGTTTTGATTTGCATTTCCCTGGTGACTATTGAACTTGAGCATCTTTTCATATACCTGTTGGGCATTTGTATGTCTTCTATTGAGAATGTTTATTCAGATCCTTTGCCCACTTTTTAGTCAAATTATTACTATTTGTTGTTGAGTTGTTTGAGTTCCTTGTATATTCTATCAAGCTGTTGCATCAAGCTATGCAGAAGCTTTTCAGCTTGATGTAATCCCATTTGTCTATTTTTGCTTTTGTTGCCTGTGCTTTTGAGGCTTTACTCAAAAAAACCCTTGCCAAAACCAATGTCCTGAAGCATGAAATTTGGATTTTTATCCTCTTCTGTTTGTTGGCTAGAAGGGATTCCCCTCTATTTTGGTAGGCATAAGATGATGGTCAAGAGCTATAACATCAATAGTGGATGACTTCAGGACCTAAGCTACCTGCTCATGTTGTCTGTTTCTGTTAATGCTTAATCCTGAATGTGCTACTTTTATCTCAGGATGTTAAGGTCCTGGACCCACCCTGAGGTCTGATATTACCCAGCTCAAAATGAGCAGTTCAGGCTTCATGGTTACTTGGTGTCCATAATCAGACACTGCACTTCTACCAGGACCCAGTAGCAAACCAGGACCTGTTTTTCAAAAGATGTATCTGCTGTAGATGGCACAGCTTTACTCTACAACCCTAGGCATCTGCATTTTGATTCTCCCATTGGGCTTTCAACAAACACCACATGGCACCTTTTCCTACCATAGATTAATGCTATGTCATACTGGTAGTTTATATCACTCAAGGGAAGGGTCACTGGCACCACAGTCTGAATTTCTATAGATTCTTTTAATGCTTTGGTCATTACTTAAAGTTAGCAGTCTTTCATGCTACCTGACATATGATTTGGTGCTGTATTCCTGCAATGGAATATGCTGCCTCCAGAACATGGGAACGCCTACTAGGCAAGGTGCTTCCTTATTTGTGATAGAAAGTGCAAATTGCAATAATTTGTATTTTCTTTGGAAGGGATATCCCAAAATACTCAAAACCATAGGACTTCTAAAAATATTACTAATATATCAGGCCCTGAATCTCTATAGAGTTTATCTCTTATCCTCTAGTGTGTATATGTTTTACCTAGGCCTACAATGTACTTGTCACTTCTTTTTTCTAGTTGGTTCAATTGCCATGACATCCTAGATATAGTGGACTAATGAAGTTTTCTGTGATATCCTAGTCATCAAGATCTCTTAGACTATATAGCAACTGAACAGAAGAGTTAACATAGCCCTTGGACAAGGTTGCAAATGTATACTATTGTCCATTTCAAGTGAATGAGAGTTCTTTCTGATTGCTTTTGGTGTGGTTAGAAAATAATGTATTTGAAGGATGAATGGTCACATACCAGGTGCCTGAGGTTATTGTCATATATACTAGCAAAGATGCCATATTTGAGCTAGTATTGCTTGGTTGAGTTTGTGGTATCCATTGTTATTCTCCAGGATACATCTTTTTTTTTTTTTTTTTGGTGGGTGGGGGTGCGGGGGGTGAGTGGTTGAACTAATTGAATTAATTGGAGATACAATGGGGCTCACCCTCCTCCATCCATTAGGTCTTTCATTGAAGCCATTAAATTTCTGCCAAATTCCAGGAAGACCTGGAATATGACAGTTTATTAGAGAGTACCCTGGAAAAAATAGCCATGAAAGTGAAAAAAAGGAAGCAAGCTTGGACAGAAGAAAAAACTGGACTGAAATACAATCTCAGTGAGTACCATAACTGATCTCTAGAGAGCTCTTGGTGTGCATTGGCCCTACAGAGCTGTCCTGAGCTAGGTGAGGAGACTGGCCTTGATAGTCTTGTATTGACCATTTCCCAGATGCGTGGTCAAGGCAGTTCTCTTCAACCAAGGCACTTCCAAAAGAGGTTGATAGCTGAGGACTCTGCTGGAAGCAGTTCCAGCAGCTGGGAGAAAAGGTCTTTCATTCTTAAAGATGAATCTGGACAGTGTGTCCACTACCAAATGAAATATGGGATCTCTTATATAATGTGATAGGAA
Source organism: Homo sapiens (assembly GCF_000001405.40). Taxonomy (NCBI): domain Eukaryota; kingdom Metazoa; phylum Chordata; class Mammalia; order Primates; family Hominidae; genus Homo; species Homo sapiens. The sequence continues at coordinate 31,547,028 of NC_000008.11, forward strand.
CCTCAAAATTGGAATCATATATTTTATTTTTTTTCAAAGTAGAGGCTTTCAGGAGCTTTTAGTATATTTGAAATGAAGGATAACAAAATAGTAGGTGGGGAAGAGAAAAAGAAATGGCCTGCCATACTCTAATTATAGAAGAGTACCTCTAACTATTAGCATATTGAACAGACACCGAACTCAGAGGAGAATGGTATTTGTAGACTGATAAATGAGTCTGGAATAAACTACTTCCCAGAAATTGCCTAAATGTAGCTCAGGCTAGCGTAAACTAGTCACCCCAGGCTGGCTTCCTTGTTTCACTGAAAAACAAGTGGCACTTCATATTATGGAACTAATTGCAATTGGAGTGTATTCCAATATATTCTTGAGAGCCCCAGGTATACCTGTGAATTGGAATTCATCCATAATCAGTAATTATGCTCTTCTATTTAAATATTTGATCTTGGGCAAGATTTTATGCAATTAAAGGTATGAGTTTGGTGTATATTGTTATACTTAATGTCTTATTTTATTTAAAATATGAAAAAATGAATTTAATCAGAAATTTCAAAAATGATTCCTTATCTGAGAGGCCTTCTATGATGTCATTTAAATAGCAAATTCCTTATTATTCTCTATCTCCTTACTCTTTTGTCTTTGCTTTTGTCACTAATATATAATATACAGTATATTTTTAATGGAATGACTATATCTCCCATCTCTGTTTGGAGTGTGTTTCATGACAGCACAGAATTTATCTACTTTGTTTATTGCAATGTTGCTAACCTCTAGAACATAGTAAGTGCTCAAAAGATGGTGCCTAAAAGGATGGACCAAGTGTTACACAAGTCATATTCTATTTGGTTAATACACTTCTCCACTTCTGAGAAACATATTATTGTTAAAGTTAAGGTAGATTAATTATGTTAAGAATAAATGGTCTGGGCATGGTGGCTCATGCCCTGTAATCCCAGCACTTTGGGAGGCCGAGGTGGGTGGATCACTTGAAATCAGGAGTTTGAGACCAGCCTGGCCAACATGGCAAAACCCCGTCTCTACTAAAAATACAAAAATTAGCTGGGCGTGGCGGTACACACCTGTAGTCCCAGCTACTTGGGAGGCTGAGGCGCGAGAAGCACTCAAACCTGGGAAGTGGAGGTTGCAGTGAGCAGATGTTGCGCCACTGCACTCTAGCTTGGGTAATAGAGCGATACTCCATCAAAAAAAAAAAAAATTAATGGATGCTTTTGGCAAATTCAGGACTGAAAATTGCTGTGACTTTTCCTCCATGAGAGTTTCTGCAGTTTGGGTCATAAGAGTTAAATATGGTTAATACTTCATTAAGTACTGTTTAACTTTAGCAACCTAAGACATTACATGTCATCAATTGTTCTGACTTTGTGGCACCTGATAGCTACTATGCTACTGTGGCATTGATGATGTTGGCGGTGATGATAGCGATGATGATTATGATGATGATAATGGTAATGGTGGTGGTGGTGGTAATAGCAGGTTAATATTCACTGAGTGGTTTTTCACTAATTGTCATGCTGAATTTTGAATTCACTGACTTATGTAATGCTCACTAAGACATTATAAATACAGTTTACCATTTTAATGATAAGAAAACTGAGACATAGAGAATGTAATATCCAACCTGGCTGGTTGTGGAACCAGCATTTGAAGTGGGGTGAGACTTATACCAAAGACTGCAGATCTTAACTATTCTGATATTCTGAGCAGTGGCAAGCAGAGAGAAGGGAGAGGGAAGTGATAAAATTTGAGGAAAATAAATCCCACACTCCCTTTCAAAATTGTGAGTGGAGAATAGGAGGGAATGTTTGAGAGCAGTCCAGAAACATCATTTAAAAGCAGGTAACTATAAGGCAGAAAGAAAAATGGCAACATCAGAGCATAATACGAAGATTCATGGGAAATGGGAGCAGAGGAGAAGGAGACCCAGCCTTCTGGGGAAGACAGTGTAGGATTAGAGAGGAGGCTGTATTTCAGCTGAGACTGAGGAGGGGAGGTAAGACCTACCAGAAAGAAGTACCACCAATGTAAACATATCATCAGAAGTATGTTGTGTAATGTATCTAAGCAATGTAGTAAAAAAGCGTAGTGGTTAAACTTTACTCTCCTAGGATATTGCGGTATATTTTATATTTGCTATATATAGTACATAGTAGTATACAGAATATGTGTATATGTATATGTTACTACGTAATATACATATACTACTTTCCAAATAGTATACTGCAGTACACTGCCAAAAGTAATACAACTGATGGGCCTAAAACAAAACACATTTCTTTCAAGGGATTTGTCAATCAAAAATAGTGAAACAATAGTAATGCTTCATTCCTCTCAACAACCCACAATCCTCATTTCTGTATATCCTTTACTTACACAGATTCACCAACTGTTTACATTTTCCACATTTGTTTTATCATACATGTATATATATAATTATTATTATAGCTAAATCACTAAAATGCTTGAGAGTAAGTTTCAGACTTAAAGACTTTACCACAAAATATCTCACTGTGCATTTTCTAAGAACAAGGACATTCTTTTATCTAGCCACCATATAACTATTAAACTTGTACAATTTAGCATTGATAAAAATTATCTTTGAACATACAATCCATATTCAGATTTTACCAATTATCCCAATAACATTCTTTATAACAATTTCTCCTAGTCCAGGATCAAAGCCAGTATCACACATTGCATTGAATTCATATCACTTTAATCTTCTTTAATTTAGAAGATTTCCTCAGCCATTTTTGCTTTTATACATTAACATTTTGAAGTGTATAGGCCAGTTGTTTTGTAAAATGAAACTCAATTTGGATTTGCCTATTTCCTCATGTAAATTCAGGTAGGTAGTTTTGCTTAGGAACTATGTATGTGATTTATGTCCTCTGTGACATCAATGGTGTCACAGATATTGGTGATGTTAATTTTGATCACTAGATTAAGGTGTTATCTGTCAGGATTCTCCATTGTAAACATGCCATTTTCCCTTTAAAACCAAATAAACTGTGGGGTGCTACCACTGAAAGTATGTAAGTACCCCAAGAAATCTTCACTCAATGATTTCAGCACCCATTAATGATTCTTGTCTGAATCCATTATGACTATATGATTAAAAATTTTTGAATTTTTCATTCAATCCTTTCATATATTTTAGTTAGCATTTCTCTCATTGTTTTGTGAGCAATTTCTTACTTTTTGGCACAGTAAAATATTCCAGGTTCCACTTGTAATTTCTCTCTCCATCCGTGGAATCAGTTGTTTCCTTAAATAGCCCTGCTTCTTTTATTGGATAATGGTATCTTGAAACCAAGACTTGGGTGTTGGGGTGTGGCTTTTTGCTACTAGGGTGTTATTGCACATATAATGTTCCCTCCTCAGCCATGGGGCCTACATTCCAAGGTCTTCAGTAGATGCCTGAAACCACAGATAGTACTGAACCTGATGTAATAAGTTGGAACATGTTCCTGTTTATGTTTTTTTCTCCAACAAACTTAATGCCTTTTCCATCTTAATTATGCATTTATCATGCATGGTGCCCATTACTTTTGCAGTCTGAGGTGTGACAGCAAAACTGGCATGAATTTTTTTCCTTTTTCACAATTTCATAGGTAGAAGATTCATATTTTACTGTAAATCTTGAAAACCTCAGCATAAGATTTTTCCTTTCCTTATTAAGTTGAGAACTTACACATTTTCACTTAAAGGAAGCACTTAATGGCTTCTCTTTCGCAGATCCAAATTATCAGCATCACTACTATTGCATTTTGGGGCTATTATTAAGTGAAATAAGAGTAACTTGAATAGAAGCATAGTGATAACGCAACAGCAGATCTGATAACTGAGATGGCTCATAAGTGACTCATGGGCAGAGAGTATACTGGGCAAAAGGAGGATTCATGACCTGAGTGGGATGGAGCAGGATGGTGTGAGATTTCATCATGCTACTTAGAGTGACATGCAGTTTAAAACTTATGAGTTGCGTATTTCTGGAATTTTGCACATATTATTCTTGTACTGCCATTGACTGTTGGTAACTGAAGCCACAAAAAGTGAAACTCCAGATAAGAGGAGAATTCTGTATATAGATGATATGATTTGGCCCTGTGTCCCCACCTAAATCTCACCTTGAATTGTAATAATCCACATGTGTCATGGGAGGGACTGGGTGGAAGGTAATTGAATCATGGGGGTGGGTTTTTCCCGTGCTGTTCTCTTGATAGTGAATAAGTCACATGAGATCAGATGGTTTTGTAACGGGGACTTCCCCTGAAATGCCCTCTTGCCTGCCGCCAAGTAAGATATCCTTTTGCTCTTCCTTCATCTTCCGCCATGATTGTGAGGCCTCCCCAGCCATGTGGAACTGTGAGTCCATTAAACCTCTTTTCTTTATAAATTACCCAGTCTCAGGTATGTCTTTATTAGCAGCATGGGAACAGACTAATACAATGCATTTGACTACTGCTTAATGGGACATTTGTTATTGAACAACAAACAAGTGGACCTTTTAGGTACATCATTTTGGGAGTAGCCATCAGTTATTCAAAGCTAAAATCTAGTTGAAATCATGGTTTTAAGAATCCTTATTGTAACTATGACAATAAAAGACTGCATCATCTTTTAAAATCTTCTTGAGATTAACAATCAAGTCTCATGATCGATTGGTTGGTAACACAGATTCTATAACCATGGATTTTTGAGCTTGTGTTCTTTATCCTTTTGATTTGATAAGAATGCTGAAACTCTGGGAAGGCATCAAAGTTAACATTGCCATAACACTAGAAATATGTGAAGAAATATAGAAGTAACGAAGAAAATAAGTCAAATGTGTTGTTAATCTTCTAGAACAAGCTTAAGTCTGGCTATAGTAATATATTTTCAAAACATTGTATTTCTGTATGTTTTGTCTACTAATGAAGGTGTTGGAGGCATTCAAAGGAATCATTAAATTCATTCTAAATCAGTAAGTCTATTCTAAAGTGTTTAAAGAGATTTAATTAATTAAGTTTATAATAAGTGTTAAAATATCAAAGAAAAATGTATTGGAAGTTTTACTGGCAAAAATTTAATAAATAGAGAATTCAAAAATACAGCAAAGAATGAGTGTTTTCCATGCACAAAAGCTCCCTGATATTAAAAAGCTGAGGGGTGGATGGATGGGCTTTGAGGTAGGATCTGGGCAGAGCATCACTGTATCCACTACAATTGTCATTTTATTTTACCTTCCCCTTGTAAGGTCAAATAAAATGTTAGAATATATAGATTCATAGACTATCAACTCTGAGAGGGACCTTAAATATCACATACTTTATTATGGAACACTTAGCACAGATAAAAAAATTCAAACACTCACTAAGAGTCACTTCATCAAGGTACCAAAACATAGGTTAAGCTACTTCACTATGTTTTAGATGCTCACACTGTATCTTTCTTCACGACTTCATAATAAAGATTAAGCGTTGTGTTTTGGATAGTCCACGTTGTGCTGTAAGTGTGCTACTAAATTCCATACCAGATACTGCCTCTGAGAAGCTTCAGAAGAAGCAATGAATTATAAAGAATGCTAATGCGTAGTAACCAGGGGTTACAGGTGGGAACATCACAATCACTACCTAGGACAGCTGAAATTCCTAGAAGCAGGGAATTGAACCAGGGACCAAACAAGGTCCCTATCAGCTCTTTAGCTCTGGACTGAATTGAGAAAGTATTATTATTTTTAACTGGTTCCCATTTGGCCTTATTAAGAGTTTAATTGTGCTTTTACTCTAACCTTTTATCCTCTTGACATTTCTTTCCTTAATTTTATAGGTTTTTTTGTCTCCCTTCATTATAATTTTCTTCTTATATTATACTATATTTCCATCTGGAAAAAGAAGTCTGTGTCTGCCACTTTGTTAGAAGGACCAGCAGAAAAATATTCTTAAGAATAGAAATTGCCTTTATTAGCTGAGTTGATGAAAGAATTATATGAGGCAATTATTTCCCACATCTCTGAGATCTTGGCCATGAATTTTAACAATAATTGCTTGCAAGTGTATTTTCTTTTCTATTGTATTTAACTTGAGAGGAAAGATACTTCTTTACCTCTTTGTTTCCCCAATAACTGGTATAGGTCCTGACACATGGTAAACTCTCAATAAATGTTTTTAAATGAATTAATAATTGGTAACATGTTATAATTGTTCATTCAAATATCTACGTCTTTACTAGACTGAATTTAAAGAATGGAATAAAATCTTATTAACCTTTGTACTACTACTAGTTCCTGCATTAACTGTTTATGTAGTAGGTACTCAATACATTGCAATGAATGAAGGAATGAAAAAAGAAATGAGATGGACTAGGAGGAACTCTGCATCTTTACTTTAGGGTTGTGGATGTAAAATTATTTTTCTTCCATTCCTGTCATTGATGTGGGCAATTCCACAGTATTCTTATGTACTGCCTGCTGCTAAAAGAGCCTCTTGATGAAATAAATCTAGAATTTAGTAAGAACTCAAGGTAATTTTTAGAAATGCAATTACTTCTTCACAGGGTGAGAGCACTGGCTACCTAAAGTGAAAGGAAATGATTATGGTAGGCAAAGAATACTGAAAGGAGAAAGCTTTGCTACTCTCTTAATGTTTCCCTGGGTCATCCCCAGGTACTATGGAAAGACATTGAGACAGTCTAGCCTAGTGTGTAAGTACTAAAATCAGAAAGAAAAGCATATGCAACAGCATTTCTATAGGACTAAAGAGGAAAGCAAGTGAAACAAGGCAAATGGACAAACGAAAAGCTTCAATAATTCATCAAAGAAACAATCAAAAATAGATTTAAGTGCTTACTGTGTCCTAGGAATTGTGATAGGTACTGTAGATATAGCAATAACTAGCAAATGTTTTCTCTATGCTAAAGAGTTTCCTAGGTTGTAGGGGAGATTGATATTGAATGAATACCCTCATGAAAAATGATATGTTTACAGTTGAAAAAGTGATATGAAGGAAAAAAAATCTGGTTCCATGTTGCATATAACAATGGGGCTACCCTAATCTGAAAGGTCAGCAACAACATTCCTGAGGAGGCATCTTATAACACTAGAGGGACAAAAAAAGGCATTAGTAATACAGAGAGAGAAGGAAAGCTATTCTAGATACAACTGAGAGTTCATGAAAAGACCCCAAGACAGAACAAGCTTGAGGTTTCTTAGAACCAAAAGATTGTTATGGTTGGAGCTTAGTGAGAAAGGGAAAGAATGGAGCAAATTACAGTGGGAGAGGAAAACAAAAGCATCAGATAAATTATGTAATGCCTGAAGGCCAAGGAGCTAGGGTCTTATTTTAATAGGAAGATATTGACTAATTTAATAGAATTTATGGAGGTATATCACCCAATTTATATTTTTATAAATAATGAATGTGGAAAATGGCAAACTAGGAAGCTCCAGGCTCTCCAACTCCCTCAGAAATACCAAGTAAACAACAACATACCCATCAAGGTAGCTCTGTGAGAACTCTAGAAACCATTAAGGATCTGCAACAACTAACAAATGCATAACCAAGAAAAATCCACAGGCAAAATAGTAGAAATTTTGTGGTACTTTTTCAGATTTAACTCACTGTTTCCCTGATGCAGCAAGGAAGAGAAGCCAACCAATGACTGATTATTCTTTCGGGATAAAAAATAAAAAGAGTAACGCTTATTTGCAACATTCTGGCTCATATAGGGGGCTGGCCAAGGGACTTGTTTCTATCTTGCCTGACTTGAAATATTGACAGAAATTATGGCAGAGTTTGGATGTCAAGTTGGGAGTTGCTGAAAACAGTTTAGTCATGATGGCATGAGAGGGCTTCAGGATAACTGCAGACCCATTGGTGCCTGGGGCAAGAGATTACAGGAAGAGGAATACAGTAGAACATCTAAGGCCCTGAGAAGGAGCAGAGGTGAGACTCTTCTGGGAATCAAGATTTTAAAAGCAAGGGAATTGGATAAAAAGCACATGCACTGGCCCAGGAAAGATGAATTCCAGGAAAAGGCCTGAGGAAACCTTAAGCTTTTACACCGGGCCAGTTTGTGAAGGTCTTCCCCTGCATGGAGCCAGTTTCCAAAGACTATCTATGGTGGCTATTTTATTCAAATGCCAAATTTTCAACAGTGTATTATAAAGCATATAAAGAAACAGAGAAACATGGCCTCTTCAAATTAACAAAGCAAATATACCAAAACTGACCTGAAAGAAACAGGCTTCAGACTTACTTGACAAAGATTCAAAAGCACCTGTCTTAAATATGCTCAATGAGATAAAAGAAGTACAAGGGCAACAAACTAAAGGAAGTCAGGAAAATAATATATGAAACAATGAGGATTTTAACAGATATAAATTATGAAAAAGAACCAAACATAAATTCTTGAACTGAAAAATACAATAACTGAATTTAAAAATTCACTAGAGGGCTTCAACAGCAGACTTGACTGGATAGAAAAAAGAATCAGCAAACATGAAGCTAGGTCATTTGAAAGTAAGAAGTCTGAGGACAAAAAAAAGGGAAGTATGAAGAAAAGTGAACAGAGCCTAAGAGACTTACGGAATAACAGTAAGTGGACCAATATACATATTACATGAGTCCTAGAAAGGGAAGAGAGAGAGAGAAAGGGGAAGAAAGTTTATTTGAAGAAATAATAGCTGAAAAAAATATCAAATTTGAGGAAAAACATGGAAATACTTTTCAAGAGGCTCAATACATTCTAGGATAAACCAAAAGAGACCCACACTAAGACACATTAAAATGAAACTGGAAGGTGAAAGACAAAGAATCTTGAAAGCAATAAGAGAAAAGCTATTTTTCATGTACACAGGATCCTAAATAAGATTATCAGAAGATTTCTCCCCAGAAATCTTGGAGGCTTCAAAGTAGTGGAGTGACATATTTAAAGTGCTGGAAAAAAAATCCTGTCCACTGAAAATTTGATAGTTGGCAAAAATCCTTCAAAAATGAGGAACAAATTAAGACATTTCCAGATAAACAAAAGCTGAAAGAGTTAAATGTCATTATGCCTGCCTACAAGAAATGCTAAAGAAAGTTCTTCAATTTGGAATGGAAGGACACTAGACAGAAACTCAAAACCATAGGAAAACATACAGTTTCCAAGTAAAGGTGAACACGTGAACAAATTTAAAAACTATTGTTGTAATTATGATCAATAACTCCACTTTTTTGTTTTATAGGACTTAAAAAACAAAATAAAAAATTATAAATCTATGTTAATGAATACACAATATATAAAGGTTTACTTTGTAACATCAACAAACAACATAAAGTGGGGGGTAGGCAGAGCAATAAAGGAGTACCATTTTTTCTGTATTTGGTTAAAGTTGTCATTATTTTAAAATAGATTGTTACAACTTTAGGACATTATATAATCCCCATGGTAATCACATAGAAAATATCTATAGAATATACACAAAAGGAAATGAGAAGGAAATGAAGACATATCATTACAAAAAAATCAAACACAAAAAAAGCAGTAAGGGAGGAAAAGAGGGATAACAAAGCCACAAGATATATAGATAGCAAATAACAAAATGGTAATAGTAAAAACTTTCATATCAGTAATTACTTTCAAGTCATGTAAATAGATTACATTCCCCAGTCAAGAGACATAGATTGGTAGATGGGCAGGATGGAAAAAGAAATCAAACTACCCAACTATATACTGTGTACAAGAGCATATAGTTGGAAGTGAAAGATTTAAAAAAAACATATTTCAAGCAAACAGTGGCCAGAAGAGAGCAGAGGTGGCTATACTAATATCATACAAAATAGACTTTAAATAAAAAACTATTACAAGAGACAAAGAAGGACATTGTAGAATGATAAAAGGGTTAATTCACCAAGAAGATATAATAATCATAAACATTTATGAATCAAACATTAGAGCTCCTAAATACAGAAATAAAAAGTGGACAGAATTGAAGGGAGAAATTGACAGTGCTACAATTTTAGTAATAAACTTCAGTACCCGACCTTTAATAATGAATAGAAAAATCAGGCAGATCAATAAGGAAATAGAGAACTTGAACAGCACTATAGACAAATTGGAGCCAATAGATACAGAACACTACACCCAACAGCAGCAGAATACATATTTTCTCAAGTATGCATGGAACATTCTCTAGAATAAATCACATGTTAAAATACAAAACAAGGCTTAATAAATTTTAAAAGATTAAAATCACAGAAAGTATCTTTTTTATTACAATGGAATGAAACTAGAAATCAACAGCAGAAGGAAAACTGGAAATTCTACAAATATGTGAGTTAGACAACACGATATTCAACAATGAATGGGTCAAAGTGAAATCACATAGGAAATTGTAAAATATCTTGAGGCAAATGAAAATAAAAACACCATGTGTTGAAATGTGTGGAATGTAAGAAAAACAGTGTTAAGACAGAAGTTTACAGTTATAAATGCTTACATTAAAAAATGCAAATAAATAACCTGAATGTATACATATGTAACTAACCTGCACGTTGTGCACATGTATCCTAAAACTTAAGGTATAATTAAAAAAAAGAAAAATAAATAAATATTAAAATTCAAAAAAAAAAAAAAAGAGAAAAAGGAAAATAGAGAGGGAAAAAGCTAAGATGGCTGACTAGATGCAGCCAGGAAACATCTATCCCACAAAGAGAACTCAAAATATTGAGTAAATCATCAGACTTCATACAGATCTTTTGAGAGAAAACACTTAAAATCAATAAACACAGAGACACTGAGGTTGAAGAGGGAGGAAGCTGGGAAGCCTGCACAGAGTCATCGAGTAGCAGGACTGGCTTCTGGTCCTGAACAGGTCGCAAGGAAGGGGTGAGTGAAGGAACTTTGGGGCACCACACCCCTGCCATGGACCTCTGGGATCCTAGCTACAAGAGAGCCCGTGACCCCAACGGACATTTGAATTGGCAGGGGGAAGTGCCTGAAGAGTAGGCAGAGGTAGAGCTCAAACCTGCATGGAGCCCAGAAGGTTTTGCAGTGCACAGGGCAGCTACAGCAAAATGCAACCATAAGTTCCCATCCCTCAAGACTCTCCGTCTTTCCCTGAGTAAGTGTAGCCCTTGCTGACTGTCAGGCTGGGAGAGAGGAGGGCTACCTTTCTCATGGGACCAGGGCACATCTGATCCACATGCCGTCTTTTCTGCTGGCCTCATGCTCCTTCAAAAGGGTACGTACAGCACAGCCTCTACTAACCCACCTGAGTGTTTTGGCAGCTTCCTGGGAGCAGTTCATATCCCCAGCACTGCTGGTGCTTGACCCCAGGGAGCCTGAAGACAAAATTGCAGGATGGTCCCAACCCCCCAGAGTTCAATCATACCACCCAAGGGTATTGAGCTGAAATCTGTGGCCAGAGCTCAAGCAGGAAGGAGCCCCACTCTCAAAACACAGAGAAGAATGAGGCATGGGTTCCTGTGTCAGTGTGAGTGCTAGATGTTCCTCCCTCTGCAAAACTGGTCTGGGCAAGGTGTAGTCTGTTGGCCAGCCACAGCTTCTGTTTGAGGGAGCCCTGGAAGAGCCCAGTGATCTGGGCACAGAAGGTTTTGGACGAGTTTAGCTGTTCAGGCCTGCTCCTGTGGCAGACACTGGAGGGAGACCTGGTAGGGAGATGGTGAGCTGGGTGGACTCCACAGCCATTTGCTGGGCTAAAAGATCCCAGGGCAAGGGCATCACACCAACTGCACACCTGTGGCACCACAGCCCTACCAAGGGATCCTCCACCCTTGACCCACTGCATCACGAGACCACCACCAGACATATCCCACAACCTGGTGTGACTCTCCCAAACTCAGAGGACTAGCAGGTTCACAGAGAGTTGCAACTGTCCTTGTGACCTAATCTTTGGCATTGGCCACCCCTAATGGAGGGCCGAGTGCAGCCTACAAGGGCCCCTTTTGGGCTAAGGAGATGTAGATATGGTGCCAGTGATTGAAGGGGGTTTCTCCAAGGTCTGGGAACAGCCTTGGTGAGAGGGTCATCTCTTGCCCCATCTCCCCCTCCCCAGAGCACTGCTGCATAATCGCTGAAATACAAAAGTGGTCCACAGCTCAGTAAGAGCCTATTTGCTGGCCCATATTCTTAAGTGCTATCTACTGTATCAAAGCTTGAATTATACCACCAAACAAAAATAAATTTCTTCAGCATAGAAAGCCTGTGAAACTCAAAGCAGGAAACTAGCCACAACTAAGGAACCCACACAGAACTTTGGCCCTCTGAAAGCACCCAGAAAAGAAGCCAATAGATTATGCACTAGAAGTACCACAGTCAGGCCGGATGCAGTGGCTCATGCCTGTAATCCCAGCACTTTGGGAGGCTGAGGCAGGCGGATCATGAGGTCAGGAGATCAAGACCATCCTGGCTAACATGGTGAAACCCCATCTCTACTAAGAATACAAAAAAATTAGCCAGGTGTGGTGGCAGGTGCCTGTAGTCCCTGCTACTAGGGAGGCTGAGGTAGGAGAATGGCATGAATCCAGGAGGTGGAGCTTTCAGTGAGCCAAGATCACGCCACCACACTCCAGCCTGGGCAACAGAGCGAGACTTCTCTCTAAAAAAAAAAAAAAACAAAAAAAACCACAGTCAAATCCTCAAGGGAAAAAATATAGAAACAAAAAGCCCCATTCGCACAACAGAAACTACAAAAAGAAAAGTAAACAACAGACCCCCAGATAAAATGTAATCAGGGAAAGAACTCCAGCAATTCAGAGAGTCAGAGTGTTTTCTTACTTCTGAAGGATTGCAATAGCTCCCCAGCAATGGATCTTAACCGGATTGAAATGTCTGAAATGTTAGACATAGAATTCAAAATCTGGATGGAAGGAAGCTCAATGATATTCAAGAGAAAGTTGAAATCCAATTCAAGAAAGCCAGTAAATGATCCAAAAAGATGACATGGTCATTTTAAGAAAGGACAAAAATGAACTTCTGGAATTAAAAAATTCACTACAGAAATTTCAAAATGCAATTTGAAGCATTAACAACAGACTAGAGCAAGGTGAAGAAAGAATTTCAGAGCTTGAAGACCAATCCTTTGAATCAACCAAGTCAGACAAAAATAAATAAAGAAAGAATTAAAAAAAATGCAGTCTTTAAGAAATATGGGATAATGTAAAGAGACTAAACCTGTGAGTCACTAGCATTCCTAATTGAGAAAGAGAATAAGCAATGTGAAAAATATATTTGAGAATACAGTCAACGAAAATTTCCCAATCTCTCTAGAGAGGTTGATATGCAAATCTGAGAAATACAGAGAAACTGCAATAGGTATTATACAAGATGACCATCTCCAAGGCACAGTCATCATTCTTTTCAAAGTCATTGTTTTTTTTCTAAGAAATCCAAGAAACACAGAGAAACTGCATTAGATATTTTACAAGATGACCATCTCCAAGGATCATAATCATGATTCTTTCCAAAGTCAACACAAAAGAATAAGCTTAAAGGCAGCTAGAAATTATGGACAAATCACTTACAAAAGAAACCCATCTAGCTAAGAGAAGCCTTCTCGGCAGAAAACTTACAAACCAGGAGAGGGTGGGGGCCTATTTTTAGTGTTCTTAATGTAAAAGAAATTCCAACCTAGAATTTTGTAAATCACTAAACAAAGCTTCATAAGCAAAGAAGAAATCAAATATTTTCCAGACAATCAATTGCTAAAGGAATTTGTTACCACTAGACCAGCCTTACAAGATATCTGTAAGGGAGTTCTAAACATGGAAACAAAAGAACAGTATCTGCTACCAAAAAAACACACCTAAGTACATAGCTCATAGAACCTGTCAAGCAACTACATAATTGAGAGTACAAAGAAAACAGCTACCAACACCATGACAAAATCAAAACCTCACATATCAATATTAAGCTTGAATGTAAAACAACTCAGCCATCTGCTGTCTTCAAGAGACTCTTCTCACATATAATGACACCAAAAGGCTCAAAGGAAAGGAATGGAGGAAGATCTATCATGCAAATGGAAGACATAGAAGAGCAGGCATAGCTGCTGTCATATCAGATAAAACAGACTTTAAACGAACAATGGTAGAAAGGACAAAGAAGAGCATTGCATAATGTTAAAGGGTTCAATTAAACAGGAAGACTTAACTATGCTAAATATAGGTGCACCCAACATGGGAGAACCAAGATTCATTAAAAAGTACTTCTAGTCTTATGAAAAGACTTAGACAGTCACACAGAAATATTGGGGGACTTCAACACTCTGCTGGCAGCATTAGAAAGATTGTTGAGGCAGAAAATTAACAAAGATATTCTGGATTTAAACTTGACACTTGACCAATTAGCCTAATAGATACCTACAGAATACTCCACCTAACAGCCACAAAATGTATATTCTTCTAATCTGCACAGGGAACATACTACAAGATTAATCACATGCCTTGACCATGAAGAAAGTCTTAATAAATTAAAAAAGATGAAATTATACCAACCATAGTCTTGGGCCACAGTAGAATAAAAATAGAAATGAATACCAAGAAGATACCTCAAAACCAACATTACATGTAAACTAAACAACTTGCTCTGAAATGACTTCTGGGTAAACAACACAATTAAGGCAGAAATTAAAAAATTCTTTGAAATAAATGAAAATAGAGACATGCCATACCAAAACCTCTGGGATGCAGTAAAAGCAGTGGTAAGAGGAAAGTTTATAATGCTAAACACTTACATCAAGAAATTGGAAAGATCTCACATGAACAATCTAACATCACACCTACAGAAACTAGAAAAATAAGAGCAATCTACCTCAAAGATAGCAGAATAAAAGAATAACAAAAATGAGAGCACAACTGAATGAAATTGACACCCCAAAATCCATACAAACAATTAACAAACCAAAAATGAATTATTTGACAGGATAAACAAGAATGATAGCCTGCTAGCCATATTAGCAAAGATAAAAGGAGATCTAAATAAACACAATCATAAATGACAAAGATGATGTTACAACTGGTCTCTCAGAAATACAAAAGATTATCAGAGACTATTATGAACAGATCTATGGAAACAAACTAGAATATTTAGAGGAAATGGAAACATTCCTGGAAAAATACAACCTTCCAAGTTTGAATCAGGAAAAAATTGAAACCCAGAATAATGAATTCTGAAATTGAATCAGTAATAAAGAATCTACTAATAAAAAAGAGCCCTGACCAGATGGATTCACAACCAAATTCTACCAGAAGCACAAAGAAGAGCTGGTAATTCTACTGAAACTATTCCAAAAAAAATCAAGGAGGAGGGATTCTTCCCTAACTCATTTTACAAAGTCAGCATTACTCTGATACCAAAACCTGGAGAAGACACAATGAAAAAAGAAAACTATAGGCCAATATCCCAGATGAAAATATATGCTAAAATCCTTAAAAAATTACTAGCAAACTGAATCCAGCTGTACATCAAAGAGATAATTCACCACAGCCAAGTAGACTTTATTCCTTGTATGCAAGGATAGTTGAACACACATAAAGAATACATGTCATTCACCACATAAACAGAATTAAAAACAAAAACATATGATCATTTTAATAGATGCAGAAAACGTTTTTGATTAAGTCCAATACACCTTTATTATAAAAACCCTCAAGAAACTAGGCATTGAAGAAACATACCTCAAGATAATGACATCTCTGATAAACCCAGAGTGAACATCATACTGATTGGGCAAAAGCTGGAAGCATTCTTCCTGAGAAATGGAACAAGACAAGGATGCCCTCTCTCACTATTCCTTTTCAGTATAAAACTGGAAATCTTTTCTGGAATATTCAGGTAAGAGAAAGAAATAAAAGGCATCCAAGTAGGTAAAGAAAAAGTCAAACTATCTCCCTTCACTGATGACATGATTCTATACCTAGAAAACCCTAAAGTCTTTGCCAAAAAACTTCTAGAACTGATAAAAGAGTTTAAGTAAAGTTTCAGTATACAGAATCAATGTACAAAAATCAGTAACATTTTTATATATATCAACAGTGTTCAAGCTGAGAGACAAATGAAGAATGCAATCTCATTTACAATAGCTATAAAAATAAAATAAAATAAAAAATAAAATAAAATAAAATAAAATAAAATACATCTGACCAAAGCGGTGAGAGATCGGTACAAAGATAATTAAAAAAACACTACCAAAAGAAATCAGAAATGACACAAATGGAAAAACATTCCACATTCAAGGACTGGAAGAATCAGTATTGTTAAAATGGACATAGTGCTCAAAGCAATGTACAGATACAATGCTATCATTGGTAGTTTCCTATCAAACTACCAATGTCATTTTTCATAGAATTAGAAAAAGCTATTATAAAATTTGTCTGGAAAAAAGAGTCCATATAGCCAAAGCAATCCTAAGCAAAACAACAACAAAAATAAACAAAGCTAGAGGCATCATATTACCTAATTTTAAACTATACTACAATGTTACTGTAAGCATAACAACATGGTACTTGTACAAAATTGTACATATAGACCAACGGAACAAAATCAAGAACCTAGAAATAAAGCCGCACACCTACAACCAACTGATCTTCAACAAAGTCAACAGAAATAAGCAGTGGGAAACAGGCTCCCTATTCAATAAATGGTGCTGTGATAACTGGCTAGTTATCTGGACCCCAATTTATCACCATATATAAAAATTAACCCAAGGTGGATTAAACACTTAGACCTCAAAGTATAAAAATTCTAGAAGAAAACCTAGGATATATCCTTCTGGACGTTGGCCTTGGCAAAGAATTTATGCCTAAGTCCTCAAAAGCAATTTTATAAAAATAAAAATAAAAATCAATAAGTGAGACCTAATTAAACTAAAGAGCTTCTGCGCAGCAAAAGAAGCTATCAATGGAATAAAAAGATAACCTAAAGAATGAGAGAAAATATTCACAAACTATGCATCTGACAAAGATCTAATATCCAGAATTTATAAAGAACTAAAATAATTCAACAAGTAGAAACAAATAATCCCATTTTAAAAATTGGGCAAAAGACATAAAGAAACACATCTCAGAAGAAGACATGCAAATATCCAACAGATATATCAAAAAATGCTCCACATCACTAATCATAAGAGAAATGAAATCAAAACCACAGTGAGATACCGTATTCATCTGTTCTCATGTTGCTAATAAAGACATAACCAAGACTGAGTAATTTATAAAGGAAAAAGGTTTAGTTGACCCACAGTTCAGCATGGTTTGGGAGGTCTAAGGAAACTTAGAATCATGGCCGAAGGGGAAGCAAACATGTCCTTCTTTACATGGCAGCAGCAAGAATTGCTGAGCAAAAGGGGGAAATAAAACCATCAGATCTCGTGAGAACTCACTATCATGAGAACAGCATGAAGGTAACCACCTTCATGATTAAATTACCTCCCACCAGGTGCCTCCCATGACATGTGGGGGTTATGGGAACTATAATTCAAGATGAGATTTGGGTGGGGAAGCCACCAAACCTCATCAAACAGTATCTCACACCAGTCAGAATAGCTATTATTGAAAAGTCCAAAACAATAAATACTGGTGAAGCTGCAGAGAAAAGAGAACCCTTATGCACAATTGGTGGGAATGTAAATTAGTTCAACCATTGTTGGGAGCAGTTTGGACTTTTCTCAAAGAACTAAAATAGAGCTACCATTAGACCCAGCAATCCCATTACTGAGTATATACCAAAAGAGAAATAAATGGTTCTACCCAAAAGATAGATGCACTCATATGTTCATTGCAGCACTATTCACAATAGCAAAGATATGGAATCAACCTAGGTGCCCATCAACAGGATTGGATAAATAATATATGGTACATATACACCATGGACTACTGTACATCCATAAGAAAGAATGAAATCTTGTCCTTTGTGTTATTATGGATGCAGCTGGGGGCCATTATGCTAAGTGAATTAACACAGAAACAAACCAAATACTGTACGTTCTCACTTATAAGCAGGAGCTAAGCATTGGGTACTTATGGACATAAAGATGGGAATAATAGACACTAGAGGAGGGAGAAAGGTAGAAGGGCAAAGGCTGAAAAACTATCTGTTGTATACTATGCTTACTATCTGTGTGACAGGATCAATCATACACCAAACCTGAGCATCATGCAATATACCTATGTAGCAAACCTGTATGTGTACCCCCAAATCTAAAATAAAAGTAAAAACAAAGGAAAATAGAAAAAGATAAACAACACAGATTAGAAGAAAATAGAAAAAGCATACAGAAAATTAATGAAATCAAGAGTTGTTTCTTCCAAAAGGTCAACAAAATTGACAAAC
Organism: Homo sapiens; assembly: GCF_000001405.40. Classification (NCBI taxonomy): domain Eukaryota; kingdom Metazoa; phylum Chordata; class Mammalia; order Primates; family Hominidae; genus Homo; species Homo sapiens. Next base: position 31,565,361 of record NC_000008.11, read on the forward strand.
AAAACTTTAGCTAGATTGACTAAGGAAAAAGGAGATACTATTCAGATAGCTAAAATTAGAAATGAAAGCAGGAACATTCCAACCAATTTTATGGAAATGAAAATGATTGTAAGTATTATGAAAAAGGATAACCTAGATAAAATGGATATATTCCTAGAAAAAACAATTCATCAAGTCTGAGTCTTGAAGCAATAAAATCTCAACGGTGTATAACTATTAAGGAGACTGAATTAGCAACTTAAAACCTCCCCACAAAGAAAAATTCAGGTGCATATGGCTTGACTGCTGAATTCTCACAAACACTAAAAAAAAAACTAACATCTGTCTCCCTCAAACTCTTCCAAGAAACATATAAGTAGGAAACACTTTCAAACTTATTCTATGAGACCAACATTACCCTGAGGTCAAAGCCAGAAAAAAACATTGCAAGACCAATATCCCTGATGAATATTGATCCAAAAATCCTCAACAAAATAATAGCAAACCAAATTCAACAGTACATTAAAAGGTTTCAACACCTATGTTCAAAATATGAATATTGATCAATGTAATATACCATATTAACAGAATGAAGAAAAAACTCACATAATTCTCTCAATTGATGAGAAGAAACATTTGACAAAATTAACACACTTTTCATGATAATAACATGCAACAAACTAGGAATAAGAGGAAACTACCTCAACCTAATAAAGACCATATATGAAAAGCCCATAACTAATATTATACTCACTGTTGAAAGATTGGGGGGGTGAAGCCAAGATGGCCAAATAGGAACTGCTCCAGTCTACAGCTCCCAGTGTGAGCGATGCAGAAGACAGGTGATTTCTGCATTTCCAATTGAGGTACTGGGTTCATCTCACTGGGGAGTGTAGGAAAGTGGGTGCAGGACAGTGGGTGCAGTGCACCGTGCATGAGCTGAAGCAGGGTAAGGCATCACCTCACCCAGGAAGTGCAAGGGGTCAGGGAATTCCCTTTCCTAGTCAAAGAAAGGGGTGACAGACGGCACCTGGAAAATCAGGTCACTCCCACCCTAATACTGTGCTTTTCCAATGGGCTTAACAAATGGCACACCAGGAGATTATATCCTGCACATGACTCGGAGGGTCCTATGCCCACAGAGCCTCGCTCATTGCTAGCACAGCAGTCTGAGATCAAACTGCAAGGTGGCAGTGAGGCTGGGGGAGCGGTGCCCACCATTGCCTAGGCTTGAGTAGGTAAACAGAGTGGCCTGGAAGCTCAAACTGGGTGGAGCCCACCACAGCTCGAGGAGGTCTGCCTGCCTCTGTAGGCTCCACCTCTGGGGGCAGGGCACAGAAAAACAAAAGACAGCAATAACCTCTGCAGACTTAAATGTCCCTATCTGACAGCTTTGAAGAGAGTAGTGGTTCTCCCAGCATGCAGCTTGAGATCTGAGAACAGGCAGACTGCCTCCTCAAGTGCATCCCTGACCCCCGAGTAGCCTAACTGGGAGGCACCGCCCAGTAGGGGTGGACTGACACCTCACATGGCCGGGTACTCCTCTGAGACAAAACTTCCAGAGGAACGATCAGGCAGCAGCATTTGTGGTTCACCAATATCTGCTGTTCTGCAGCCACCGCTGCTGATACCCAGGAAAACAGGGTTTGGAGTGGACCTCCAGTAAACTCCAACAGACCTGCAGCTGAGGGTCCTGACTGTTAGAAGGAAAACTAACAAACAGGAAGGAAATCCACACCAAAAACCTATCCAGCCAGAGAGAAAGGTCGAGTTATCTACAAAGGGAAGCCCATCAGACTGACAGCAGATCTCTCGGCAGAAATCTAGAAGCCAGAAGAGAGTGGGGGCCAATATTCAACATTCTTAAAGAAAAGAATTTTCAACCCAGAATTTCATGTCCAGCCAAATTAAGTTTCATAAGTGAAGGAGAAATAAAATCCTTTCCAGACAAGCAAATGCTGAGAGATTTTGTCACCACCAGGCCTGCCCTACAAGAGCTCCTGAAGGAAGCACTAAACATGGAAAGGAACTACTGGTACCAGCCACTGCAAAAACATGACAAACTGTAAAGACCATTGATGCTAGGAAGAAACTGCATCAACTAACGAGCAAAATAGCCAGCTAACATCATAATGACAGGATCAAATTCACACATAACAATATTAAACTTAAATGTAAATGGGCTAAGTGTGCCAATTAAAAGACACAGACTGGCAAATTGAATAAAGAGTCAAGACCCATCAGTGTGCTGTACTCAGGAGACTCGTCTCACGTGCAGAGACACACATAGGCTCAAAATAAAGGGATGGAGGAAGATCTACCAAGCAAATGGAAAACAAAAAAAAGGCAGGGGTTGCAATTCTAGTCTCTGATAAAACAGACTTTAAACCAATACAGATCAAAAGAGACAAAGAAGGCCATTACATAATGGTAAAGGGATCAATTCAACAAGAAGAGCTAACTATCTTAAATATGCACCCAATACAGGAGCACCCAGATTCATAAAGCAAGTCCTTAGAGACCTACAAAGAGACTTAGACTCCCACACAATAATAATGGGAGACTTTAACACCCCACTGTCAACATTAGACAGATCAATGAGACAGAAAGTTAACAAGGATATCCAGGATTTGAACTCAGCTCTGCACCAAACAGACCTAATAGATATCTACAGAACTCTCCACCCCAAATCAACAGAATATACATTCTTTTCAGCACCGCACCACACCTATTCCAAAATTGACCACATAGTTGGAAGTAAAGCACTCCTCAGCAAATGTAAAAGAACAGAAATTATAACAAACTGTCTCTCTGACCACAGTGCAATGAAACTAGAACTCAGGAGTAAGAAACTCACTCAAAACCGCTCAACTACATGGAAACTGAACAACCTGCTCCTGAATGACTACTGGGTACATAACGAAATGAAGGCAGAAATAAAGATGTTCTTTGAAACCAACGAGAACAAAGACACAACATACCAGAATCTCTGGGACACATTCAAAGCAGTGTGGAGAGGGAAATTTATAGCACTAAATGCCCACAAGAGAAAGCAGGAAAGATCCAAAATTGACACCCTAACATCACAATTAAAAGAACTAGAGAAGCAAGAGCAAACACATTCAGAAGCTAGCAGAAGGCAAGAAATAACTAAGATCAGAGCAGAACTGAAGGAAATAGGGACACAAAATCCCTTCAAAAAATCAATGAATCCAGGAGCTGGTTTTTTGAAAAGATCAACAAAATGGATAGACTGCTAGCAAGACTAATAAAGAAGAAAAGATAGAAGAATCAAACAGACGCAGTAAAAAATGACAAAGGGTATATCACCACCGAACCCACAGAAATGCAACGTACCATCAGAGAATACTATTAACACCTCTATGCAAATAAACTGGAAAATCTAGAAGAAATGGATCAATTCCTCAACACATACACCCTCCCAAGACTAAACCAGGAAGAAGTTGAATCTCTGAATAGACCAATAACAGGCTCTGAAATTGAGGCAATAATTAATAGCTTACCAACTAAAAAAAGTCCAGGACCAGATGGATTCACAGCCGAATTCTACCAGAGGTACAAGGAGGAGCTGGTGCCATTCCTTCTGAAACTATTCCAATCAATAGAAAAAGAGGAAATCCCCCCTAACTCATTTTATGAGGCCAGCATCATCCTGATACCAAAGCCTGGCAGAGACACAACCAAAAAAGAGAATTTTAGACCAATATTCTTGATGAACATTGATGCAAAAATCCTCAATAAAATACTGGCAAACCGAATACAGCAACACATAAAAAGCTTATCCACCATGATCAAGTGGGCTTCATCCCTGGTATGCAAGGCTGGTTCAACATACGAAAATCAATAAATGTAATCCAGCATACAAACAGAACCAAAGACAAAAACCACATGATTATCTCAATAGATGCAGAAAAGTCCTTTGACAAAATTCAACAACACTTCATGCTAAAAACTCTCGATAAATTAGTTATTGATGGGACGTATCTCAAAATAATAAGAGCTATCTATGACAAACCCACAGCCAATATCATACTGAATGGACAAAAACTGGAAACATTCCCTTTGAAAACTGGCACAAGACAGGGATGCCCTCTCTCACCACTCCTATTCAGCATAGTGTTGGAAGTTCTGGCCAGGGCAATCAGGCAGGAGAAGGAAATAAAGGGCATTCAATGAGGAAAAGAGGAAGTCAAATTGTCCCTGTTTGCAGATGACATGATTGTATATCTAGAAAACCCCATTGTCTCAGCCCAAAATCTCCTTAAGCTGATATGCAACTTCAGCAAAGTCTCAGGATACAAAATCAATGTGCAAAAATCACAAGCATTCTTATACACCAATAACAGACAAACAGAGAGCCAAATCATGAATGAACTCCCATTCACAATTGCTTCAAAGAGAATAAAATACCTAGGAATCCAACTTACAAGGGATGTGAAGGACCTCTTCAAGGAGAACTACAAACCACTGCTCAATGAAATAAAAGAGGATACAAACAAATGGAAGAACATTCCATGCTCATGGGTAGGAAGAGTCAATATCATGAAAATGGCCATACTGCCCAAGGTAGTTTATAGATTCAATGCGATCCCCATCAAGCTACCAATGACTTTCTTCACGAATTGGAAAAAAACTACTTTAAAGTTCATATGGAACCTAAAAAGAGCCCGCATTGCCAACTCAATCCTAAGCCAAAAGAACAAAGCTGGAGGCATCACACTACCTGACTTCAAACTATACTACAAGGCTACAGTATCCAAAACAGCATGGTACTGGTACCAAAACAGAGATATAGACCAATGGAACAGAACAGAACCCTCAGAAATAATGCCGTACATCTACAATCATCTGATCTTTGACAAACCTGAGAAAAACAAGCAATGGGGAAAGGATTCCCTATTTAATAAATGGTGCTGGGAAAACTGGCTAGCCATATGTAGAAAGCTGAAACTGGATCCCTTCCTTACACCTTACACAAAAATTAATTCAAGATGGATTAAAGACTTACATGTTAGACCTAAAACCATAAAAACCGTAGAAGAAAACCTAGGCATTACCATTCAGGACATAGGCATGGGCAAGCACTTCTTGTCTAAAACACCAAAAGCAATGGCAACAAAAGCCAAAATTGCAAATGGGATCTAATTAAAGTAAAGAGCTTCTGCACAGCAAAAGAAACCACCATCAGAGTGAACAGACAACCTACAGAATGGGAGAAAATTTTTGCCACCTACTCATCTGACAAAGGGCTAATATCCAGAATCTACAATGAACTCAAACAAATTTACAAGAAACAAACAAACAACCCCATTCAAAAAGGATATGAACAGACACTTCTCAAAAGAAGACATTTATGCAGCCAAAAAACACATGAAAAAATGCTCATCATCACTGGCCATCAGAGAAATGCAAATCAAAGCCACAATGTGATACCATCTCACACCAGTAGAATGGCGATCATTAAAAAGTCAGGAAACAACAGGTGCTGGAGACGATGTGGAGAAATAGGAACACTTTTACACTGTTGGTGGGACTGTAAACTAGTTCAAGCATTGTGGAAGACAGTGTGGCGATTCCTCAGGGATCTAGAACTAGAAATGCCATTTGACCCAGCCATCCCATTACTGGGCATATACCCAAAGGATTGTGAATCATGCTGCTATAAAGACACATGCACATGTATCTTTATTTTGGCACTATTCACAGTTACAAAGACTTGGAACCAGCCCAAATGTCCAGCAATGATAGACTGGATTAAGAAAATGTGGCACACATATACCATGGAATACTTTGCAGCCACAAAAATCGATGAGTTCATGTCCTTTGTAGGGACATGGATGAAGCTGGAAGCCATCATTCTCAGCAAATTATCGCAAGGACAAAAAACCAAACACCACATGTTCTCACTCATAGATGGAAATTGAACAATGAGAACACATGGACACAGGAAGGGGAACATCACACACCAGGGACTGTAGTGGGGTTGGGGGAGGGGGGAGGGATAGCACTGGGAGATATACCTAATGTTAAATGAGGAGATGATGGGTACAGCACACCAACATGGCACATGTATACATATGTAACAAACCTGCACATTGTGCACATGTACCCTAAAACTTAAAGTATAATAATAATAAAAAAAGAAAGATTGTAATCTTTTCGTTTAAGATTATGAACAAGATAAAATGGTGAGAGGTGCCCCTGTCACCATTTCTATTCACCACAGTACTTGAAGTCCTAATCAGAGCATTAGACAAGAAAATGATATAAAAGACATTCAGTTGTTCTCTGTCTTTGCAGATTACATGATCATATATGTGGAAAACCCTGAAGATTAACATACATACACAGAAACCTCTTAGAACTATTAAATGAATTCAGCAAAGTTGCAGGATACAAAATCAGCACACCAAAATTATTTTGTTTTTTATACACTGGCAATGAACAACTTTGAAAGGAAATTAAGAAAACAAATTCCATTTAAAATAGCATTGGGAATAATAAAATACATATTAATTAACTTAGCCATGGAGATGAAAGGCTTATACCTGAAAATTACAAAATATTGCTGAAAACAAATAAATGGGAAATCATCCTATGTTTGTGGATTGGAAGACATATTACTGTTAAGATGTTGATACTACCTAGGGTAGTCTACAGATTCAGTGCAATCCATATCAAAACCCCAAAACATTTTTGCAGGAATAGAGACAACCTGTTGAGTTAGAGAAAATATTTGCAAACTACTCATCCAACAAGGGACTAATATCCAGACTATACAAGGACTCAAACAACTCAACACTTAAAAAAACACAAAGAATCCCATTAAAAAGTTGGCAAAGGACATGAACAGACATTTCTCAAAAGAAAACATACAAATGACCAACAGGTATACAAAGCAGTGGTCATCATGACTAAGCATCAGGGAAGTGTAAACCAATACCACAGTGAGATACCATCTTACCCTAGTTAGAATGGCTATTACTAAAAAGACAAGCAACAGATGCTGGGAATGATGCAGAGAAAAGGAAACTCTTACACACTGTTGGTTTGAATGTAAATTAGCACAGCCATTATGAAAAACTGTATGGAGATTTTTTTCAAAAATCTAAAAATGGAATTACCATATGATCCAACAATCCCACTACCAAATATTTATCCAAAGGAAAAGAAATCAGTATGTCAAAGACATACCTGCACTTGGACGTTTATTGCAGCACTATTCATAACAGCAAAGGTATGGGGTCAACCTAAATGTCCATCATTGAATGGATGGATAAAGAAAATTTGGTATGTACACACACACACACACACACACACACACACACACAAATACACAGTGGAATACTATCTAGCCACAGAAAAGAATGAAATTATGTCATTTGCAGCAACATGGATGAATTAATAAAGTGAAAAGACAAAAAAGGAAAGAAAAACCTATCCTAAAATTTATATGGAATCTTATAGGATCTGAATAATCAAAATAATCTTGAAAAGGAAGAAGAAAGTATGAGTTATCCCACTTTCTGCTATCAAAACTTATTTACAAAGCTCTAGTATTCAAAACAGAGTGGCATAAAGATAGATAAATAAACCAAGAGGGTAGAAGAGAGGGACCAGAAATAATCTCTCATATATGTTATCAAGGGTGCCAAGAGCATTCAATCCGGTAAACGACAGTGTTTTTCAACAAATGGTCGTAGTGGTGGGGGTACTGGATATCCACGTACAAAAGAATAAAATTTGATTCTTGCCTTATACCATATGCAAAAATTAAATAAAAATGGATCCAAGTTCTAAATGTAAGACCTAGAACTAAAAATCTTTTAAAAGAAAACAGGAGAAAAGCATTATGACATTGGATTTGGCAATGATTTCTTGAATAGGACACCCAAAGCACAGACAACAAAAGAAAAAAAATAGATAAAAAAACTACATCAAAATTAAAAACTGTGCATCAAAGGAACATTCAACAGGGTGCAAAGGTGCAAAAGCAACACACAGAATGGGTGAAAATATTTGCAAATCACATATCCGATTGGGGTTAATATCCAGAATATATAAAATAAGTCCTATAACTCAACAGCAAAAAACAACCCAATTCAAAAATGGGCAAAATACTTGAATAGATATTTCTTTAAAGAAGATATTCATGTCCAGCAAGCACATGAAAAGATGTTCAACATGACTAACATTAGGGAAATGCAAATCAAAACCGCAATGAGACAGCACCTCACACTCATTAGGTTGGCTGCTATTCAAAACAAACAAGCAAAACAAACAAAACTGAGCAGAAAATAAAAAGTGTTGGCTAGCATGTGGAGAAATTAGAACCCTTGTTCACTGTTGGTGGGAGTGTAAAATGGTACAGCTGCTATGGAAAACAGTATGGTGGTTCCTCAAAAAATGAGAAAATGATTACTATGTGATTCAGCAAGTCCACTTCTGGGTATATACCCCAAAGAATTGAAAGTAGGGTCTCGAGGAGATAGTTGAACACCTATGTTCATATTAACATTATTGACAATAGCTAAAAGGTGAAAGCAACCTAAATGTCCATTGATGGATGAATGGATAAACAAAATGTGGCATATGCCTATGATGGAATATTATTCAGCCTTAGAAAGGAAGGAAATTCTGACACATGCTACAAATATGGGTGAACCTTAAGGACAGTATGCCAGGTGAAATTGGCCAGTCAGAAACAGAAATACTGTATGACTCTACTTATATGAGGTACCCAGAGTACTGAAATATAGAGACAGAAAGTAGAATGGTGGTTTCCAGGGGCTGGAGGGAAGGGGAATGGGCAGTTAGTGTTTAATGAGTACAGAGTTTCAGTTTTGCAAGATGATGAGTTCTGAAGATGGATGGTAGTGCTGGTTGCACAATATTAATGTACTCAGTACCACTTAACTGTACACTTAAAAATAATTAAGGTGGTGATATGGTTTGACTGTGTCCCCACCCAAAGCTCATCTTAAACTGTAGCTCCCATAATTCCCACGTGTCATAGGAGGGACCTGGTGGAAGGTAATTGAATCATGGGGTTGGGTCTTTTCCATGCTGTTCTCATGATTGTGAATAAGTCTCATGAAATCTAATGGTTTTATAAAAGGGAGTTCCCCTGCACACACTCTCTTGCCTGCTGCCATGTAAGACATGACTTGACTCCTCCTTTGGTTTCCGGCATGATTGTGAGGCCTTCTCAGCCATGTGGAACTATGAATCCACTAAACCTCTTTTTCTTTATAAATTACCCAGTCTTGGGTATGCCTTTATTAGCAGCGTGAAAATGGAATAATACAGGTGGTAAATTTCATGTTATGTGCATTTTACCACAATTAAAAATAATAAAAAGATGATCATGGGCTTCTAGTTCAATTATTCCATTTCTTCTCCAAATTATAATCTTACCAAAGGAAAAAAAAACAAATGAGATTTAAACTGCCAAGAACAAGGGCAAGGTGAGGGTCTTTGGGCCTTATAATTGATGAATATCTTGCCAAAGTAACATTACTTAGAGTTTCAAATTGCTGAACGATGACCAATAAATTTGAGAGGAGGAGGGGGATGAAAGAGCACAGTGTCAGGGAGCTAGTTCTTCTATGTTTTATGGAAGGATGTTAATAGATTTTCCTTCAAATTAATAAAATTAGGACAAGTAGTATATATTTTAATTGAGATAACTGTAGAAGAACTAAAACGTATTTGATCAAAAGTGATAATTTCAGCAAGCTAACCTGGGATAGTAGAAATAGATTAGGAAGGCCTAAATTTTCATATTGTACTCTTTATTATCATTTAAAGCATTTTTTATGCACATACATTGCTTTAGTTTTAATAATTCTAAAATTCTCACATAATATAGCAGAGTATAATGAGAAATATAATAAACACCTTTTTTCTTAATAGCTAGATTTTTCAAATCATAACATTTTACCATCTGTGCTTCAGATATTTGCTAAGAAACAATATATTACAGATACATTTGAAGTTTCTACCTAATAATTCCTCTCCTTCCCCAGGGGAGGTTGGTGTTTTTTATATTATATTTATGATACACACACATTTTAAATCAATATATGTATCATATATAATACAAATGGTAAAGCACTAAATATTTTTTCCATATTTTAAAATTTATGTAAATAGCATTATACTTTCTATATTCTGCAATTTTCTTTTATTGCTCAGTGTTCTGTTTGAGAGGAGTGGTTTTGAGGCCTTGAAGTAAAAATTATGATTTATTGCTTTTGTTATTTATTTATGGGGATAAATAATTATGTGATAATATAATCCATAAGTATTACTGCTATGTAACTTGTATAGATAACATTTTATAATCAAAGACATTTACAAACTTTGTATCAAAATGATAATTGGAGTCCTGTTTAGAGAACAAACTAAAAAACTTTGGCAGAAAGGAGAAGCCTGTTTTTTGAGAAATGATTTTGTTTTTGCTTTAAATTGGATAAGTTTTTCTGGACCATAGCTAATGTCAATTTTCATAATAATATACTGGTTGCATAATCCATTTGCCAGTTTGTCTTGGCTGAAGAAGTTACTGAAGGTGAATAAAATTGTAAGTTTTTCTCTCCTTGGGAACAGTTTCTGAGTTATTGAGAGAAAAGGAGCCCAAGTACCTTAGTGAATGGGTCCCGGTGACCCCACACAAAGTTGTAGGAGCTGAGCTTTCATTAGAAATAGTGTTTGTCCCAGAATATTCTATGCGCCATTTTATTTAGTTTCTTCTACAGTCCTCAGAAATAGACATTATTTTCTCATTATTCAAATGAGGTAATTAGAGCACAGAGGTTTGCAAATCACCCAAGGTCACCCAGGTACATGGTAGAATTGGGACTTAAAGCCAGTTCTTTTTTCCTCCAGTGTTCTTTCTATTCCTGCCAATGCAGATAAACCTTTGAAAAAATGTAAAAGTCTGACTTGGGAAAAGGAATTTAGTTTATTTTACTTTCCAATTTCTCAGTCTGATTTTCACAAAGAGAGTTTTTTGTTGTTGCTTGTGAATAGGTTTCTATATATTTTTATTGGCCCTAGCTATGTGACTCTTCTCAAAGCCTAAAAACCTGAATGTATTTTCAAACTGATAATGGTCACTTCTACCCAACATTATGAGCTTTGTCAATACGTTTTCCTCATCTTCTGTCATACATATGCATGCTTATTTTATTTTTTACATATTTATTTCTTATTTTCTCCCCCCAAATTCACCTCCCTCATTGTCCAAATTCAATACAGCTATGGTATTGGCAATATCTACTTTGCCTTCTTATGATGTGGTCATTTGTATCAAATGAGAAAACAAATGTTGTTTCAAAGTATGATGAGCTATACAAATGAAAGAGATCTAGAAACTGTATTTCAGTCTGAAGTTTAATGTTACTCTCTCTTATGCCAGGATAGGATTACCAGTGATGTAAGTGAACAGAAAAAGAGATACATTTTCCCACAGTTTTGTTCTTTGAAAAACTATGTTTTGTTCTCCGTAAATAAAGGGGAAAGAATGATTTTATAGATAATGCTTTCATTTGCATGTAAGACAGCAAAATTCAACGGACCAATTACAATCATGCATTTTTATTTTGGCAAACTTTTTTCTTGCCATTTAAAATTCGTAAATTTTATTGTATATAACCCAGTAAAGTTGATTTTAGAAATCTCTAAAAGTTAAAAAAAAACCCAAAGAATGTCACTATTTGCAACCACTTAAGATCTAAGTATTAAGCATCTGTGGCTGCTAACATCACAAAAAGAGAGACAACTAGACACTATGTGCCTTTTGCTGAAAGATCGTACCACTACCTAGGGTCATACCCAAAACAGATACTTGCCTCTGATCAATCATCTGGATCCAACAACGAATTTACAAGTTACATAGCAGCCAGAAGATACATGGAACTACTCTATGGGAATTCAATCAGCCAAACCCATATCGTGAGAACATTTATAGAAAAACAACCTTCATCAAGTAAATTTTAAGGATAAAATAGAAGAGATAGAGGGCAAGATAGAAGAGATAGAGGGAAAACTTGCACATTCAAAGAGATTTAGGTATCTATCACATTGAAGAGATTATAATTCCTCATCTTGTTGATGTTCATGCCTTTTGCTGTCTAATGTTACAGTACCCCTCCACCATAGGAGGGGTTACCTGTTCTACCCCTTGACACTGGGCTCAGACACTCTCAGCATTTCCTATTATTAACATCTTATATTAGTATATGGTAGATTTTTGTGATTAGCCAAATATTTATATATTATTATTAACTAAAGTTCATAATTCACTCAGATTTCCTTAGTTTTTACCTAATGTCCCCCCTTTTTTTGTCCCAGAATTCCATCCAGGAAACCACGTTACATGTATTCATCATTTTCTTGGACTCTTCTTGGCTGTGGCACTTTCTCAGACTTTCCTTGTTTTTGATAACCTTGATAGTTTTGAGGAGTACTGGTCAGGTATTTTGTAGAACGTTTCTTAATTGGGATTTGTTTGACATTTTTCTCATTAAAGTCAGTATAAGGATTTTTGGGAAGAAGGCCTCATACTATCAACATGACATCACTGTTGATGTTGATCTTGCTCCCCTGACTGAGGTGATGTGGGTCAGGTTTCTCCACTCATAAGTTACTCCCCCTCTGCTTTTCCTACTGTACTCTTTAGAAAGAAATCACTATGCAAGGCTAACATTTAAGGAGTAGGGAGTTATGCTCCCTCTGCTTGAAGGCAGAATGTCTATATAAATTCTGCATGGGAGATTTGTCTGTTTTTCCCCATTAATTTATTCAATCATTGATTTATATTAGTATGGACTCATAGATATACTTTGGATTATAATTCAACACTGATTTATTTTGTTGTTCAAACTCTTCCATCTGATGATAGTTTATTTTGCTGTGCAGAAGCTCTTTAGTTTAATTAGATCCCATTTGTCAGTTTTTGCTTCTGTTGCGTTTGCTTTTGGCATTTTCATCATGAAATCTTTGCCCATGCTTATGTCCTGAATGTTATTACTTAGATTTTCTTCTAGAGTTTTACATTTAAATTTTGAGTTTTACGTTGAAGGCTTTAATCCACCTTGAGCTGATTTTTATAAATGGTTTAAGGAAGGGATACAGTTTCAATTTTCTGCATATGGCTACTCATTTCTCCCAGTACCAATTATTAAATAGGGAATTCTTTCCCCATTGCTTATTTTTGTCAGGGGTTGTCAAGATCAGATGGTTGTAGGTGTGTGGTCTTATTTCTGAGTTCTCTATTCTGATCCATTGGTCTATTTGTCTATTCTTGTACCAGTACCATGCTGTTTTGGTTACTGTAGCTTTGTAGTATAGCTTGAAGTTGGGTATTGATGGGTATTGAAGCTGGGTATGATGCCTCCAGCTTTGTTCTTTTGCTTAGGATTGTCTTGGCTATTCGGGCTCTTTTTTGGTTCTGTATGAATTTTAAAATAGTTTTCTTCTAATTCTGTGAAGAATGCCAATGGTAGTTTCATGGAAATAGCATTGAATGTATAAATTACTTTGGGCAGTATGGCTGTTTTCACAATATTTGTTCTTTCTATCCATGAGCATGGAATGTGTTTTCCATTCATTTGTGTCCTCTCTGATTTCTTTAAGCAGTGGCATGTAGTTCTCCTTGAAGAGGTCCTTTGCTTCCCTGGTTAGCTGTATTCCTAGGTAAACACAATTTGAATTGATAAGAGGGATATCACACTGACTCCACAGAAATACAAACTACCATCAGAGAATACTATAAGTACCTCTATGTATATAAACTAGAAAATCTAGAAGAAATGGATGAATTCCTGGACACATTCACCCTCCCAAGACTGAACAAGGAAGAAATTGAATTGCTGAATAGACCAATAACAAGTTCTAAAATTGAGGCAGCACTACCTAGTCTACCAACCAATAAAAGCCCAGGATCAGATGGATTCACAGCTGAATTCTACTAGAGGTACAAAGAAGATGAGGTACCATTTCTACTGAAACTATTCCAAAAAATTGAAAGGAAGGGAACCCTCCATAACTCATTCCATGAGGCCAGCATCATTCTAATACCAAACCTGGCAGAGATACAACAATAACAGCAACAACAACAAAACCTTCAAGCCAATATCCTTGATGAACATTGATGCAAATATCCTCAATTAAAAATTGGCAAACCAAATCCAGCAGCATATCAAAAAGTTGTTCATCACAGTCAAGTTGGCTTCACCCCTGGGATGCAAGGTTGGTTCAACATATGCAAATCAATAAATGTTATTCATCACACAAACAGAACTAAAGGCAAAAACCACATGTTTTTCTCAATAGATGCAGAAAAGGCCTTTGATAAAACTTAACATCCCTTTATGTTAAAAACTCTCAATAAACTAGGTGTTGAGGAAACATACTTCAAAATAGTAACAGCCATATATGACAAACCCACAGCCAATATCATACCGAATAAGCAAAAGCTGGAAGCATTTTCCTTGGAAACTGGCACAAGACAAGGATGCCCTCTCTCACCATTTCTATTCAACATGGTATTGGAAGTTCTGGCCAGGACAAGCAGGCAAGAGAAAGAAATAAAGGGTATTCAAATAGGAACTGTCTCTGTTTGCAGATGACATAATCCTATATCTAGAAAATCCCATTGTTTCAGCCCCAAAGCTTCTAAAGCTGATTAGCAACTTCAGCAAAGTCACAGAACACAATGTCAATGTGCAAAAATCACTAGCATTCCTATACACCAACAATAGGCAAGCAGAGAGCCAAATCCTAAAAGAACTTCCTTTCACAATTGCTACAAAATCAATAAACTTACCAATTTTTTTCTCTCATAGATTTTGCTTTTGGTGTTGTGTTAAAAACTTATCAAACTCAAGGTCTTGTAGATTTTCTCCTGTTTCCTTATAGAAATTTCACAGTTTTACACTTTACACTTAGGTCTACACTCTAGATAATTTTTGTAAAAGGTATAAGACTTGTATCTGGATTAATTTTTTCACATATGGACATTATTTTTTCAGCATTATTTTATAAAAAAAACTTTTCTTTCTCTATTGAATTTTTTTGACATAACTCAGTTGACTTTATTTGTGTGTGTCTTTTTCTGGGGTCTCCGTTCTATTCAATTCATCTATATATCTATTCTTTTGCCAATACGATCCTGCCTTGATTATGGTAGCTTTGTAGTAAGTCCTGAAATTCAGTAGTATGTCATCTAACTTGTTACATTTCTCCAGTATTATGTTGGCTATTGTAGACCTTTTGCCCTTCCATATAGACTTCAGGATTAGCTTGCTGATATCTACAAAATAGATTCCTAGGAATTTGATTGGATTCCCTTGGCTCTATAGATAAAGTTGGGCAAAATTGACATCTTTTTTTTTTTTTTTTTTTTTTTTTTTGAGACGGAGTCTCGCTCTGTCACCCAGGCTGGAGTGCAGTGGCGGGATCTCGGCTCACTGCAAGCTCCGCCTCCCGGGTTCACGCCATTCTCCTGCCTCAGCCTCCCGAGTAGCTGGGACTACAGGCGCCCGCCACTACGCCCGGCTAATTTTTTGTATTTTTAGTAGAGACAGGGTTTCACCGTTTTAGCCGGGATGGTCTCGATCTCCTGACCTCGTGATCCGCCCGCCTCGGCCTCCCAAAGTGCTGGGATTACAGGCATGAGCCACCGTGCCCGGCCCAAAATTGACATCTTGACAGTATTGGATATTCCAATCCATGAACATAATTTTTTTTATCAATTTATATATTTTTTATATTTTCTTTTTTCATCAGAGCTTTGTAGTTTTCTACTTATACATATTTTGTTAGATTTATCCCTGAATATTTCTTTTCTTTTTTTTCCTCTCTAGTTTTGGTGCAGTGGCAAGTGGTATTGTTTTAAAATTTCAAATTCCAATTGTTCATTGATGGTACGTAGGAAAGCAATTTACTTTTAAATACTGACCGTGTATCCTGGATCCATTTATTTCCAAATATATTTAGATTTCTCTTTAGATTTCTTTCATGACTCATGGCTTATTCTAAAGTATGCTGTTTAATTCTCAAATATCTAGGGATTTTCCAGCTATTTTTCTGTTATTGATTTCTAGCTTAATTCCATTGTGGTCTAAAAACATACTTTGTATGATTTTTATTCTTTTACCTATGTTAATATGTGTTTTATGGCTCATGATGTAGTCTGTCTTGGTGAATGTTCTGAGTTTTAGAAGATTATGCATTTTGCTGTTATTGGATGGAATATTCTATAAATATCAATTAGATCAAGTTGATTGATAATGATTGATAATTCAGATAATCTATGGTCTTATTGATTTTCTCTCTACTTTTCCTACTAATTACTGAATAGAAGTGTTGAAGTCTCTAACTATAATGGAGTATTTGTCTAATTATCCTTTCAGTTCTTTCAGTTTTTGCCTCACATGTTTTGATGCTCTGTTGTTAGGTGAATATATCTTCACAAAGATATTGGAGAACTGACTCCTTTATCATTATGCAGTGCTCCTTTTTACTCCTGCTTATTTTATTTGTTTTGAAATTTGCTTTGTCTGACCTTAATATAGCTGCCCCAGCTTTCTATTGATATATGTCAGCATTGTATATTCTTCTTCATCCCTTTACTTTTAATCTGAGTCTTTTAAAATTTAAAGTGGACTGCTTATAGACAACATAGATTGTATCTTAATTTCTTATCAACTCTGAAAATCTCTTTTATTTGGTGTATTTAGACCAGTTTGTTACACTTAAAGTGATGGTTATTTATATATTTAGACTTACAGGTACCGTGCTTATAAATGTTTTCTATCTGTTGCATTTATTCTTTGTTTCTTCTTTCCCCTCTTTTTCTGCCTTCTGTGTTTTTAACTGGGCATTTTATATGATTCCATTTTATCCCTTCTCTTAGCATATCAATTATACTTTTAAAGAGTTCGAGATTGCTCTAGAGTTTACAATATATGTTTTAACTAATATAAGTCTAACTTCACATAACAGTATGCCACTTCATGTAGACTATAGTTGCTTTATAATAGAATATTATTCCCCATTCTTCCCTCCTGCCCATTTCACTGATCTATATGCTGAAATTACTTATTATATTGCTATCATTAAACAGTCATCTATTAGTCCACTTAAGTATAAGAAAAATAAAATATTTTGTTTTACCTTAATTTATTCTCTCATTTCTCTCTCTTTCCTTGTAGATCCATGTTTCTGAACCACATGATTCTCCTTCTGCCTGAAGAACTTCTTTAAACTTTTCTTACTGTGTCTGCAGGTGATGAATTACCTCAGTTTTTGTTTGTCTTATAAAGTGTTTATTTCTCTCCTAATTTTGAAGGGTCATTTTGCTAGATATACAATTCTAAGTTGGTGGATTCTTTTTCTTTCAACACTTTAAATATTCACTCCATTCTTTTCATTCAATTCTTTTCTTGCTTGCATGGTTTCTGAGAAGTCCACTGTAATTCTTATTTTTGTTCCTCTACAGGTAATATGTTTTTTCCTCTGGTTACTTTTAAGGTTTTCTCTGTTTTTGGTTTTCTGAAGTTTGAATATGATAGGTGCAGGGGTGGTTTTTTGAAGGTGGGGGTGAGGGTTGCTATATTAGTCCATTTTCACGCTGCTGATAAAGACATACCTGAGACTGGGCATTTTACAAAAGAAAGAGGCTCAAATGGACTTCCAGTTTCACATGGCTGGGGAAGCCTCACAATCAAGTGAAAGGCCAGGAGGAGCAAGTCACGTCTTACATGGATGGCAGCAGGCAAAGAGAGAGCTTATGCAGGAAAACTCCCCCTTATAATAACCATCATATCTTGTGAGACTTACTCACTATCATGAGAACAGCATGGGAAAGACCTGCCTCCATGATTCAATTACCTACTACCAGGTCCCTCTCAGAGCATGTGGGAATTCAAGATGAAATTTGGGTGGGGACACAGCCAAACCATATCAGTTACTTATACTATTTGGTGTTCTCTGAGCTTTCTGGGTCTGTTTCAGTTTCTGTCATTATTTTTGGAAAGTTTTCAGCCATTATTACATCTAATATTTCTTCTGCTTCATTTTTTCCTTCTTCTACTGATGTTACACCTTTTGAAATTGTCCCACAGTTCTTGGACGTCCTGTTTTGTTGGGTTCATTTCCCTCTTTCTTTTTTTTCTCTTTGCAGTTCAGTTTGAGAAGTTTCTATTGCCTTATCATCAAGCTCACTGATTTTTTCCTTGGCTATGTTCAGCCTACTGATGACCTCATCAAGGGAATCCTTTACTTCTATTACTATGTTTTTGATTTCTAACACCTCCTTTTGAGTCTTTCTTAGAGTTTCCACCTATCTTCTTACATTACGCATTTTTATATGTTGTCTATCTTTTTCTGTTAGAGCCCTTAACATACTAATCATAGTTATTTTAAATTCCCCATCTGATAATTCCAACATCTGTGTCACATCTGAGTCTGACTCTGATGATTGGTTTGTCTTTTCGGACTGTTTTTCTTGTCTTTTGGTATTCCTCATAGCATTGTATTGAAAGCTAGACATTGTATTGTATACTAGGGGCTGAGATAATATGTTTTTAGTGAGAAAATTTATGTTAATATGGGTTTAATATTTGTTGTAGCTATAGCTGCCACAGATTTCAGAACCATTCAGTGTCCTTGTTTTTGCCTCTATCCTTGAGGGATTCCTAAATTCTCTTCTTCAGAGAAAGTCAGTGTCTTGTAGCTCTTTTGTATGTAATCAATTATTATTATACTGGAGCTCGATGGTTTGGTAGTAAAAGGTGGGGAGGAATAGCAGTCTATATATAATGTTAAAATTACATCTCAGTGTTTTGGTGAAGGGGAATGGTCTGTACCTTTTGGCTATGACCATCAACACTGTCTTCCCAGTGGTACAGCTTTTTTTTTCTTTTCTTTCTGCTCCCTCCTCCCTTTCTTGGATGCAGTCTTCCTAGTCCATTTCGTTGAAGCCCTGGCTCCTGTTGATTATTTTTTTATCTGAGGTGAGACAGGAAAGCTAGAAGGGCTTGGAATGGGTGGAATGACCGTCCCTCATGTAACATAACCTCAAAAAATGCCTCTTCTCTTAAATAGTAGGCCTTTATTTTAAAGAAGGCTCAAAGATTACAATTATTCCTCTTTCCCTCTCCCTTCGGAGGCATGATGGGATGATTATCTGTTGGGTTTCCTGGAGATAAAGCTCCTGAAAATTTAGGGGTCTGCCTCAGACCTCAGCCATCAAGGAGTTTCTCATGCTCATGTTAGTTCACGCTCAGTCTCCAGCAATTCACCAAAATAATTACTTAAGTGTTCCTACCGGATGATGGCTCAAGAAGCTTAAGTTTCAGGTAAGCAGATCTTAGCTGTGCCTCTCTGTAAATGCCTGTCTCTCTGGATTTGGGGGTATTGATTTATGCTGAAACTTCAATTTCCTTATGGGTCCAAGAAAAGTCATTGATTTACAAATTTTTCTTGCTGTAGACAGAAGTGATAATATCCAAGCCCTTTACATGCAGCTGAACCTGGAAGTTTCTTTGTTTTAAAGTTCTTCATACAGGTTTCACACATGATTTGCTAAGTTTATTCCTATATACTTACTCTCCTTGTTGATATTGCAAATGAGGTTTTCTCTACCATTATAATCTTTAACAGGTTTGCTCCTTTAAATAAGGTTGCTGATTTCACCATATTATTTTTATATTCTGCAACTTCATTGAATTATTTCATGGGTAACGCTTCTTGTATCATTGCTTCTCTAAAGTTTTTTAGGCATACTATTAGGTTTGTGCAAAAGTAAATGTGGTTTTTACTGTTACTTTTAATTGGAAAAACTGCAATTACTTTTGCACCAACCAAATATTATTGCGAGTAGCAATAATTTTACTCCTTCTTTACCAATTCTTATACCTTTAATTGGTTTCTCTTCTTTAATTGCATAGGTAATACCTCTGATACAATGGTGTATAGTCATAAGGATGGTGGTCATCCTTGTCTTGTTTATAATCTTAATGAAAATGGTTCTGATATTTTCCCATTTAGTAAGATATTGGCTTAGGATATCTATCTATCTATCTTATCATGCTAAGAAAGAAATTTTAAGTTTCTTTTTTTTTTAGTGTTTTCACCAGGAATCAGTATTGAATTTCATCAGAGGATTTTTCATTATCTATGGAGATACATAATTTTTTTTCTTAGATTTAATAATGTGGATTATAATACCAATGGGTTATCTAATATTGGACCAACTTTGCATTCTGAAAGAAATTCCACTTAGTTGTGTTGTATTGATTTCACAATGTATAAGATTCTGTTTGCTAATGTTTTAGTTGGTATTTTTACATCAATATCCATAAACATACTGCTCTGTAGGTTTTTTTTGTATTTTTAAAAATTTAGATTTAGGTATTAGTGTAGTACTTGCTTCTTAAAAATTGGGAACTTTTTATTCATCTTTAATGTTCTGCAGCACTCTATAAAACATTGGAAATATCAAATCTTTGATGATTCGGTAGAATTTTTTTCCAAAGTTATCTGGGCAAGGTGCTTTTTTGTTGATGTTTTTCTTAATAACTTACTTTTTATCTTCTATGGAAAATGTTGTCTATCTATAACTGAGTCAAATATCATTTATTTTATTGCCCTAAGAAATTATCCATTTCCTCTGTTTTCAAACCTATTTGCATAGAGGTCTGCAAAATAGTCACGATATTTTAAATTTTTGTTTCAGTGGTTGTTTCCCCTTGTCATCTTCTATTTTTTTATTTTATAATTTCTCCTCTATTTTATTAATTTCTTCAAACTTACAGGAATTTGATTTCAATGGCAAAAGATTTATATCAAATCTTAAGAGAAACCAGAGTATAGGAATTCGATTAATAAGTCTACTGTTTTTCTATTTTTAATTGATTAATTTCTACTTTTATCTAATTTTATGCTTCTTTGTGCTTTCTTTTTACTTTTTTATTGTTTTTTGAGCTGGGTTTTTAATTTCTTAATTTCGTTAAAAATTTTTAAATCAGAAATATTTAGTTTATTTAGTTCTGTGACTTTTCCTCTAAATACTAATTTCAATACATCATTCCATTATTATTTTTCAGAAATTTTGTCATGTAAGTTTGTATTTTCCCTTTAGGTAGAATGTTTTCTAATAAACATTTTTTCTTAAAATTTGCGTGGAAGAGTCTTTTTGCTCTTTAATTCTGTTAACAATTTCTAGTTTTTATTGCATTATGATATTTATTGTTGTGATATTTCTACTTTTTGAAACTTACTGATATTTTCTTTGTGACTTAATATTTGATTATGTTTTGTAAATGTTTTATTGCACTTGAGAAGAGGTGTATTATTTACTGTATGGCTGTAAGTTTGGTATATGCTTATAAAGTTTGGTATATGGTTATAAAATCTACCCTGTTTTACATGTTGTCTAGATCTTACAACTCTTTAGTATTAAGTTGTGACTTTTAGCATTTTCGTTATATTTAATTTTTTTGGATTGAATTCTAGTTTGGCTGATAGCAGATTACATTTCCTGATTTCTTATTGTTTCCATTGACTTTAATGTTTTGTTCATCTCTTAATTTTAGATTTTCTGATTCACCTTGTTTTATGTATGTTTTTTGTATGTAGCATATAGTTACATCTTGCTCTGTGTACCAAACTGAAAATCCTTTCCTTTTATTAATAGTTTAGCCCATTTTTTTACATTTATATTTAGCCCATTTATATTTATATTGATATGGTTGCAATTTTTATTTTACACTCTGACACAATAGTTTATAGTTATGTATATTTTAAGTTATTTGCTATGTTTCTCTTTCTCCCTCTGCATGATGTGTCTTTTTTGCCTTTTAATATTTTTCTAGGTATGCTTTTGTTTACCACAAAAGTGGCCAGCAGGGTAAGACCATGAGAAAACATGCATGGGGATTTGGTGTTTATTCTTTTTGTTACTTACAGTTATCATGAAGTTTGGGTATTCTCTATGTTCAGCTTATGCTGAGGGCATAATTTGCATAGTTTCATTTTTCTTATTATTTCTCTTTATTGCTTTTAGTTGTAGACAGGAACCCAGACAGTTGCTATCTTCCTCCATGACCTAGAATTCTGGCTTCTAGAAATCATAAGAATATTTCCCACTGTAGTCTGACATGCCAAATGTAGCTGTAGCAGTAATTAAATTGGTGGGGGGATTTTAGTAATTCGGTTGACAGCTTTTGGGAAATGACATTGGCTGGATTAAAGACCATAGGAAACCCAGAAAGTTTTTATGCTGCTATACTAGTAAAACTGCCATTAATGTGGACTGTTCAAAATGCTGAAAGACATATGGAACCTCAACTTTCTACAGGCAAGAAGCAGGCTGAGAAAGTCGTTCAAAGGGTATATTTTTTCATGTTCTCTTCAAAAATGGCCAAATAGGGTGATGGAAAAAGAAGAATTCCAAGAACATGGAGCCAAGGGCTGTGGAAAACAACTGACTGAGGAGCCACTCCCAGGAAGCCAAACTGGGGCATTATCAGAAAATATTATTCATCCTAAAAATAGACCCGCCATCCAGTGGGATTGTAGAATTGCTATGTACCAGTGAGTACAATGTGCCTCCTCTCTTTCCCTGTGTGAATGGCAGTGTTTATTGTGACTATTTTGCCTGATTTCGCCTGATTTCACCACTATATGATGATTCGTCTTTTAATTCATAGGCCTCTAGATGGGGACGACCCATATCTATACTTGTGGTGGAGAGTGTGTTGTTCTGCCTAGATACCCCTCAGGAATGAAGGACTTATGTTCTCATCTGCTGGGAGTGCTCGTGAAAGATAGTCCTTAGTTGTCATCCCTCCTTTGGGCTTTTCCAATGGCTTATTTCCCAAGGTCATATATTCTTACAGGGACTGCTCTGATTCACGTTGGGCATGAAGTTCCAGCCCTTTATACCCAAAATTATGAGGGGCCACTCTAAGCTGTAGAATTTCTTTTGGGTTACCTGGGGCTATCTTGGAACTGAATCACAGATCAACATCTCCATCTGTCTGATCCTTCTTTTACTGTTTTCTACAAGTGTTTGTCTCAAGAGTACTCCCAAATAATTATAAGGCGTGCTAATTTCTTTCTCAGGTTATACGTTCCAGGAAACCTAATCTGCATCAAGTCCTGATATATGTCTACCACAAGTTGCTGAATTTTAAACTTGATGCTCTGTGGGATGAGATGTTTTAGGGAGTCTTGTGAGTGTCACCACTCACTAAATATATCTCAGCATGTATGTGGGAATGAATAATTGTAGTCATGAGTAAAGACTATGGTAGATGGTAAAGATGGCTCCATTTTTTCACTGCTCCCTATATTCATGTCTTTTGCCATCTTACTTTGCAGTGTTCCTCCATTCTGACACAGTACATGGCCACGTAACTTGCTTTTTCCTAGGAGGAAGTAGAAGTGGCAGTGTGCTAATACAAACCTAAGCCTCAGAATGTCTTATATATTTGCTTTTTGTTGTTGGCTTTAGTTTTTTTTGGCTGTTTCATTTCTGCACTTCAGCCTGCTGGGAACTGGGAAATAGAAGGAATATAGCCAAGCCATCAAGATCATCCAAGCTGAGGCCAGCATCAAGGAGCTGGAAGCCTATAAATGCAGATATATGAGCGAGCTCTGCTAACATCAGTAGTGCTCCCAACTGACTACTCCAGACGTCGTTAGAACTTACTGCTGTGTACTACTGTAGTTCATTTTGTGGTTGTTTGTTATGCAGCATTATTATAGTAATAGAGATGGGATACAAGGGAAGAAAAAACTATGATGTGTGTGGATGCCCCCTTGGTCTATAAAGGTATAAAGATACCTAGGTGAGTAAGGTAAAGATCAGAGTGTCAGTAATATTGAGGAGAGAGGAGGACTGTGTCTGGAACAAGGCTTATGAAGAGCGGCTCAAGTGGCTGAAAAAGTTATATTTCTTAAACTGGGTTGTGTTTAGAAGGGTGGTAATCATTCATTTAGCTACACATTTTTAAATGTAGATTTTCTCTACTTATTGTATTTTATGGTGAAAAGGTTAAAATAATTTTTTAAAATTACACAATTCAAGGCTTTAACTTTATAGCAAGAGAAATATATATCCTAGAGAGGTTAAGAGGAACAAATGGAAGTTAGCAGCAGGACAAGGATTAGCATCCAGACCAAACATTATGTGAATAAATGAGAAAAATAATATCAATAAAAGGAAGTGATATTTTCATAGAGAAGGACACAGAATTGGACGTAGTGGCTGATATTTGTAATCTCAGCAGTTTGGGAGGTTGAGGTGGGAGGATCACTTGAGGCCAAGAGTTTGAGACTAGCCTGGGCCACATAGTGAGACCCTGTCTCTACAAAAAAAATTTTTAAAAATAGCTGGGTGTGGTGGCATACAACTCTAGTCTTAGCTACTTGGGTGGCTAAGACATGAGGATTGCTTGAACACAGGAATTTGAGGTTGTAGTAGGCTGTGATCGTGCCACTGCACTTCAGCCTGGGCAACAGAACAATATCTTACATCTACAGAAAGAGAGAGAGGGAAGGACAGAAATAATGAGCTATGGAAAATTGCACACTAAAGGTGTTAAAATGTTTTTTTATCAGGGGAGGATACGAAATCTTTTTCTGAAGTTTTCAAGAAAATCATATTTTTGAAATGATAAAATGTATCCCTGTCAAGAGGTGAGAGTTTCTATTAGGAAATGGTTGTTAAGCATCACAATTCCGTGTCTCCCTATCTAAACACTTTCTATACCCACCAAGAAGATAGATTCACATGATCCATGTATGCAAAATCTTATTGACAGAAATGGACTTTGACCTAGGAAATTTTCCATCCTCTCTACCCAGGCTTCCAGGGACACCATGAATGATTCTTTTAGCCTTAGATGATGTATTCAGAACCCCCTCTTTTACATTATAAATACATGGCTCACGTTAGAAAAATTCTTGTAGTAAGCATAGGTTCTACCAGAACATGTATATCTTATTTGCTAACTGCAAATTGTACTCTAGACAGTTATTACCAGTGGTGTTCTCAAGTCTGTCTAGTGAACGCCTCAAATACATTTTATTGACAAATGTCAGAAGTTACTGCACAAAATTGTAAAGCCGTTTGGTTCTGCAATCTGTAAGATTATTCTTCAGTAGAATCAAATATTTTACTTAAATTCTCCCCTACCTTCTATTACCTTTCCATATATTTTTATATTTTGTTAGTATCAGGGTTGAATGATATCAAACAGGAGTATCTACTAAAATTATTAGTGATTCTAAATAATTAGTGTGAATATGCAAATTCAGAAGGTTCAGTTGGTATTTTTACAGTTTACCATGACTCAGGTTAAACATCAACAGGTGTGGACTCTTAGAGTCTATGTACCTGGTCCATTTGCCCTAGGTTAAAATGAAGGAAACAACTGATACCCCCAAAATGTGGAAGGACTTGCCCAAGCTTGTTAGGTGTTCATCCAGACCTGGAAAGAATCTACCTTATGATAGGCCAGTCCTCTTTTCAATGTACTAGTCAGGCTCTCATTAACTTTGACAGAGAAGATGAGAAAATTTATCTTTACCATTAAAATGGTGTCTTAATAAAAACGGTGTGTTTCCAGAATTTCTCTTAGGGGAGGTTTGGGGAGAGAATATGGCAATGGAGGTGGCTTAGGTGCTTGTTTTGAAATTGCACTTAAAAGTAAGATAAGGTTTTTACTTAGATTGGGGGTGGGGTGGGGTGGAGTAGCAAAATACCTCTTGGCTTCTGCACTGATTAAGACTAATTATTATTATTATTATTGTTACAGGGTCTTACTCTGTTTCCCAGGCTGAGTGCAGTGGCACAATCAGGGCTCACTGCAGCCTCAAACTCCCCGGCTCAAGCAATTCTTCTGCCTCAACCACCTGAGTAGCTGGGACTACAGGTGTACACCAACACACCCAGCTAATATTTTTATTTTTTTTGCAGAGACAAGGTCTCACTATGTTGTCCAGGCTGGTCTCGAACTCCCAGACTCAAGCAGTCCTCCTGCCTCAGCCTCCCAAAGTGCTGGGATTATAGGCATGAGTCACCATGCCCAACCAAGACTGATTATTTTTGGAACCTGTTTTAAGATGTGTTGGCATTCTCAATCAGGTTTAGAATAGTTGTATAGACTATACACGAAGATTCAAAACATTTCTTAAAATATTCTATTTTTAGCCAGTTTGCATTTAAGTACTTTAAAAAGGGGGCATTTCATCAGAGACAATGCTAGGTATATTTACCTTACTATATCCATGGCTCTATGTTTTCTAACACTGTGTAATTTACTCTTTTCTAATAGTATAGAAGGAGGCTATGACTCTTAAGTAGGCAGTTTGAGAAAAGAAAATATCTAAAAGCTGCTCTTTAGGGATAAACTGATAATAACAACAAAGTGTTATTAAAGAAACTCAAAGAAGTTACATATACACCTGCTTTTTTTTTCTTTTTCTTTTCTTTCTTTTTTCTTTCTTTCTTTTTTTTTTTTATTTTTTTTTTATTTGAGATGGAGTCTCGCTCTGTTGCCAGGCTGGAATGGAATGCAGTGGTGGGATCTTGGCTCACTGCAACCTCTGCCTTCCGGGTTCAAGCAATTCTCCAGCCTCAGCCTCCTCCTGAGTAGCTGGGATTAGAGGCGCATGCCACCACGCCCAGATAATTTTTGTATTTTTAGTAGAGACAGCGTTTCACCATGTTGGCCAGGCTGGTCTTGTACTCCTGACTTCGTGATCCGCCTGCCTTGGCCTCCCAAAGTGTTGGGATTACAGGCGTGAGCCACCGCACCCGGCCCCATATACACTTGTTTTAAATCAACATTTCTCTGTGTGGATAAGATAAAAATTCAATGTGTATTCTCTGTGAAGCACACAAAAGGACAAGTCTTCAATTTAAAGGATCTAATAGCCTTCGAGTCTCTTGAGAATCTAGATTAATAGAGGTTACTCAGAAAATTGCAGAACATAGGAAATCCAGCTAGTGAACCTGTAACACTTGGATCCAAAAGCTAAAATCCTCTCATGAGGAAAAGCAAACAAAGACAAATATCCACAGATGTAATAAAATACCCATGACATAAGTATTTCCTGTTGTGTTTTTGGCTTCACAAATACAGTATGGGTTTATATATCTATCAATTATATCAACTTAAAGTGTAGATTATGGAAAAACCTACATTTATTATCACCATCCAACAGTTCCCATATTTCCTCATGATCCTGTTACCTATAAGCATCAAAATGCAAAGCTGGCTTCCACCTGTGGAAAGTCGTCCCTGAGAGTCATTATTTTCCTTTTAACATTGACATCATACACTTTGACCTAAATTAGGAATTAAAACACTATCAGAGCAATCGTTAAAATTTTATAAGGTAAACTTCAGTTCTTTCTTCGGAGGATCAGAAATACTCATGTAGCCTCCATCTAAGGAATCCAAGGTGCAGGAAGCGGAATGACGTACCAGACATGACACAGCAATAAGT
Organism: Homo sapiens; assembly: GCF_000001405.40. Taxonomy (NCBI): domain Eukaryota; kingdom Metazoa; phylum Chordata; class Mammalia; order Primates; family Hominidae; genus Homo; species Homo sapiens. Next base: position 31,592,895 of record NC_000008.11, read on the forward strand.
GGAAGGGTTTTGATGAGGATCAGTGCTTCTCTGAGTAAGGTGAGGCTGAAGAATTGAGGAGTCTCTGCCAGCCCCAATTAACTCACTTCTTTGAATTCTACTGATGGAGATTGTTCTGGGAATATCTGAGATAAAATTTATCTTTGCAATAACTGTTATTTTTAAGGAAAATTTCATGAACGAACTAACAGCAAGTACAAGATTTTGGAGACTAACATAATGGGTGATTATTATGGCTACTTAAGCTAACAAACTTTTAAGATAGAACAACTATTTTGCATATAAATATTAAATCAAGTGTTTTCCATTCAATTCCTAATGAGGAAGCTTTCCTACTGGCCATAGCGGATACCTAACATCACTTACTAGCTGTTTCTTTGTTACTGAACATGGCAGGAGGGGGCATGGGGGGGTGTCATGGGACTGCCTACTTTCAGAAAGTTCAGCTTTTTGTATTTCATATAACAGCAAAAGTTTACAGGACTTGGAAGTTCATATAGTATTTATATTGTGCCAAGTAGAGCTCTTAACAAGCAATTACTGTATACAAACACCTTCATTAAAAAAATGAGAATTTTAGATGACAGTCATGTGTATCATTTCTTAAAGATAACCTACAAGGAGTCAAAGGAGTTTCTCTGTTTGGCCAACACAGAACAGCTGATGAATAAATATATTCATAAGGAGAAACTGGCTGAAAAATAAAATACCAGTGCTTTGTAAAAGCAATGATGGAGGTGAGCAAATCCTAATCTTAAATGAGACATAAAAAGGACCGCACGTCAATTCAATTGTTTAATTAGAGATAATTCTCAGAAGAAAAGGGGTTAATTTTTTCAAAATAAATGATTCAATTTATGATAAGCCCTAGAGGCTTTATGCTAATTACAAGTTATTTTAAGACTTGCGGTTGTAAGCACAGTTTATGGTTACCTCTGTGAGAGCTGTTTGGATCATGAGAGCTCTACTTTATGCCTTGTTTTAGCTGCTTGAAATGAGATTTTGTTGTTGTGCAGGAACACTAATATAAAAAGCAGAATTTGTGTGTTTTGTTGGTACGCATAGATCATAACTGTGGGCCATGAGGAATGTGCAGCTGTTCTTTCATTGCACTAGGAAGGAAAATGTTTTGCTGTGTTACAAGTCTGTGTGCTTATACCTTCCTGACTTGCTCCTTTCAGAATAATTTCCCCAGAGTCAAATCCCAGGCAAGTGCAGCCTTTACATATTGAGATGGGCATAAATGCTAGCTCGAGGCTTTTTCTGAAGTTGTGAAAGGTTGACAGTACTTTACTGGTTGGCTCAAGTAAGAAATTATGGAGGTTTTCATGTCAGAACAGCTGCACTTACATTTTCCATCCAAAACACTTACCAATTTACTCAAAATTAGGAGATAATTGAAAAGCAGTTTCATAACATTCTGGCTTTCTAAAAGAAAATAAAATTGTTTTAAAACATGCAAATTATATTGTTAATTGCTGAGTGTTTTTTTCTCTCATAGTAGCGGTTGTGCATTCTGTCTATGCCTGCTTGGATATTTATGTTGAGTAACTACATTTGTTTTGTTTTCAGTTATAAAATGTTCTTTTACTTGAGTAAGAGCAAATTCTTCCCTTATTTATTTTTCCAGAGATGTCATGCTCATTATGTATGCATTTGGGTGTAACTACAACAAAACAAAATGGATTTTCATAAATAAAATTTACATAGCTGAAAAGAGCACATTTTATCTCCAAGATAAGCATTGCCATCTTTTTTCTGATTGTTGCTCTGTAATTCTTCTGAACAACAAAATGAAAATAAGTCAAAATGAGAAATCAATTCTGTCTCTTTATAAAATGTCAAATATGTATGTCAAATTCCCTAAGAACTGTAAATGGCTCTTAGTATTTTTAAAAATCCTAGATGTAATTACATTAAGTAATTTGGTTTCCAAAGGAGTTTGAATAATTAAAAAGCACTTGCTGATTTTCTTCAGTAGACTAAAAAGTATTTTAATAATGCACAAATAGCAGAAATTGAAAAAAGACTTAAATAGAAGGATCATTTTAACTAACCAATTTATGAATTTTGAAATTTCAAGCTTATGGTGTTTATACCAAGACATGCTACCTATTAGTTACAGGCAGATGACATTAGTGAGAAATCAGTTATATGTTAGGCTTTTAAAATTTAACTCAATTCTAAAAGCTTTCCTCTCTCTTTACATGGCTGTTCCATAACCATATGGGAGACATGAACTCCAGTTGACTCTGGATTACCTACGGAATTGGGGTGAGGGTTAGTATGGATAAATGAAATCCACAGATAATCTTAAGACATTTTAGCTTTCATCTCCCCAATCTCCCCTGCCTCCAAATTATTTCAGCCGCTGAGATGCAGCAAAATGTAATATGTCCTTGTTTTATTTTTTTCTCTTATGTTTCCTAGTTTTCTCGATTACTTTAACAGAAGTTTAGGGAAAACTGAGTGGTCCGTGTGTAGGCATGAGGCAAAAGGCATTGAATTTAGATCCTCATCCTTAAATAGGCATGACTGTATGAGCCATGCTGTTTTCTTGCAAACCATTTTTTTTCTTGCCCCTGACAAATTGTAACCTGCTTTCTCTGGTGAAAGCAGTTCTGACCCTTTTCCATCCCTAATAACTGCTTGGAACCTGACTAAGATAAAGGGTCCTGCTGCTGCAGACGCCAGCTTACAGGGCACAATCAGGGCTAGCATTGATTGGCAATGGTTCATTACCCATGGGGACAGCTGCCCTGTTTATCATCCTAATCTTTTTTGGACCCAATGTTTTTTGTTTTTTCACCCACTCTGTGGTAGAGCTGAGGCTGGAGGAGGCTGTGCTTGGGTTCATCTTACCAGCTGGAAAGAATGAAAACGTGACCAAACACCTGAAAAATTGCCACCTGGCCACACAATGACTTTAATGAGACTGGCTCTCATCTCCTTCTGGGACTGCAATCACAACAAGACAATGTTTGTTAGTTTTTAATGCAATAATCAGTTCTTTTGAAGGAAAGCACTCTATGTAGGGTTAGGGGTGGCTGGGTGGCTAAAAACAAACTGTGTTTTTTAAAAAAAACATCAACTGCTGCTAAAAACCAATGTGTTCATTGTTTTTTAAAGTCAGGACTATCATGTAAGTAGACATTGCTTTTATTTCTTTTGAAAAAGAAGAGGCTGATTCAAATCAAGAATCTCTCAGTTTATTTCTTTGTAATAATTTATACATTTATAAATTCAATCATTTCTGTATTCTTCCTGTGAAGAATTATTATAATTTATCTGGCTCTAGAGAAAAATAAGGACTTGGGTATCCAAGATTTAAACCTTCAGTATCTAAACACCAGGAGGTGCTCTAAGATAACATGAAACAACACATTTCCCCGAGATTTACGGATTCTAGTTACATGAAATTTACTGACAAAACTGTTTGCTCTGAGAGGCCCTAAACGTTCAGATTCTAAGGTATGCAGTGTAGTAGACCATCTTCTGGATCTCAAGGACTCTTTCAAGGGAGAACAGTAGCCCTGTCAAGATTTCGGGGACATTAGTAAAAATTTGCAGAGAGATGTTTTCTACATGCCTATGACCTGGAACTATCTGTGGAAGATGGTAAACAAAGAATGTTAATACTGAGTTTGTTTTGTGTTACACAGTTTAAAATGCGGTGAGAAAGCCAGGTGAGACTATGAAATTTTGGAGCTGGTGTATTACATTGTGCATGGATAAGTACTGTATTTGCTCTTCCAAACCAGAGATCAGGTGAAATTATGAAGACAACCTTTTCAGGTATTATATAGGGAGAAATTAAAGAGAAATTTATTTGTGTTTTTATGGATAATCAATAGGATCCTATCCTGGGGAAAGCATTCTAATAAGTAATTTAAAAAAATAAGCTTCATTGAGTTACAATTTACATACAAGAAAATTAATACAATGAATTTTACAGTTAGAAATGCATAATTTGATGAATTTTGGCAGATGTGGATAGTCATGTAAGTACCACAAAAGTCATGATATAGAACATTTCTATCATCCAAAAAGAGTTCTTTCATGTTCCACGTCAATTAATGTCATTGCTCCACACCTTGGACCCTGGTAACTAATGATTTGTTTTCTATTGCTATAATTTTGCCTTTTCTGGAATTTTATATTCATTTTTTTTTGTGGCCAGCTTTTTAAACTTTTCATACTGCTTTTGAGATTCACCTATGTTGTATGTATTAATAGCTGATTTCTTTTTATGACAGAGTAGTATTCCATTGTATGGATGCATTGTAATGTTATTATACATTCACAACTTGATGAATATTGAGTTTTTTTCCAATTTTTTGGTATTATGAATAAAGCTGCAATGAAGATCTGCATGCAAGTCTTTGTATAGACAAGTGCTTTTCCTTTTCTCTTGGGAAAATACTTGGGAATGGGATGGCTAGAACATATAGTGGGTATATTTTTAACTTTTTCAAGATACTCTTATAATATTTTTCAGAGCATTTGTACTGTCTTACATTACCGCCAGTAGATTATAAAACTTCCAAATTCTCTGCACCTCACCAACACTTGGTATGGTCAGTCTTTTTAATTTTAGCCATTCATAGTGGTTGTAACTTGCATTTACCTAAAGATACACTGAGAATCTTTTGTATGTGTTTGTTTTACATGCATACATTTTCTTTAAAGGAGTTTCATTCAAATATTTTGCCAAATTTTAATTGGGCTGTGTTTTCATATTATTGAAATTTGGGGATTCTTTATATATCAGAGTACAAATGCTTTATCCAATGTAGGCTTTGCAAATATTTTCTTCTAGTTCATGGCTTGTCTTCTAATTCATTCTTTTCAAACAACAAAAGTTTTTAGTTTTGATGACATCTTCTTTATCATTGTCTTTAATGGATCATGCTTTCTGTGTTGTTGCTAAGAAATCTTGGCCTGATCCAAGGTTACATAGGTTTTCTCCAAAGTTTTGATCTAAAGGTTTTATAATTTCAGTTTTTACTTTAAGCCTGTTATTTGTGTTAATGTTATATATGGTGTAAGATAGGATTAAAACTCATTTTTTTCATATTAATTTCAAATGTTTTCAGCATCACTTGTTAAAAAAGATTATAGTTTCCTCACTGAATTGCTTTTGCACATTTGTAAAAAAACCAGTTGTCCATATGTGTGTGCATTTATTTCTGGACACTGCAGTTAATCTAATGACCTATTTCTCCCATCCAAATATTAGCTAGGCCTGACTCTGCTTAGCTTCTGAGATCACATGAGAGCAAGTACATTTAGGGTGGTATGGTTGGAGACTATTGACCTATTTCTTTATCTTTATACCAGTACCACTCTGTCTTAATTCCTGTAGCCTGGGCCAACTACATAATTTTTGGGATCTAGTATAAAATAAAAATATGGGTTCCTTTGTTAAAAGTTAAGAATGTCAAGACAGAGACAAAGAGCATTCAACCAAGCACAGAGCTCTTCTGACAGTGGGACCTTGTGCAACTACACAGGCTACATGCCCATGAAGCCAGCCCTGATCACAGCATTATAATATGTCTTGAAATAAAAATCAGGCAGAGTTAGCATTTCCACTTTATTCTTCCTTTTCAAAGTTACGTTGACTAGTCCAGGATTTTTGTATTTCCATATGAATTTTAGAGCTAGTCTATTTTTTTTTTAAAACAAACCAGTGGAATTTTTATTAGGATTGCAGTAAATGTATAGATCAACTTGAGGGGGATAGATTTCTTTGCAATATTGTGTCATCAGACCAATTTAGGGCTATGTGAGTTATTTATCTTTTTTATTATTATTAAGTTGTAGGGTACATGTGCACACCGTGCAGGTTTGTTACATATGTATACATGTGCCATTTTGGTGTGCTGCACACATTAACTCATCATTTACATTAGGTATATCTCCTAATGCTATCCCTCCCCGCTCCCCCCACCCCATGACAGGCCCCGGTGTGTGAAGTTCCCCTTCCTGTGTCAAAGTGTTCTCATTGTTCAATTCCCACCTATGAGTGAGAACATGTGGTGTTTGGTTTTTTGTCCTTGTGATAGTTTGCTGAGAATGATGGTTTCCAGCTTCATCCATGTCCCTACAAAGGACATGAACTCATCCTTTTTTATGGCTGCATAGTATTCCATGGTATATATGTGCCACATTTTCTTAATCCAGTCTATCTTTAATGAACATTTGGGTTGGTTCCAAGTCTTTGCTATTGTGAATAGTGCCACAATGAACATATTTATCTTTTTTGAGTGAGTTTTGTAGTTGGTGTCTATTGAGGAACTGGGCCATGTCATCAATGTTGTCAAATTTCTTGGCATAAAGTTGTGTCCTTCCTTATTCTTTTTTCATATATGTAGCATCTCTGTTAATAGCACATCTGTCATTACTGATATTGGTGATTTGTATCTTCTCTTTTCTTGATGAATTTGACTAGAGTTTTATTAATGTTATTGATTTTCTCATAGAATCATTTTTGGTTTCATGATTTTTAAAATTTAATTGATTTCTGCTCTTATTTCCTACTTACTTTTTACTTAATTTTCTCTTCTTTTCTTAGTTTCCTAAAGTGGAAACTTTCAGATTTGAACCCTTTCTTATTTTCTAATATGGATGTTTAGTGCTACAGTTTCTCCACTAGTTATTGTGTTAGTGGCATCTACAAATATTGATGTATTATGTCTGTATTTATATTTCATTAAAACGGTTTCTAATTTTTAAATTTCTTCTTTAATCTATGGGTTATTTAGAAGTTGTTATTTAGTCTCTAAATATTTCAGGATTTTCCAAAGGTTTTTCCCTTATTTATTTCTAATTTAATTCTATTGTGGTCAGAAAACATTTGTATAACTTAAATTCTTTTCATCTTATGGGGATTTGTTTTATCACGAAGACTCTGGTTTATTTTGGTAAATATTCCATATACATTTGAGAAGAATGTACATTCTGCTGTTCTTGTGTGGAGTGTTTTATCAATTCCATCTTGGGCAAGCTGGTTAATGTAGGTCAATGTTGTCGAAAACTTTTATGTCTTCACTGATATACCAGCTACTTTTCAACCCACTTTTGAGAGAAGGGTACTGAAATATCCAACTGTAATTATGGGTTTGTCTGCTCCTTATAATTCTATCAGTTTTTTCCTTATATATTTTGAAGTTGTGTTGTTAAATGCAAAAACTTTAGAATTGTTATGTCTCCTGATATATGTTGAATTCATTAACAATATGTGATGACTTCCTCTATTGTCAATAATATTCTTGGCTCTAAAATATACCTTGTCTTATATTCATTCTGGTTTTTCTTTGATTTGTATTAGAATGGTATATATTTTTTCCATCACTTTACTTTTAACCTGCACACAAGCATTTAAAATGTGTTTCCTGTGGGCTGCATATAGTTGTGCCTTGTTTTTAAATCCAATTTGACTTAGACACTATTTTCATCTAGAAATAAATTTGACAATTTATTTTAATTGAGGATGTTTAGAGCATTTACATTTAATGTGATTATTGATACAGTTAAGTTTCAGTCTTTTTTCTTGTCATTTGTTTTCTGGTCCTCTGTACTTTGTTTACCCTTTGCAAATTTCCTGTCTTCTTTGGGATTTAACATTTCTTATGATTTTATTTCATTTTCTTTGCAAGTTTACTAGCTCTTACTTTTTGTTTGTTTTATTGTTTTAGTGGTTGCTTTAGAGTTTATTTTATACATATTCAAGTTATCACAGTCTACCTTCAAGTGGTATTATATCACTTAATGTGTAGTACAAGAACCTTACAATAGTATTATTTCTATTTCTTTCCTTTTATTCTTTATATTATTGATGTCATGTATTTTATTATACATATGTTATAGGTATTATAATTCATTGTTATTATTTTTGTCTAAATAGTAAATTATCTTTTTTTTTTTTAATTTTGAGACAGAGTCTCACTGTGTTGCCCAGGCTGGGGTGCAGTGACACGATCTTGGCTCACTACACACCTGGCCTCCCAGGTTCAGACGATTCTTGTGCCTCAGCCTCTCCAGTAGCTGGGATTATAGGCATACACCACCACACCTGGTTAATTTTTATATTTTTATTAGAGATGGGGTTTTGCCGTGTTGGCCAGGCTGGTCTCAAACTCCTGGTTTCAAGTGATCTGCCTGCTTTGGCCTCCCAAAGTGCTGCAATTACAGGCGTCACTGCGCCTGGCCAGTCGATTATCTTTTAAATATATTTAAATGAGGAAAATATCTCATACATTTACCCAGACAGTTACCATTTCAAATGTTCTTTCTTTAAAATAGATTCATATTTCCATCTGGCATTATTTTCCTTTTGCCTAAAGGACTTCCTTTAATTTAAGGAATGTTTAAATATGTTTAACATATCTGTACTGTGGGTTTGCTGGTGATAAATTTTCTGTGTTTTTGTGTGTCTAAAAAAATCATTATTTGTCTTTATTTTTAAAATTTATTTTTTCTGTGTATAGAATTCTAGGTTGGCAATTTGATGTTTATTCATTCAGTACTTTACCAGCACTTCACTGACATTATTTACTATAAGAAATTTGCTATTATTATTATCTTTGTTCCTATTTATGTATCATGCTATTTTATTCTGATGTGTTAAGATTTTCTCTTTATTATTAGTTTTCATAAATTTAATTATGATGTGGCTTCGTGTAGTTTTCTTCATGTTTTTTGTCCTTATAGCCACTGAGCTTCTTGAATCTGTGGAATTATAATTTTCATTAAGTTCAGAAAAATTTTAGCCTTTTTTTTTGTATCGTGCCCTTTTTCTTTACCCTTTTGGAGAATTCAATTACCTATATATGAGCTATTTGAAGTTGTCCCACAGGATAATACTATTCTTTTTATTCATTTCTTTCTCTATGTCTTTCATTTTAGATAGTTTCTACTGTGATGTATTTAAGTTCATTAATCTTTTCTTCTGCACTGTCAAATTTGTTGTGAATCCCAATGAATATTGATTTTATCTTAGACACTATTTTCATCTAGAAATTTTATTGGTATTATTTTTATATCTTCCATAGCTTTGACTGTTAGTATAGTTGATAGAGTTATATTATCTGTTTTAATGTTTTTGTCTGTTAATTCTAACATCTGGGTGAGTTTGGGTCTGATTTTGATTTTTCTTATCATCATGGCTCATATTTTCCTGCCTCTTTGCATGACTGGCCATCTTTGACTGGATGCTTGAAATTGTAATTTTATATTACTGGGTGCTAGATATTTTTATATTTCTATCAATATTTTTGAGCTTTGTTTTTGGATTCAGGTAAGTCGCTTAGAAACAGATCTTTTTGCATCTTGCTTTTCAGATGTGTAATGCAGGAGCAGTACAGCAGTTTAGTCTAGAGTTACTTATTTCTGACCAATGAGGCAAAGTCCTTCTGTGAACTCTACTTAATGCCCCTGAATTATGAGATTTTCAAGTCAGGCTGGTGCCAACAAGAAATATTCCAAGAACTGTGTACATGCCAGATTTCCGCTAATTGTTTTGAATGGCTTTCTGGACTCAGATGGTTTCCTCACATGCATGTACTGATCAGTACTCAAGGGAGACTCTCTGCAGACCTCTGGGATCTCTTTCTGCTCAACATTTTCTTCTCCAGAACTCTTCCCTGCAAAATCTAGCTACCTTAAGCATCCTTAGATTTTTAGTTCCACTTCTACTCAGGGAGTCCACTGGGCTTTGCATGGGTTGTCCCTCTCTGTTCTGTGGTCTGGAAATTCTTTTGAGGCAATATATCTGGAACAATCATATGGCTTACTTAGTCGGTTTCTTGTTTCTTTCGCATTGCTGTCCTTCATTGCCTGATGTTCAGTGTCTTGAAAGCCATTGTAACGTATATTCTTGTCTGTTTTCTTTTGTTTCTTGTTATTTCAGCTGGGAGGTTAAATCTGGCCCCTTCTTAACTAGAAATAGAAGCAATTCCCATACTCTTTTTAATTTTTTGATATTATTTATCAGACTTTGGGTTTGTTTAGATATCTGTCTATTTTCTCTCTCACTGGAGATCAGGTACTCTGTTGTGTTCACATTTTTTGAACATTAGTGAATGAATAAATGAATGAAGTATATGATCTAAAATGACAATGAACATAGAAATCTTGAAACTTTCTGTAATCACCTACCAAGTTATCTTGCCTTATAATTGTTTTATGTTGATAATCAGTGGCTCTTTTCTAAAGAATTTGCAACATTTTATTGATAATTGCCCACTGTTTCTAGTGGTAAGAAAAGAGTCCTTTCTCCTCAGTTTGCAGAAGAAAAAGTAGAGCATTTAAAACTTTTTTAGAGTGTCAAGCAAAGGTTGTTTGCATTATAAAATCAATGAAAATACTGAAGCTTTTCATCTCTGAAAAATATTGAATATGTAAATTAGGGCACAAATTTTAGTTTGCTCTTAGGTAGTTTGATGATAATTATGAGAGTTATATTATTTAAATCTAAGCTCTTGAGAGTTCTTTCTTTTTTATATTTCTAAGAGAGCCCAACCTTATGTTAATGTACAAATTCTTTTTGAGTATTAGTGAATCAATAGTTTTCACAAATTATCTAACTCCTCATTATCCTCACTTTCCAGTATGAGAAATCTCATTTAATTTAAGATAAGATAATATCTGTTACTGTAATAATTCAGTTCTGACAAATTTTAATTTTATTTTAAAATACTGGCAGAAGGTAAAATCTCAAATATGAAATTCTCCTTTTGACTTTATCTATCTATTTATCTTTTGGAACTCATGGTTTTCCACTTGCTTTTTTCCATTAACATATCTTGAAGATTTTTTCTCTATTAGCTTTTATAATTTTACCTTTTTCTTTTAATTGCTGCAGAATATTTCTCATGTACATGTATTATAATTTACATAATCAATCTTCCATTGAAGTTTTAAATGGAATTCTTTGTGCAACTAAGAATATTACTATCAACCACACCTTTTTATGTTTGATATGAAACATCTGTGAACCTTTTAGGATTTGTATTTAATTTAATGAATTTTCTGGAATTTTTGGACCATTCCATTGGGGACATTTAGATAATTTCTGGCCAAGATAAAGTGTGACTGCTTTGAAAAGTCTACAAAAGCAACCTTTACAAAAGCTTCTCTTGGCAAAGCACAGCCTAGAACCAAGCCAATAGCATTTTTCAGCTTCACTGCATTCGTGGCTTTTGAGGCCATGAGGTGTCAGTATCCTTTCTGTAGATGTTTCAGAAGAATGCCTCAATTCATATTTCACTTGTGGGATTTTGTAGTTTGGCATAAATGAACACTACAAATAGGTTCTAGTTTGGTGACCATATATTACAAAAATGGTTGGATTCATATTTATGTATATTCGTGAATTTCAGGTTTTTTGAAATTGATATCCAGCCTGTGAAATCAGGTGTAATGTTTTCAAAAGTAAAATTTAGTATTACTAACACGTTTCAAATACTATTTTATAATACACTTGTTTATTAGTCTGTTCTCATATTGCTATATAGGACTGCCTGAGACTGGGCAATTTATAAAGTAAAAAGGTTTAATTGACTAATAATTCCACATGGCTAGGGAGGCCTCAGAAAACTTACAGTTATGGCAGAATGGGAAGAAAACACATCCTTCTTCACATGATGACAGGAAAGAGAAGAATGAGAGCCAAGCGAAGGGGAAAGCCCCTTACAAAACCATCAGATCTTGTGAAAGCTTCCTATCATGAGAATAGCATGGGGAAAAACACACCCATGATTAAATTACCTCCACCTGGTCCCTCCCATGACATGTGGGGATTATGGAAACCACAATTCAAGATAAGATTTGGGTGGAGGCAAAAACAAATCATATCATTCCATCCCTGGCCCCTCCCAAATCTCATGTCCTCACAATTCAAAACACAATCATGCCTTTCCAATAGTCCCCCAAAGTGTTAACAAATTCCAGCATAACTCAAAAGCCAAGTCCAAAGTCTCATCTGAGACAAGGTAAGTTCCTTCTACCTATGAACCTGTAAAATCAAATGCAAGTTAGTTACTTCCTAGATTCAATGAGGGTACAGGCATTGGGTAAATATACCCATTCCAAATGGGAGAAGTTGGTCAAAACAAAGGGGCTGCAGGCCCCAATAGGACAGTCATTAAATCTTAAATTTCCAAAATCATCTCCTTTGACTCCATGTCTCACATCCAGGGCACTCTGATGCAAGAGGTGGTGGCCTTGGGCAGCTCCACCCCTGTGGCTTTGCAGGGTACAGCCCCCTTCCTGGCTGCTTTCATGGGCTGGCCTTGAGTGTGGCATTGCCAGGTGCATGGTCCAAGCTGTCAGTGGCAGTACCATTCTGGGGTTTGGAGGATGGTGGCCCTCCTCTCACATCTCCACTAGGCAGTGCCCCAGTGGGACTCTGTGTGTGGACTCTGACTCCACATTTCTCTTCCACACTGCTCTAGCAGAGGTTCTTCATGAAGGCTCCACCCCTGCAGCAAACTTCTGCCTGGACATCCAGGCATTTACATATATCCTCTGAAATCAAGATGGAGGTTTTCCAACCTCAATTCTTGACTTCTTTGCACTAGCAGGCTCAACACCACATGGAAGCTGTCAAAGCTTGGGGCTTGTACCCTCCGAAGCCAAAACCTGAGCTGTACCTTGACCCCTTTTAGTTACTGCTGGAGTGGCTGGGATGCAGCGCACCAAGTCAATAGGCTGCACACAGCAGGGGGGTCCTGGACCTGCTATCAGGAAGCCATTTTTTCCTCCTAGGCCTTCAGGCCTGTGATGGGAGGGGCCACCGTAAAGGTCTCTGACATGCCCTGGAGACATATTCTCCATTGTCTTGGTGATTAATATGTAGCTTCTTGTTACTTATGTAAACTTCTGCAGCAGGCTTGAATTTCTCCCCAGAAGATGGGGTTTCCTTTTCTATTGCATCATCAGGCTGCAAATTTTCCAAACTTTTATGCTCTGCTTCTTCTTGAATGCTTTGCTGCTTAGAAATTTCTTCCACAAGATACCCTAAATCATCTCTCTCAAGTTCAAAGCTCCACAGATCTCTAGGGCAGGGGCAAAATGCCACCAGTGTCTTTGCTAAAGCATAACAAGAGTCACTGTTACTCCAGTTCCCGACAAATTCCTCATCTCAGTCTGAAACCATCTCAGCATGAACTTCATTGCCCTTATTACTATCAGCATTTTGGTCAAAGCCATTCAATACATGTCTAGGAAGTTCCAAACTTTCCCACATCTTTCTGTCTTCTGAGCCCTCCAAGTCTCTAGGAAGTTCCAAACTTTCCCACATTTTCCTGTCTTCTGAGCCCTCCAAAGTGTTCTAAACTCTGCCTGTTACCCAGTTCCGAACTCACTCCCACATTTTTGGGTATACTTATAGCACTCCACTCCTGGTACCAATTTACTGTATTAGTCCATTCTCACACTGCTATAAAGTACTGACTGAGATGGTAATTTATAAAGGCTAAAGATCTAATTTAATCACAGTTCAGCATGGCTGGAGAGGCCTCAGGATACTTACAATCATGGTGGAAGGGGAAGCAAACATGTCTTTCTTGACATGATGGCAGAAAGGAGAAGAATGAGAGCTGAGCCAAGGAGGAAGGCCATTAGAAAACCATCAGATATCATGAGAACTTATTCACTATCATGAGAATGCCATGTGGGGAACCACCCCCATGATTCAATTACCTCCACCTGGTCCCTACCGTGACATATGGGCATTATGGAAACTACAATTCAAGATGAGATTTGGGTGGGGACACAGCCACACCATATAAGCTTGATCAAATAAACTTTTTTCAAAAAAAAAAGGAAGAACAGAAGATCATTTTGAAAATAACAAAAATGTGCCACACATTTAATACTTTTTCTTCTAAAAGCTTTAGATGCTTCCTTAGATATCATCAAATTATATGTCACTGCAGTCCTGGAAGAAAGATCAGTGATAGGAATTGTAGGCATTTATGGGCTTCATGGTTTTGTCCAAGATAAAAAGAGGAACCCCTATTTGTTGCTCACATCCTTTAGAAAAGTAACTTACCATACATTGTCTCTTGTTAGCCTCAGAACATCAACGTAAGGGAGGTATTATTAGCCCTGAGGTTCAATGACATTAAGAGTTTAAACAAAGCCATACACCTAGAAAGTGAAAGTGAGGGTTTGAACTCAGGTCTTTCTTTTTTCAAATCTTGTGCTTTTTCCTCCAAAAGGAATATTTTTTTTCCACTATAGAATACATTTTTTGTGTATGTGCACATGCATACATGTGTGTATGGAGAGTTGCTCCAGAATTATCATACATTTCTATATCCTAATGTAAAGGGAAAAAAAATCCACATAGCCTATATTTGTTTTGAACAGGAAAGAAAATAATTTTTTTTTTTTTGAGACGGTGTCTTGCTCTGTCACCCAGGCTGGAGTGCAGTGGCACGATCTCAGCTCACTGCAAGCTCCACCTCCTGGGTTCATGCCATTTTCCTGCCTCAGCCTCCCGAGTAGCTGGGACTGCAGGCGCCCACCACCACGACTGGCTAATTTTTTTGTATTTTTAGTAGAGAGAGGGTTTCACCATGTTAGCCAGGATGATCTCAATCTCCTGACTTCGTGATCCGCCCGCCTCAGCCTCCCAAAGTGCTGGGATTACAGGTGTGAGCCTCCGTGCCCAGCAAGAAAATAAATTGATAGGAGATGGAGTCCTTACTAAGAATTTGATTTTTTGACAGTTTAAAGAAAAACACATTTTTAAAAATATATATTCCTTCTTTGATTTTCACTGGAATTAGAAAAAGGAGAATAATGTTCTCATGAGAGAAGTGTCCTAGCATAATAAAAGCAAAGCCTAAGAATGAATTGTTTAGTAAGAGATTTCCTGTGGCTAGGACTGGAGGCAAATTTTTTTGAACAGTACTGTCTGACATATATTCAAAGTTGTTTACTATTCTATGTGATCATTATCCTCTTTGTCTTTAAATCTTCAAATTGGTTACATATAATATCCTTGTGTTTGTTTTAATTTGGGTAATGAGGGAGAAGATGATGGCCATGGTGGGCAAAATAAGAAAGGGCTTAGCAGTACAGAAGGCTAACCATGAACAGCAATCAAGGATTAAGCAGGGGCAGCAACTTAAAGGGGGAGGGAGAGGAGATTTCACTTCTCTTCCAGATTTCCATTCTGTTCTTCTCAGAGAATCTGCAGCAATATTAGAACACTAGACTTCTCATAGTAAGTGGAATGGGGACTAAAACCTAAAAGACTTGGGAATTCTGGGGAGGAGGGTGGAAGACTTGGGGATATTTGATTTAAATAACTTTCATAATCATTAGGCTTTCTTGTTTTACCATTTTGGGTAGCTATAAGATACCTCACAAAAATATTCCTGTAGTTACCTTCAGTATCTCTGAAGTGATAACTTATTAATAAAATTATCATTAGTGCCCTCATGAGACATAGAAAATGCTTGGTTGCATTCTCTCTTCCTTTATTTCCTCTTTCTTTTTGCATATTTGGGGGGTATGTGTCTATCTGCAGATGGGCAGAATTTTTTAAATATAGCAAGTGGCTTCCTAACAAGGTGTTTAAAATTCATAATGAACATGTTATAGGTTTTAGAAACAACCTCATTGTTAATAAGACTGAGAACTTGAGGCACAAAGAGAGTAACTCGTTTCAGCAGAATGTGGAATATAGGCACAATAGCATGAGGTAAAACAAGCTGTAGTATTTGCTAGATTATATAGGCAGTCAATACCATTGCCTTCATGTAATTTAATTCTTAGTTTTGATTTTCTGTTGAAGTAATTGATGGAAGATCAACATAAATTAAATAATATTTTCATTTTTTCTTAAAGACAAGTAATACAACTCTGTTTTGAGAAAATACTATTTAAAATATCTATTTTTAATGTAATGATTCAGTTATCTATTTCTTTGAGTTTTCCTAAATTAAGTTTTGCTGTTAAAAAACCTTAACTAGATAAGCATCTGTTCCTTTTGCATGGTTGGAGTCTACCCTCTTCCTAAGAATAAACTCATTTCAGTTATTTTTCTTTAATAAAGCCTGCTCTAAGACTGCCATTTATGATTCTCAATTTGAGTGGCCTTTTCTCAATGCCTGCAATTTAAGTACATAATATTTTCTATTGTTTTTCCTGCTTACTCTAGTAAATTACTGCCATTGTCCCCTGATCTACCTACTGTTTCAAATCTAAATTGACAATACAAAACAATTTGAATATTTGGAACAATATTTATCCTCTAACATAGGTCAGATATTAATAAATTCTTACAGAATCCCCATTAAGAGAGGTGGCTGTGTCATGGCTAAGAGCATGGACTTTTAAATGAAATGCCTGGATTTTAATCCAGGCTTCACCACTTACAATTCTGTGAAACTGGACAAATTTTAAAATCTCTCTTTAAATGGTTACCACATCTGGAAAATCTCAATGAAATAGCATATTTCCTATCTGGTTGTTGCAAGAAAAAAAATATATATATATATGTGCCAAATTACAGCAAAATCTATCCCATGGTATTTCATGTATTTTACATTAAAAAAGTACACTAAGAAGCAAATTCATTTAATAGTCAAAATACCAATTAAAATAATCTCTAATGCAGTGGTATGTTGATTTAAATCATCCTTAATGTTATCTGCAGTATCTCAGTTGTTAGAGGAGATTATTTAATCCATGAATAATAATATATTATTGAAAGCACAAGTATATTGGCATCTGTCTTAGTCAGTCCTGGCTGCTGTAACAGAATACCATAGACTGGGTAGCTTAAACAACATTTATTCCTGAGTTTTGGAGGCTGGGAAGTCCAAGTTCAGAGCACCAGCAGATCTCTAACTCTTGGTGCACATCAGTAACCCAAGTCTCCTCTCCTTGAGTGTGGATGGAAACTGTGATTTGTTTCTTAACCAATAGAATATGGCAAAGGTGATAGGATGTATGTGATTATGTGCATGTGATTATATAAGATTGTAATGCGTGTCTTGTGAAAAGCCTTTCTTTTTTGTTGGCTTTGTAGAGGAAAGCTGCTGTGCTGTAAGAAGTCCACAGGGCAAGAAACTTAGGCCCTCGGTCTGGCAACCCACAAGATACTGAATATTCCTAGTAGTTACATGGGCAAAGAAGTGGAACTTTCTCCTCTCAAGCTTTAGAGAAACTACTAGGCTGACACCTTGGTTGTAGCCTTGCAGAATACTCAGTTAAACTGTGCTCACACTCCTGACTCACAGAACCTGTGAGACAGTAAAAGCATTTTTATGGTACTAAGTTTGTGGTAATAGGTAGGTAATTAACACAGAATCTTTGCTCTGTAGTGGCAGAAAGCTTAGCAAAATTGTCTCCTACAATTTATATGGAAAGAAGAATTTGTAAATATCATGCACATAGTTATCTAGCTAAGGAGATTTTTGAGGAAAGTATTGAATATTCTGCCTAATTTCTTCTTGCTGCTTACGGTAAGATGCAAGAGGAGAGGTATAAATTGACAGAACTGTTAAACAAAAACAAACAAGGGCTGGATGACTTAGGAAATGCTCGGCCTCTCCAGAGACAAAAAACCCCATGACATTTGAGAAATGACTCCAGTCCCTGCCACAAATGAAGGTCTAAAGAAAAACATGGGGGTGTGATTGTACAACCTTTTGTTAAAAACCTCGGAAAAATCAAAGGACTAGAGTAGTCTTCAGTT
The DNA here is from genome assembly GCF_000001405.40 of Homo sapiens. Classification (NCBI taxonomy): domain Eukaryota; kingdom Metazoa; phylum Chordata; class Mammalia; order Primates; family Hominidae; genus Homo; species Homo sapiens. The sequence continues at coordinate 31,610,617 of NC_000008.11, forward strand.
ACATAAACTGCCCTTTCAAGAGATTGAAATTGTGCCTCATGGAACTTTTTGATTAAATGATAGTATCTCTAAGAAGTTAAGTGTATTGTCCTTTTGTCTAATGGAGTGAACCTCAGTGAAATTCACAGGAGTCCTACGAAGTATTTGAGAAAATTGTTACAGCAAAAGCAATGTTAACTGGAACTGAAAGTGGCAGAGAATAAAATGTGAAAGAGGCTTCTGGACCCTCAAATTTTAGGCAGGAGCAGGCTGTTAAAATTACTCAGCTGCAAACATGTACTTTCTCTCTCTCTCTCTCTCTCTCACACACACACACACACACACACACACGAAGGATGATTCAGAGGGCAAAGCTGAGAGCCATGAAGAATTATCCTATGCTGAGAAACCTAGTTAAGAACATTTTTAAATTTGCCAGGCTGGATTTCAGAATTGCTATGGACCAGTGACGACTTTGTACCTTCTATTTCCCCCATTTTGAACAAGAATGTCTGTATGTCTATAGATGTTTTCTTATGCCTGTTCAACCACTATATGTTGGGTGTGTGGGTGGGCAAATAACTTGTCTTTTTAGTTTGACAGATTGACAGATCAATTTAAACAGCCTTCATCAATGCCTGGACCTGATTTAGATAATACAATTCTGGATATTGTGCAGATGCTATAACAGGGTGGAACTCTGGGGGACCTTGGGAGAGGATGAGTGTATTTTGCACGTGAGAAGAATGATTCACATTCTTCTCACGTGCAAAATACACTCATCCTCTCCCAAGGGGGGCCAGAGGGTGAACTGTGGCAGACAGAATGTAGGGTGCCTCCATGGTCTCCACCTCCCACATATTTATGCCTTTATGCAGCCACTTTTCCTTAGTGTGAGTGGGATCCATGGCTCACTTCTAACCAATGTCAAAAGAGATGTATGTATGTAATTACATGAATGTGATTTAGTCACATATGATTGCAATTGTATCTTGCAAGGTGACTCTCTTTTTCCCTTGCTGGCTTTGAAGAAGCAAGCTACCATGTTATAAGATACACATGAAGAGGGTCCCATGGCAAGAAACTGAGAGCAGCCTCTGGCCAATAGCCAATAAGGAACCAAGATCCTCAGTCCAGTAGCCTACAAGAAACTGAATGCTGCCAACAATCACAGGAGTGAGGAAGCAGATCCTTTCCTAATTGAGCCTTAGAGAGGAAACCCTGGCCTATACCTTGATTGTTACCTTGCAGAAGAGCCAGCTAAGCTGTGCCTAGACTCCTAACCTATATAAACTGTGAAATAATAACCATGTGTTTTTGTAAGGTACCAACTTTGGGGTAACATTGTTGCACAAGCAGTCAACAATGAATACATAGAATTTACTAAAATGTAAGTTTCATGATTGCAAATAATTTTGCACATACCTAGAAATGGGTCTGGAATTTGGAGGTGTTCAGTAAATATTGGTAGGAAATAAAGAAGTCAGAAAGAAAGGGAGGAAGCACAGGACAGCCACTGAGACATCAGTGTGGTCTTGCGAGCAGACTACTGATGTGTCATGTGATTTGCTGGTACAAAGTAAGTTTGGTAGGATGTGCTGGAAAAGTTTTTTTCTACATGATTTTGTATCTGTGTCAAATGAATATGGTTATTTACATATTGAGTTGAGGGATTTACATGTAGGTGTTTGGTTAGGAGGAAGAAATGACATGGATGTCAAGTTTACAATTTCTCAGTACTACCCTATTCCCTAATATTGTGATAAGAACTAGTTATAGCAGTCCAATCTCAAGAAATAGCTCCACTACTTCTCACTTCTGAGAATATATCATGATTATATATTATAAATATATAATTATATGTATTGCATATATTATATGTAATTATAATATGTATTATTGCATATATAATACGTAATATAACATATAATATATAATTATATATAATACATATATAATTATAATGTATTTTATTCTCAGAGGTGATAAGTGGTTATTATATAAGAGGTGGTTATATAATATATAATTACATATAATATATAGTATATAATATATATACTGTATATACATATATAATACCTGTCAAGTAAATGGAATCATACAGTGTGTGATCTTTTGCATATTGCTTTTTCACTTAGCATAATACTGCTGAGGTTCATTCCTATTGTACTGTGTATCAGCAACTTCCTTTTTACTGCTGAATAATGTGCTGTTGTATGGTTGTGTCACATTTTGTTTAACAATTCACCAGTCGATGAACATTTGAATTGTTTCAACTTTTTGTTTAATGAAAACAATGCTGCCATAAATATGACTCATATCACATGAAAGTCTTTGTATGGATATATATTTTCATTTCTCTTGGGTAAATTTCTAGGTGTAAAATTGCTGGGTTATATGATACATTTAAGTTAACTTTTGTCATGCTATCTTCAGGACAAGATTTAGAAAAACAAAACCTTGTAGTGCTTAACAATGCTCTTTATAAATAATATTTCTTAAAGCTCTTTTGACTTGATTTGCATGTTTGAAAAAAAGGTGGAGTATGGGCTGCTTATTTTATATAACAAGGAATATTAAATGTATAAAAAAGCACACCTTTAAGTGGAAAGGATATGTAGTACTCTAGTCAACTACTGATAGAAAGTATACATACAGAGAGAGATTAGGTATTACTTTAGAACCCCAATATTACCCAAAATGATTCACTTATAGGAATACTTGAACCTATATTAAATGAAGGTAATTAAAAAAAATTAGATGCATGGATCTAATTATCACACATTTTGAGGAAGGAAATATAAGAAGCCATTTCATATACTTATTTATATAACATCTCTCAAGTGCAGAAACATAAAGCTAATTAGTGTAAATTAATGTACAAATAGAGAATTCATAGCAAATAAAATGAGAAACTATGCTCAGAAAAGATTGCTTCTATTGTAATGAACTGCAAATGCCTTAGCATTTTCATTGGCTTGGTAAAAAGTTCATTGATCTGAATAAGGGGAATCATGAGTGTAACTGTAACTGTTTTTTTTTTTTTTTTTCCAGAAACAAGCGTCACTACAGGCTTTATAAGATTAATAAAGTTTTCTAGGAATTAAGTACAAAATATCCAGAACAGCTTTCAACTCGTATGTTATGTGTATGATTCTTCTTCTCACTTTAATGTTAATTTACTTATTTGTGGAATTCTAGCACAAAAAGGCACTTAGTGAAGATTAAAAGTGTAGTCTTTGGAATAAATATAAAAGGAAAATAACATCGATTTAGTTTGTCTTCCTCATAGGCTGCAAGAGATTAAAAAATGTAACATGATTTAAGAAGGAAAGGCATAAATTAATGAACAATAGATGATGGGTCTGAAGAAAGGTATATAAGATGGTTGTATACGTTCCTAAGTGTTTTGGTTTGTTTATATGGAGGGCATCAATATTATCCCTGGAGACTTCTTCTAGGTACCATTGTCAAAGAGAGAATAATCAGCTACAGAGGCCATGGGTGCAACACGGTGTGGTATTTCTTCTGTTCTAAGCTCTAGGTATGAAAGGCTGGGCTATTCAAGAGACCAATACTAAGTGCATAACAATTCTTTACAATACCAAGCTTTTTAAAAAGTCACCATTTTTTTTTTTGGTGTCCAGATGTCATACATACATTTTGCAATGGTAGGAAACTTAAAAAAAAATTATGTGTACACATAAAAGATTGCGTGAGTGTGTCTACACTAGGACTAAAATTTGGGGAATTTGTAAGTCAACTTCAGCATGGGAAAATTAACTGGCAACTGGGTAACTAATGCTTTTTGAGTGACTACCATGTGCTAGGCACTGTTGTAATTGCTGTATACATGTTAACACATTTAATCTTCTTAACAGTCCTATGATGTGGGTATAATTAGGGTCATTTCCATTTATTGGATGAGGAACCGTGAGGCACTGGGAGTTAGGTAAATGGCCCAAAATTACACAGCTTGGAAGTGCTGAGGTCAATATTTGAACTCAGACAATCTGGCCCCAGATCTTACATTCTAAACTAATATGCCATATCATTCTCTTTAATGATTACACTGAGTAACTTCTTTGTAGAAAGTAAGATATACTTATCTGAGTATTGCCCTGTTATCCCAAAATACATACTACAATAAAAATCCTTCATATTTACCGTATACTAATTGAATATTTGTAATCATTTGAAAAAATGTAATACATTTCCATGCTGTTAATAATTATGTTGAGAAGAAACTATTTTGTAACTTTTTTGAAAACGGAAAGTACTTTTCTGTTTAATATCTTTTAAATGGAAAATACTTTCTATGGTCGTGATTATAAACTTTCCTTTGGTTTTAATTCTGTCTCAGGGTTTGTTGGTGGTGAACTTGCCTGATTGAAAGTCTTGGGCAAGTTTGGGATATTCTCACTCTGACTTAAGACTTCGCAATGCATTTGAACTCCTCTGTCCTGGGCAATGTCAGGATTGGTTCAAATAATTATTCATAAGACATAAAATGTAATGAGAAGAAACATTATAGGCAAATAGTCTTTTAGAACCTTGTTTTAAATTAAAACATGGTTTTAATTTACTTGGGCATTTTAACTAATGCTTAGGCATTTTAAATGCAAAATTGATAGCATCATTAACCAAATGAAAAATCATAATATATGTCTTTCAGATAACCAAAAAGAGGTGGAAAAGTCTAGCAATTGATACCACAAAGATACTGAACTGTGGTTTAGCCAAGTAGAGGGCATAGCTCCTGGGAGTGGAACAAGTTGCTTCTGAAGTATGAGTTTATAAACCTCAAAACAAGACTAGTGACAAATTTTGCTTCAATACGTCAAGTTAATATATAAAATAAGATTTCTGGTGGGGAGGTTTATAGATTTTTCAGTAAACAAATTGTTTTTAAACACCTTTAAGCTGGAGAAGAAGCAACTGCCTACCTGTAAGTAATTGGTATGCTAACTATAGGTAATTCTTTTCTAGGCATCAGCCAAACCTCATAAAAAACACTACTGTGGTAGTTATTTCATTGGTTTGAATTGTCTCAGGCACTTGCAATTTTTTCAAAGATTATATTTCTCTGAAAATATCCTATAACTTAACATTTTCACTCTTCTGGCTGTTCTTTGCCTGGTTACTTCAAGGGGTTTCTCTCAAGTACTACCGTAACTTACAGGATGGATGTTTTCTTATTCCTATCTGCAATTCTGTGAAAATAAAGCAATTGTTCAGTGGGTAGTAATATGAATGCAAAAATATGTCTCCACAGAAGCATTAGCATAATTTACTGTACATTCAATGAAATTAAGACAGCCAATAAGGAATATAATTCTTATTTATTTTGAAATGATGGTAACAAATGGCTTTGTTACCTTCAAGCTTCTTACTGGCTTAAGCTCTTTTAAAATTCTATGGACTATACAAGCTACTCAATTTTAAGTTTTCATTTTTGAATTCAAGCTTTTTTGGTTAGGTAAAGAATAGAAGTAACTACCATAAAGAAGAAAATATAATCATCTAATTTCTCCTGAACTCTGTATAACATTGGCCATTAATCTACATCAATATATGGTGAAGATATGTAAGCAGAATGTACAATGTATAAGACATGCATATATCAATGTAAGGTAGTAATGTTTATTTTAAATTCCGCAGATCCATTTAGATTCCTTTGGTTTTATATTTGGTCTATTTTGTTACTGCCTCTATAATTCTGCTTATTTATTTCAAATTTTACAACATCTATTTCTCCTTTGAGAAAACGTAGACAACTGATATTGGGATAGAGTTTAAATTGTGAGAAATATTCAGTTACAGTAAAAGAAATGCATTAGAACTAGAACTTGCGTGATTTTAAATTTTATTAGAAGTAGGTGTCAAGTTACCTAAGATGTCCAAGAGACAGCTGATGGGTTATGAATTAAATTTTGGGTTCTGCTTATCATTTCTTAGAAATCAATTTAAGGCATCAGTTTTCAATAGCTTTTTTATGTATAACTAAAAAAGAGATATATGATATTTGGTAAAATAAAGATACATGGCTTCCAGTCTCTTGAGACATCTGTCTTCATGAAAGAGATGGAGAGTTCCCATTTCTACTTACAAGAATGAATGTATGTCATAATAAAGACCAGCTATCATTTGTTATATACAAAATATGTGGTTCTTTCTTTGACTTTTTTTCTGGATTTAGACAACCACAGATGACATTTATGAGAAATGAACTACACTGAATTCAACTGAGAAAGTAGAAGATTCTGTATCTCCATTAACTTGTGAGAGGCTTATCATTCCAAACCTTCTCCAGACAGCCCAGCGATCTTCACATTCTCTCAACTCCGTGGTCTATGACTGTCATTTGTCAATTAATTGCAAACTGAGTTCATATATAGTCTGTGTATGTTTCAGTACACATGTAGGAATATCTAGGGAGGTATTGTTGTTCTGGGCTCTTTGGAAATATACTCTGAGACCCTGAGATTTACATGAGGAAAGTTTATTGAGGAATACTTTTGAGAACTTGAGTGAGGAAAGCAGGGATGGGCAGAGGGAGAAGTTGAACTGTGATGCAGTTGCAACAGAATCCCTACCAATCCCACAGGAAGGGGGTCTAACTTTGGGTGAGGCGGCACTTTTTGCCTGAGGGTGATTTCCAAGGAAAGACTAAGCTCTGAACCACTGGCAACCAATGTTTCTGATAGCTGATGAAATGAGAGCCTCAGTCTCCAAGAGTGAAACTCCATCTCAAAAAAAAAAAAAAAAAAAAAAAAAAAGAGGAAACGAGAGCTTCAGCCTCAGTCCTGAAGCTGGGATCTAGCAGGTACACTACAGCATCCACTACGGTAGGTAATGTAATGAAGGTTAATAGCACAGTCCAACAGACAGATGCATTGGCTTGAAACTTGCTTCTATCATATACTGGTTATGTAGGCTTGGGCAAGTTACTTAACCTTTCTGTCCCTATGAAGCGGGGATAAAGATACTGCAGGTTATCTCACTGAGTTATTGTGAAAATGGATGAGTTAACACATGTAAAGCTTATAGAAGTTCTTGGAATATGGTGAGAGCTCAACACTCGTCAGCCATTATTATTAGAGGCTGCTATAAAATAACAAAACTTGTTTTCAAATGAACTTACCTGTATGAATATTTGTTCCTGTTTAGGTCAGGTGGGCTAGTAACAAATATACTCCAAATCTCTAGTTGCTTCAAACAACAAGGATTTATTTCTTGGCCATGCCACATGTATATCATGTGTTGACTGGTGTTTTCCTCACTTTAGGACTCAACCTGACAGAGCAGCCAGTAGCTGGAACATTGCCTCTGCTGTGGTGGAGAAAAATATAGCATTTGAAATGCATGCTGACTCTTAAAACTTCTACCTGGAAATGAAACATGCCATTTCTACTCGCATTTCATTGGTCAAAATAAATCATGTAGGTACATATAACTCTGAGTGGGAAGGAAAATGTAATCCTGCCCTCTTCCTGGAAGGAAAACCAGAAATACTTCAGGAACAGCACTAAGATTATGGCAATTTAATTTTTAAAAGTTATCTGGGGAGATATATACTCAGTTCTGAAAGCTAACTTTTTTTGAGCACTTAGTATCAGCCAGGCACTGTGACAAAGAGCAATATTATGAAATAGATTCTATTGCAGTAATATCCCAATATTGTACACTTAGAAAAAAAAAGCTGAGGCCGGGTGTGGTGTCATGCCCGTAATCACAGCACTTTGGATTGCCGAGGTGGGTGGATCACCTGAGGTAAGGAGTTTGAGACCAGCCTGGCCAACATGGTGAAATGCCATTTCTACTAAAAATACAAAAATTAGCTGGGTGTAGTGGTTTGCGCCTATAATCCCAGCTACTTGGGAGGTTAATACACAGTCCAAGAGACAGATGCATTGGCTTGAAACTTGCTTCTATCATATACTGGCTATATACAGGAGAATCACTTGAACCCAGGAGGCAGAGGTTGCAGTGAGCCAAGATTGCGTTACTGCACTCCAGCTAGGGAGACAGCAAGACTGTCTAAAGAAAAAAAAAAACTGACACTTACAGAAACTTGATCAATACCATATATCTACAGGATGGTGAACACAGGCTCTTATTCAGGCCTATCTGATTGCAAAGCTCATACTCATAACTACCACTCTACTTCCCCCCAAGAACTTCAGTGATGCCAGCATGACTTGAAATTTTTTCAACACATGTTCTAAGTTTTTTCCCAGGAACTGCTTTTAGAGTCTATGGTTTAGAGGAATCTAATTCCCTAAATGTATGAACTCTCATATGTAGTAGAAACTTCTTTCTTGCTCCCATGATGGTATCAGATGGGTAGATAGACCAGTAGAGTGGTCCTCTTCCATGGAGTGGGAGACTGATGGACACTCCATCTTCTTCGGCACAAGGTATTCAGGGGTTATCTTCTTCCATACAGTCAGAAGGATGCCAGCGGGCCAGGCCTGGAAGTGATGCACATAACTTCTGCTTACATTCCATTGGCTTGAAACTCAGTGATAGTGCTATACCTGACTATAAGGAAGGCTGGGAAATGTAGTTAGGCTGTGTACTAAATGTAGACGCATGTACTGTGCTGTGTGTTTTCAAGGTATTGAATAGAACTTAAAATTGGGTAAATATACTTGAGGACGGCAGGGAATCTCTTAAAGTGACTTCATTGTTTGGCCTGCAATCCTCTCTCATTTCAGTATTCCAGAATATTGTCTTATTTTAGTTTATTCCGCTCTCTAACATTTAGTATCCTGTACTTCTTAACATGTTTTATAGTTTGGCTTTGTGCTAATGGAAAGATTATGGTTAGAATTCTTTACCTTTCCTTTAATTTTTTTTTTAGTATGAATACAGGATAATACAGAGGACACTCTGATAGTAATTAGTAAAGAACCCTGCATTCTGACCCCAGAGGAGGGCTTCACATGCTCCTTGGCCAGCACTGCATGCTTTAGGGGCCCACAAGGCCACCAGATAACTCTGAAGTCTGGTGGGAAAGCAACATTTTCGGACTTAGCCCCCAGAGGGCTCCTAACAAACTATATGAGTTTTTAAGGAGCTTCACAGGGGATGGAGTGGCAGAGTGGATTGTTGAACTGGAAGGGAATTTTGAAAGCTATTGCAATGAATTGCAAAACTTAGCCTTTATTAATGTTTTAGAAACTTTCCTTTGCAGGTTGGGTTGGAGCTGTTTTATTGCCTACTCCCATAATTAATCATAAGGTTACTAAAGGTTGGATTCTATATCACACCATGATTCTAGTGTGGTCATCATTACTGGAGGCATGAGGAGTCCAGTAATGTATATCACTTAAAAATTTTTAAATGCTTTCACTAACACTATATATTTTTTCATTTTGTTCACTAGGGAGACTCAGGGTCTATTCTCCCTCTACTTTGTATTTCTAGACTAATCTAGGGTTTTTATATTTTGTTACATGGAACATGTATGTATAACGTCTCTAAAAGTTAATAAGACAGATACCTGCAAAATTATTTGGTAGAAGAAAAACAGGTTCAGCTAGGTTGTATTACTTTCCTCAGGTCATGTAGTTGGTAATAACACCTCAAATTTTGAAGCAAGTTCTTCTGACTTTTCATTGTTCTTCTCCCTAACTATGTTGCTTATCATATTTGTTAGAATGCAATCTAGAAAAGTAAATATTGACTCTTTGAGGATCAATTCCAGTTTTGAGAATAGCCGAAAGTTGCCCAGTATTAAAAGTTGGTGACTAAGTTAGATAACATTATTTTGGATAAATAATAAGGTATGTTTATAAATATTTTTGAAGCTCATTAAATTGACAAATAATATATATCCTTAAAATATTTGTTAGCTTCAATTGACAAAAATGCACAAATTTAAAAAAAATGCATAAGCTGACTATGTATCCATGTGACTATCAATTATTTTAAGATCGGAACCAGATCTAAGGAAACTGAAAACAGAAACTAGCTGAAAGAAAACATGCAGAGTTCAAACAATGGCCATGTTTAAAAACTGAACTTTTCTTTTCAGTGATTTTTTAATGAAGTCTAGTATGCAGCACTAAGTGTGTGACTTGGCCTTTGAGAGGGGTTATTCATAAAGGTGGAGGGGGAATGAGCAGTTATTCCTATCCATTATGTGTTAGGTGATTTATTTCATTTAATCCTTGTATCTGTCTATGAAACAGATAATACTTCTATTTTAATGATGAGGGAAGGGCTCCTGGTTTTCAGTACCTGATCAAAGGTCACACAGCTAGAATCACACAGCCACCATAGGAGGCAGAGCTTGAATTAGAATCCTAGTCCATCTGTTCCAAAGCCAAGGTCTTTCTTCCAAACAATGCTGCTTCTTTTCAAAGGGATAAGAAAGGATGGGGATGAAGTAGGTTGAATGGTGGTTTCATTCATGAATAGTTGTTCTGAGGGTCTTAGTCATTACAATAAATAACAACAACAACAACAAAAATTATAAAGATTACAAAAGAAGTGAAAGTGTTCCCTGCTATAGACTGTTCCCAAAGGAAATATGCAAGTCTCCAAATCATCTACATGAACTAACAAATACATTCAGTAAGGGCACAGGAAACAGAGTTAATATAAAAGAATCAACTGGTTCCTTGTGTAACAGCAGCAACAAGTGAAAAGTGAGATGATATAAAATCCTATTTACAGGAGCACCAAAAATATGAAATATTTATGAATAAATTTAACCAAAAAAGTTCAAGATCACTACATTGAAAACAATAAAGCATTGCTGAGAGAAAAATAAAGAGGGCCAAAAAAGGTTCGTGGATTAGAACACTCAATATTGATAAGATGACAATTCTCCCCCAGTTGGTCATAGAGTCAGTATGATCCGAATAAAAATTTCAGCACTCAGTTTTGTAGAAATTGAGAAGTGATTATAAAGTTTATATGAAACTACATTACCAAGGAAATTTTTAAAAATAAGAATGGAATTGGAAGACTTACCTTACTTGATTTTAATACTTACAACAAAGTTACAGTAACAAAGACAGTATGGTTTTGGTGAAAGCACACACATATAGTTTAGATCAGAACAGAGTCCAGAAATAGAGCCACAGGTACTTGGTCAATGAATTTTTGACAAAAGTGCTAAGGTAATATAATGGGAGAAATAAAAGTCTTCAAAAAAAGGTCCAAGGTCAACTAAATACTTGTGTGGAAACAAAATTAACATGTATCCTTACATCACCCTACACTCAAAAATTAAATTAAAATGAATCATAGACTTAAATGCAAAATCTGAGATTGTAAATCTTCTAGAAGAAAATATAGAAAAATATCTTCACAAACTAGAGATAGGGGAAATATTTTGGAAGAAAAAAGTGCATGAAACATAAAGAAAACAATTGACAAATTGGATTTCATCAAAATAAAAAACATTTGATTTTTAAAGACACCACTAATAAGATATAAAATCAAGCCACAGACTGGGAGAAATGATTCACAACACGTATATGAAGAAAGTAACTTATATGTAGCACAGGCAAAAATACAGTCATGACTCATTAATAAGACAAACACTAAATAAAAAAATAGGCAAAAGGTATGAATAGACTTCTCCAGAAAAGATATATGGATGGCAAATAAGCACATTAAAAAGTCACTAGGGAAATATTAATTATGATCACAATAAAATATCTCTATATACATACATATTAAAATGGCTACAAATGGTAAAAAATGACCATTCCAAATGTTGGCAAGGATCTGGAGGAAATAGAACTTTCATAAACTAGTTTGATTGTAAAATTGTACAACCACATTGGAAAACACTTTTGGCAGTTTCTTTAAAAGTTTTATACATACCCTATGGCCCAGTCATTCCACTTCTAGGCATTTACTCAATGGAAACAAAAACATATGTTGACCTAAAGATAGTATACACATGTTTATAGAGTTTTACTTATAATATCCCCAAGCTGCAAACAACCCAAATGTCCATCAGTGGATGTATGAATAAAGAACTTGTGATATATCCATGCAATGGAATACTACTCAGCAATAAAAAGAAATGAGCTGTTGATATGTGGAACAACACGTACAAGTATCAAAATAATTATGCTGAGTAAATAAAGCCAGGTAAAACCAGGGTACATATTGCATGATTTCATTTTAATATTGTTAAATGTAAATTTATGTATAGGGATAGAAAGAGGATGAGTGATTGCTCGGGGAAGAGCTGCGGGAATGCATGGCTTATAGATAGGCACAAAGAAACTTTTAAGAGTGATGGACATGTTTTCTGTTTTTATCATGATGACATTTGTATACATGTCAGGTTGCATGCCTTAAATACATACATTTTCAAGTACTTCAATTATGCCTTAATAAGGTTGAACAAATTAGCACTAGCAGACAGGTCTATAGATTTTCCAGCTGTGGAGCAAGTGAGCATCCATTCTTAAACCCTAGGTTAAATTCCAGATTAAGATGGCATAAATCTAATTTTGTTTACTCCTGATAATCGAATCTAAATAAAGGAATTTTTTAAAAGCCACAAACCTTTAACAAACAAGAATAGGGAAATGACAACAATAAAATTTTGAACACTTGAATCAGATTGAAAAGTAGTAAATTACCTGAGAATACCAAATCTTCAACTGGGAATGAGTAAAGTCAAGAATCAACTCAGCTGATGTTGCAAAAGGCTCAGGAATTATCAGCACTGACTACTCTTGGAAGTGGGAATGAAAGGATGAAGGTAAATAAGAACTGTTTGCAATCTGATTTAGAAGCATTAGATGCCTAGATTCCCCCTCACCTGCTCTATGATCCTATGCACTGCCCTTCTCTGTCCAGACATAGAACTGGAAGTTTATTCCTGGGTTGAGTAAAACAGAGAGTCTCTGGACTGGGGATGCCTGGCAAAATTGAGAATAGCTTATACTGAAAATAAGGTGCTCAGAGAATATGTGCACAATGAATGCTGAGGCTTGTAGCCTACTTCCCTCATGGACTTGAGAAACAATAGTAGGCAGACTTTTCCTTCTGGGCAGGAGATTGAATACTCTATGGAATCTGACCAGCCCAAGAGGAAAACATCTAAAGAAACTGACATTGAAGGTTCCAGACGAACAGCCCACCCAGTTCTCTTGACTGTGAAACTCTTGGTACAAAAGCTGCGCCCTTGGACTTATAGCTTCCGTCAACTTTTTAGCTCCCTTTCCTAAATATGAGAAGACAACCAAGAATTGCTAGATAGCTGATGAAATTCCTAAATGAGATATAACAACTAAAAAAGAAAAATCCAATTTGGTGGAAAGAATACTTTTCAAAAACTCTCATTAATATCTCCAGAAACAGAAGAAAAAAATTATATACTTATAAAGAACAGGATGCTTCAAAATGAATATTCAAAAAAACCTTGGAAATTTAAATAAAGTAGAAAAAGAAATAAAATGCTCAAAAAAAGACTTGAGAGATAAAGGAATTTCTTCCTGTGACTACTGCAAAACCAGAACTCAAAGCAAAATAAAACAAAAAACAGAAATGGAAGCTAAGAAAAAATAAGAAAATCAGAAGACCAGCTCAAAGTCCAGGAGTTTCAGAAAGACATTCCAGAGAAGTGAAGGGGAGGAATTCATTAGCAAAAATAATTTAAGATTATTCTCCAAAACAGAAAGATGTGATTTTCTGGAATGAAAGGATGCTGCAAAGTCATTAAAAATTGATCTACTACCAAGGCTCATCATGATATTTCAGAGTACTGGGGATAAAGAGAAGATCACATAAGCTTCCAGGGGAGGGGAAAACCATGTTATTTAAAAGGAAAATAAATTAGACCAGCTTCAGAGTTCATAAAAGTAACATTGAAAACTATAAAACAATGGAGCAATATCTTCTACATTCAAAGGGAAAATAATTTCCAACCTAGAAATCTATACTCAGCCAAACAGTCAATAAAATCCAAGGAAAGTCTCAAAACGTTTACTCCCATGTACCCTTCCTTGGGAAGCTACTGAGGATACACTTTATTAAAACAAGTTAGTGAACCAAGAAAAAGGGAGAGATTGGATCGAGGAAACAGGAGATCCAACTCAGGAGACAAGCAAGCTCCCTTTGTTTGATGGTGAAAGGAAATCTTTGAATGAGAATTATCAGACATAAAGGGGAATCACTGGAGTGTAAATCAGGTTATAATTTCAGAGAGAGAGATGTCTTCAAAAACACAAAGTTGATAGAATAGTTAAGGTAAAGAAATGTATTGAGAAGGTATTTAGCGATATAGGGAAGAACTTGAAGCTGACTTAGGGATAAGTACATAAAAAGTTAAGCAAATAGGGGAAAACCAGAAACAATTGTTAGCTCCAGGGTAAGTAGGATATTGAGCAGGGAAGAATTTTAATCATAATTTATATTATGGTTCATTTTTGAATTATATACATAGATTTGATAAAATACTGAATAATCAAAATTTTGATTTAACTCTATACTAGGAAGGAATGGGGTATGGGGAGTGAACATTTACTTGGAGAGCAAAAAGAACTAAACTCTTACCTTGTGTAGTTAATACATAACACCTAAAACTGAAAAGAAATCTAGAAATAGCAGTATGATCATGTTTTTGGGGTAAATACCAAGACTCAGCTAAGAGTTGAAACTGATTACTTTGTGGAAGGAGAAATGGAAAATGGGGGTGTCTTGAGATTCCTGTTTGTATTAACAAGTCATAGAAGTAGCTTACTCTTGAACTATGTGCATGTATCACTTTGATAAGAAACAAACATTTAAAAAAAATTGTCCTCAGTTCTAGAATTTTCAACCCCTAGAAATTTCTATTCACTCTGGTGTAAACCTTGAGAACCTCCCAAATATGTGATGAGATCGTGGATCTCATAAGCTCTTTGCTCTAGGGTAGTTTCAAGCATGGCTTACATCTGACATAGCCGACCTCCTGGTGAATGATAGACAAGTGAGAATATCCAGGTAATATTCGCCCTTAGAAACGTGGAGAGTAACTAAATTTTGTTACGTTGGGGATAGAGACAAGAGGAGAGTGGTTCCACCATCAGCTAGCTTGTTAGCAGAATTTTCATGTTTGAAGCAGAAATATTAACAGAAAAAAAAATGCACCATTAGGTACGTGAGTGATATGGTCTGAATGTATGTGTGCCCCCCCAAATTCATATGTTAAGACATAACCCCCAAGGTCATGGTAGTAAAAGGTGGGGCCTTTGGAAGATGATTAGGTCATGATGCTAAAGCTCTCATGAATGTGATTAGTAACTTTATAAAGGGGCTTGAAGGAGCCTGTTTGCCCCTCCTACCATGTGAGGACCCATGGAAAGTTCCATCTTTGGAGAAGAGAACAGGCCCTCAGCAGACATCAAACCTGGTGGCACCTGGATCTTAGATCTCAGACTTCCCAGACTCCAGAACTGTGAGAAATAATTTTCTGTTATTTAAAAGTTACCCAGTCTAAGATATTTTGTTACAGCGGCCTGAATGGACTAAGATAGTGGGAAAAGTAAAGATGATAAGAACAGCTAAGTTCAGAGCAGATTCATTTATTGGATCACAAAGGAAGATCTTATTCTTGTTTTGGACCCATAATTAATTTCAAGGGGAAGTTTGCTGCTTTATATAAAATGGGAAATTCTGAAAATACTTCTAGATGAGGCACTATGGCAATATTACTCATTCAGAAAGGTTGAACTTTTTAAGGAGCTTTTTCTTCTTTGATTTTATGTTATTTATAAAGGATTTAAGGTACCTTTTAGTGTTTCATGTTCTTTGTTTGGAATTCTGGACGTGATTTCCTGTGGAAACACTTGCAGGTGTTTGGGTCTACAATGCCAACCCTCTAATGACTCATTCATCTCTGGTTGCCACAACAGCACTGAACTAATTTTTCTATGGAAAAATTCAAATATGCCTTCATATAGGGCAGTCAGGAATACTTGTGACCTTATTTTGTAATGGAAATTAAAAAGGACTGATGATAGGTGGGATCAGGAGTAGAGATGCTCTTTAAGGGCAGGAGAGTATTACTATTGGGAAAGGTACAGCTTATAGCAGTGAAGATTTACAATTCTTCTTCCAGTACCTCTTGGCAGAAAATACTGTGGTATCCAGACCCCATTCTGAATCTGATTTGATTTATTTCTTGGGCTAGAAGAGAATAAACATGTAGTTAGGAGCATTTCTAGGCAGTAATAGGTTGAAGAGACAGGTAGAGTGGAATCTCAAGAGGAGAGAGGGAAGGAAGGAGATTTCTTCGGTCACATAATATTCTAGTTCTGGCTCAAGATATTTTATTTACATATATATGTATATCTTCTGAGTTGGATGCATGCACACATATGTTGAGCTCGTATAAATCAAAAGCTGTCTGTACATCATTTTGGTATCTTGTCAACCTCACAAAAACTAGTATCAATGAATGTTATGAAATTTCACAATTCATTAGAGAAAAATGAAGTTTAAATGGTAAGAATATAAACTCTTAAGTTAATATGCTTAATAATTAAGAACTTTTGCCTTGGAGTAGATGAAGAAACCCAAGAATTATATATTAATTTAACGAAGAGAAAAATATCTATTTAAAGAATTGACCATTTTCTAAAATTCCAGAACAACAGTGCACATAATTGGATGCTCATAACAACACAGAAAAGGATGCTCAGTCTGTGAAGTTCAGTCTCAACCAGTTTTGCATTTTATCTTCATCTTTAATATCAGGATAGATATTATAACTTAATGCTTTGGTATTTTCCTCAATATTTCCTTTGGGAGACTGAATTTTTTCATAGATAAAAGGGAGGTATACAGATACGTTCAATCCTATTTACCAGAATGAGTTTTTGGCTCATCTTTCATATTGTTTTACTGACTGCTATGAAGAATTGTCCTCCTCCTCTTTTATTTCATAGAACATTTCTTTTTCTTTCTTCTCTTTTTCTTCTTCTCCTTTTTCTCCTTCTCCCCTCCCCCTCCTTCTTTTTCTCCTTCTCCTCCTTATTCTCCTCCTCCTCCCCCTCCTACAACTTCTTTTCCTTCCTCCTCCTCTTCTTCTTCCCCTTCCCCTTCCTCCTCCTCCTCCTCCTCCTCTTCTTCTTTCTTCTGAAATGGCGTCACTCGGTTGCCCAGGCTGCAGTGCCTTAGCACAATCATAGCTCACTGCAGCCTCAAGCTCTTAAGGCTCAAGGGATCCTCCCACCTCAGCCTCCTGAGTAGCTGGGACCACAGGTGTGCACCACTGTGTCTGGCTCCTATTACACAGAACATTTTACTTGGTTTTCTCACTGATTTTGTGATGTTGTCCTAATTCCATGCCTGGCACAAAGATTATATAAGCAGTAGGGTACTTTGTGGACTCACGTGTGGCCAGGTTTGTCCCAGGATCTTCACCCTTTCACTCCCTTACTTGTGACTCACCCCAGCCTATACAGTGGGAAGAAATTGAGGTGGAGTTGAAGGGATTCATAGAGGTAATGACCCCTTGGATTGCTGGGGAGGGCTGTGGCAACATCCTCCACCCACCGCCACCTCAGGTAAAGGAAGCAGAGGTGAGAGGAGGCTCTTCTAACACGTCCTTTAAGCCAACCAAGGAGTTGGCTGCAAGGATACTACTAGGAGACAGTGAGGGAACATAGAATAAGAGGAAACTGGCCTTCTTGTCCCCAGCTGGAGACTTTTGGAAGTACAGAAGCCCTTTGCCTTTCCTGGGGCTGCCAGGGAGTACAGAATCGGGAGTGAAACTGATCCTGAGCGAGTGCACAGTGCTCCTTGATGATTACTCCTCCGCAAATTCAGAGACTGGCGCTTACTGCTTATCTGGGGAATTCTGAAGGCAAGGGGGCAGCTGGAACAGCCATAACGACAGCAAAATGAGGGGGTGTCCGAGAGTAGCCTACTTTTTTTAATCCTGTGGCATGGAAAGGATGTGTGACTTTCCCACAGATGAAGAGGATGCTGTGAAAGGTAAAAGCTCCCTTAAAAGTTTCTTGCTTCAAAGGTGGCTTGCTAAGGCAAGAGAACACCCTAGTAGTAGGTTGGGATGGGAGGAGATATATCATTAAGAATAGGTAAGGGAGAATGTCAAGAGGCGAGCACAAGCGTGTGCTTGCCAAGCTTCTAAAGAAACTTCCTGTGTACCCCACTGAAGTGCTAGGATTTGGATGTCTGACCAACCCAGAGGTCACTGATGGCCAGCCAGTATTAACCAAGGGAGGGCTAAAATGCAGAGTAATTGAAGCCAACAACAAAACATGCACCTTTCCTTTAGTCTTCTCTTCCTCTGTTCTGACCTTAGAGAAACCAGAAGAGTGGGGTAAGGATAGGAAGGAAAAGAGAAGGAACAGTCCAGTTTCTTCTCCACCACTGCAGCCCTGAGTTAGGGGAGTAGAAGAGAAGCTTTGAATTGGATATGAAATTAAATTTTGATTTAGACTGGACCAGATACCTTTAATCCCTGCATGGGTGCCATCATTGATGGAATGGGGCTTCTTTGTATACCTGAGAGAATGGGGCAGCTATGGGATCTGCCTGAGACAAGGACTGAGAGATGCATATCCAACAAAGCATGCTTAAAAGCAGTGATTGGAGAGAAGTAAAGCCATTTCCTGCTAAGTTCAGACTGTTCAGTCAATTGATTATACTGAGAGAGATTATGCAGTAAAGTTATTTAGCTGACGGGTAAAGAGTCTCTTTGGGGATGGTGTGCCCAGCGCACAAGGTTAAGGAGTTGGAAGATTTCTTCTGTGAATAAAATCAATGTTTGGGGCTCAGTCTATCGGGAATGACTTATTACTAGTACTAAAATTTGTGTGTGTGAGATTTAATAAGTCTTTAATATGGTCTTCATTTGTTGCTTCATTTATTCAAACATTTATTAATTGCCTCTGTCTTACACATAGAAAAAAACCTAATGCTAAGGCTGTTGTCACTGCGCTCAAGGAGAAGAGGAAAATAACAGTAATTTATACCTGCTAGTATGTGCTAGGAACTATTTTAAGTGTGTTATGCACACAAATCTAATGTAATTAATCCAAAAGGTAGTTGCTTTTATAATTGTTTAATAATGAATAAAACTGTATTGCAAAAAGGTTAAGTAATTTGCCTAAGATTATGTAGCTAGTAAGAGTTGAGGCTGGAATTTGAGCCCAGGAACTCATGCTATGCTGCTTCTCATAATATAAGGTATTTCCTCTAATACAGAATTTAATTTAGACTGTGACTAAGTTTAAAGACAAGATTACAAGGAGAAGGATTAATGTGACCTGAAAACATTGGATAAGACTTCAGACTCATATGTTCCAATGCTCCTGGAAGGCCAACCATAAATGGAAGGTGTATCTTTAGGACCTGGAATGAAAGGGCACGGTAGTATCATTTCAGAGTTTCAGCTGTTTGTAATATTTATTATAATATCTTTTTTGGTCTTATCACCCAGAGACATGTTCTTTGCAATAAAATAGACAGCTTAATAGATTTCTTTAATATTATTTGGAGCAGACATCATAATTTCATTTAGACTTTAAGCCTTAGGAGATATCTATATATGTATCTATAACATCTGTATCTATATTATCTAACAACGTCTGTATCTATTTGTATTTATATCTGATAATATTGGTGGGTCATTTGTAGAGTTGTCCTTGAATTCTGGAACAAATCTCTTCTGATGCATTCTGTAAAATATGAGGAAAAAGCCTTTAACTCTTTCATATCCCAATTTGGGCCAAGGGAAGTCATAGCTATAGAAAAATGACACCCTCAATAAACAGGAACAATTAGAAGGCTATTGCTTGTTGTATTTTGGGAACAGCTTTCGAATGCTGGCTTTGTGGCACCTCTTACCCCAGAATAATGTGGTATTATCTTATATATGAAGAATTTAGCATTCTAGCTGCTGAGAACTCAACATTTCTAAGATGCTGAGATTATGTATCCTATCACTTCCAGAAACAGTTTTTGGAAGAAAGAGAGTCTAGGCCTACAGCTTCTTAGGAAGGCTTAACACAGGGTTTTTAGTTGTGCTATTGTGGCTCCTAGGCAAAGTGCAGAAATGAGAGAGCCAGTACCTGAGTCCTAAACCTCCTTCTGACAACAATCCTCTTCATGACCCTGGGAAGGGCAATCAACTTTCCGGAACCTTTTTATCACATATGAAATTAAGGGGTTTGGACTAGATATCTAGGATTCTTTCCTGGTCTAACATTTGATGTATTTCTCTATGGTTCAAAGCATAACCTAATGGGGAAGTTTATGACATTCTAACATGGCATACTGGGTTAGGAGTGGATGTTAAAATATTTATTTATACCACTCTTTCATCAGTAAATACAGAAAAAACTGGTGTGAAACTTACCAGTAGGGCAAGAAGTTGATTACCTCTCTTGTTTTGATCTCTTTTATTACATGTCTTTGTTTTGCAGGCCTCTACACTTCAGTGCCCTCCTTGACCTAGTAATAAACTCTCCTCCACACTGAAGCCTTCACTGAAAACTTCGGAATAGAAGTTGGCATAAAGTATAGTAATTACGACTTTCGTGGACTGACGTGTATGTTAAGGACTTCAAAGCATCCTACTATTCAGATGTGTGGACTGTGCTAAAGTAGAAGAATCTATAAAACCAAAGGAAAACAAAAGTGACAAAACTGGAGGAGTTTTATTTTTATGGAGTCAGATGGGCAAAGTAAGGTAGGTTGAATGCCACTTCAGTTCTAAAAGTCTATTTATTTTCTCTTGGTCTGACTGGAAGTGCCATCTATATAGCCCAACATTTTCAAGAGAAGGATGACGATGAAGGCTTCCATGGCAAAATAATGAGAAAATTGTCAAATTGTCAAAAATCAAGCTTTAGGATTCAACCTTTGACACTCATGATTCATGATATGCTTTCTTTACTCAGCAGTGGTGTGTGTTACTTTAAATGTTTAGAAAACATACATGTGCATGTATCTTTATAGCAGCATGATTTATAGTCCTTTGGGTATATACCCAGTAATGGGATGGCTGGGTCAAATGGTATGTCTAGTTCTAGATCCCTGAGGAATCGCCACGCTGACTTCCACAATGGTTGAACTAGTTTACAGTCCCACCAACAGTGTAAAAGTGTTCCTATTTCTCCACATCCTCTCCAGCACCTGTTGTTTCCTGACTTTTTAATGATTGCCATTCTAACTGGTGTGAGATGGTATCTCATTGTGGTTTTGATTTGGATTTCTCTGATGGCCAGTGATGGTGAGCATTTTTTCATGTGTCTTTTGGCTGCATAAATGTCTTCTTTTGAGAAGTGTCTGTTCATATCCTTCACCCACTTTTTGATGGGGTTGTTTGTTTTTTTCTTGTAAATTTGTTTAAGTTGATTGTAGATTCTGGATATTAGCCCTTTGTCAGATGAGTAGGTTGCAAAAATTTTCTCCCATTCTGTAGGTTGCCTGTTCACTCTGATGGTAGTTTCTTTTGCTGTGCAGATGTGCAGAAGCTCTTTAGTTTAATTAGATCCCATTTGTCAATTTTGGTTTTTGTTGCCATTGCTTTTGGTGTTTTAGACATGAAGTCCTTGCCCATGCCTATGTCCTGAATGGTAATGCCTAGGTTTCCTTCTAGGGTTTTTATGGTTTTAGGTCTAACATTTAAGTCTTTAATCCATCTTGAATTAATTTTTGTATAAGGTGTAAGGAAGGGATCCAGTTTCAGCTTTCTATATATGGCTAGCCAGTTTTCCCAGCACCATTTATTAAATAGGGAATCCTTTCCCCATTGCTTGTTTTTCTCAGGTTTGTCAAAGACACGTATGTTTATTGCGGCACTATTCACAATAGCAAAGACTTGGAACCAACCCAAATGTCCAACAATGATAGACTGGATTAAGAAAATGTGGCACATATACACCATGGAATACTATGCAGCCATAAAAAAGGATGAGTTCATGTCCTTTGTAGGGACATGGATGAAATTGGAAATCATCATTCTCAGTAAACTATCACAAGGACAAAAAACCAAACACCGTATGTTCTCACTCATAGGTGGGAATTGAACAATGAGAACACATGGACACAGGAAGGGGAACATCACACTCTGGGGACTGTTGTGGGGTAGGGGGAGGGGGGAGGGATAGCATTAGGAGATATACGTAATGCTAAATGATGAGCTAATGGGTGCAGCACACCAGCATGGCACATGTATACATATGAAACTAACCTGCACATTGTGCACATGTACCCTAAAACTTAAAGTATAATAATAATAATAATAATAAATGTTTAGAAAAAAATTCTATCATAAATATGACCATTTAATTTCCTACAAGTTTTTCAAAAGTTTCTTCTTGGGTTTATTCATCCCTATGGAAAATTCCTTAGAGAGATTTAGGAATCTTCAGTGAATACTTTTAGAACAAATGGAAAGAAAGCAAAAATGCTGTTTCATCATTGAGAAAAATAAAACTCAAAACAAGCTTAACCATCAAACCTCTTCTTTATTCCAATTTGTCATATTTGTAATAGCAACAATAAGCTGTTCTTAGAAATAATGTGTTCTTAGAAATAAATAAAATGCATGTTTCTTACTGCTAAATGCCAGTGTACAATGAAATTTCCAAGCCAATTTTTTGGGGAAAAGGTGTAACTTCTGTATAATGTATTTAGGATCTTAAGTGGCATATTTCTGTTGGATGGTTTATATGTTATCTATAGATAGCACCTCACTACTAAGGCATAATAAAGAAACTTGTGCTCAAAGAGGAGGGATAAAATAAAAATAGAATTTGATTTCAACAAGTGGATTTGATCATTTGCAAAATGGTGATAACAATCCTTTCTCTAACTCACAGCATTGTCATATTATTAGTTAATTATAATGTTAATAGTACTAATATTCATCATCTCAGTGTTCCCAAGAGGGTCCCAAGGAGGTCATACTAACTTCACTTCTTATATTTTCCAGTTTGTTAGCTTACAAGTTGTAACTGCAGAGTCTTAGCTTCACATTCACCTTCCCCCACCATTTCTCCTCAGGTGTGCCCTAGTGTGAACTAAATCTGTCACTCTTTTTCTGTTCTTTTCCTTAAGGGGTGCTGCCATGAGAACGCAGATCCCCTACTTCTCTGAAAAGTGCAGTGACATTCCCACTGCTGTGTTGTTCCCCCTTAGTTTCTTCAGACACATCTACAATTTTCCTTCCTCCCAGAACTGGGAAAAGCTCTTTTTCTTTGCATGGACTTTTTCACCTGAGTTTGAAAGCACCGGGCATGGTTGTGCCTTTAAGTTTCACAATGCTCTTCATAAAAGTGGTCTGAACTTCAGCATTTCTTTTTTTTTCCCTGAGATGGAGACTTGCTCTGTCACTCAGGCTGCAGTGCGGTGGCACGATCTCAGCTCACTGCAACCTCCGCCTCCTGGGTTGAAGCAATTCTCCTGTCTCAGACTCCTGAGTAGCTGGGATTACAGGCGCCCACCACACCCGGCTAATTTTTGTATTTTTAGTAGAGATGAGGTTTCACCATGTTGGTCAGGCTGGTCTTGAATTCCTGACCTCGTGATCTGCCCACCTCGGCCTCTCAAAGTGCTGGTATTACAGGCGTGAGCCACCGTGCCTGGCCTGAACTTCAGCTTTTACTTGTAGTCTCTCTCTCTCTGTGTGAGAATGAGCCCTTGTTTTGCTAAGCCAGCCTGGAGAATACATCCCATTCCACCCTCCATTTTTTTTTTTATCATCCTTCTTCCTTTGTTTCTTCCTCAAGTCTCTCTTTTCTCCTTTACAAAACACACACACACACACACACACACACACACACACACACACGGACAAGAGCAACAAACCAAGTATATCCACCCACAAAAAAACCCTCCAAACATCATTAATTCATGGAAATAGATGGGGAGAGACAAGACTGTCGGCCCCACACCAGCAATCACTGACTCAGTCTAAACAAAGAGTAACATAATAATGGTATACAACAGAGAATCACCGTTTAAATTTTATGACCAGGTCTTTAATAAGTATCTTGCAGCCTGTTATAGAAAAACACTTTCAAATAGTGTGATATGTCTCATAATGGGAAAAGCGTCCCCCGGAAGTACTGAGCATCCAGCAATAAAGGCATTTAAGTAGACATATCATATGATCAACTTTAAGAGGCAGTTTCCAACATGTGTTGTCTTCATTGCCGGATTGGAAGAAACCCGGGGGCAACGTATCATTTATTTAGCGTAACATTGTATTTTGCATAATACTAGAGTTTCTAAAGAATTTTCATATATACTAAGCTATTTTAATCCTTGCAAGCATCCTGTGAAATAAAGCAAGGACTCTGCTTATTTAATAAATAAGGAAAGAGGCTCAGCATGATTCATAAATTTTCCTGGAGTTTCAGGACTGGCAAATAGCAGAATTGGAGTGTGATGCCAGCCAATTATATCCTTAAACTTTACATATATTGCCCAGTGTAAAAGTTCAAGAATGCTTATTTCTTTGTTATCTGGAAAGGGCTGCTGTAAAAGCAAACCTAAGTGAGACTGTTTGATCGTCCATGCCTGCCCCAAAGTTCCAAGAAGTTTTGAATCACGTAAAAACAATCAGAAAACCCTGTTGGTTTTATTCCTTTTTTTCCTCCATCCCAGCTGGACTGAAATATGTAAAATCTATGGGATTTCATGTCATACCAACTGTGCAAATTAGTGGCACAATAGATTGTGAGTTTCTTCAGGGCAGGAACCTTTCATCTTAATATTTCCCCCTTATGCTGCATAGTATTGACTTAAATACACACACACACACACACACACACACACACACACTTAAAGAAATGGATAGATGGAGAGATGGATGGATAGGTGGGTAGGTGGAGGTGACCAGGGACCCTAAAGTCTGTGACTCAAGGATCTAGGCCCAGTTCTTAAAGACTCATATTGCAGCTGATTTTTTAAGAATCTCCCCAACTTTCTCGCTACCATTCGACAGAGAGAGAGACATTCTGCTACATTTTTTCTCCTGGGTGGCCTATAACGGTTCACATTCACCAGTTCTTGTAACTTGTTTTTCACTCAAACCCAGCTTGCTGTTAGTCTGCTGTGTCTAAATAGTCATGGATCCTGCACCTGCTCTAAGACAGGCTGTTAAGTGAGGCTTCTTTCGGAGACTGCAAATTCAGGACTCCAGGCCCCTCAGAATGGTTGTTTCATGATTTATAGCTGGAGGTGTGTACTTCTGTGTGCTGTTGGTCAATGATGATAAAGTAGGTATCAGTGCCTCTGTGAATTTTCTGTTGCCCTTTCATAACCACCATTTAGGAGCATTTAATCAGGAATAAAGTGCTAGGGGTGGGAAAACCATTTCAGGTTGCCATTGCACTGTGGAGGCAATTGTGGACTTTTCCCCCCCATATTTTCTAAACTACTAAAAATAGTGTTTCACATTTACCTGCATAATTTTATGTCTGCTCTTTCCCTGCTTGAGCAGATAACATGATGACAGCTTCTCTGACCCCTAATTTTCCTTTTATTTTCAACTTTGACCATGGAGACATGTTAAGCCCCAAGGAAGCACTCATTTTTACTATCAACAGGTATAGTTGCCCCCTTAACTGGTCATAATGTCTGCTAAATAGCATCAGGCCCTAGTAATCCAGGAGGCAATCCACATTCCCTTACTGAAACAGAGAAGGGGAAGATTCAAGATGGAGGGGATATTGAATAGTTGAATGTCATGCCTAAGTATTCTTACACGTTTACAGGTTTAGTATGCTGTGGATATTGATGCTTATAAATCTCAAGATTTTGGCAGTTCTCAAAGTACAGTCTCTATCACCAGTAGTATCCGTATCACCTGGGAACTTGCTAAAAATGCAAATTTGTATCCACCCCCATCCCCAATCTACTGAACCAGAAAATCTGGCGGCAGGGCCAGCAATCTGTGCATTTGCACAGATGATTCTGATGCTCACTAAAAATTGAGAACCACTGGTTTTAGGAAGTTTACAAAAGACTGAACCTTTTTCTTTCTGTCTTTTTAAAACATTGGTGTGGACAAATTAAATTGTCCCTTTTCTGAACAGCATTTAATCATACTGAACAATTATTCATACCTTTTCTTAAGCATATGTTAATCATATTAGAAATGCCATTCCCTTCTCGTGCAAAAGGGCAAAATCAGCAACATCCTTCCAATGTGGGTGGGTAAATGAAGGCTCTGATACAAGAATTGAAATGAAATATGTGTGCAAACAGTTCTTAGTACTGAGCTGTTTAAAGAAGGCCTACCTTTGCACAGAAAATGTCTATAAGAATTACTCATTAATGCCACTTAATAGAGGAAGAGTAGGAGATAACGTGGGAACAGGGTCTTTTTAAAAAATACCACTTTAAAGAAGAGGCTTATGCTTCATCATAGACAAAATGCTTTGTATAGTACTAACAGGGGCATATCTATTCCTTTAATGACACTCTAAGCCAGTGCTTTAAAATTTTATTGTTGTTTTTATTGCCCCTGGAATTCCATTTATCTATGATAGTGTTGGATTAATGTGTGGTAAGCACATTGCCACATCAGTCCATGATTAATTAGCCGACATTTATTGAGTACTTAATATTTGACCCAAACTGGATCAAAACTGGGGAATATAGAAACTGTCGTCTCTGCTAACAAGTTTGCAATCTAGTTGGAGAGATGGGAGTAAAACTCCTGAAAAACTTGGGCTCAATAAGATAACATGATCAAGAGTGAGGAGACATGATATAGACTGCAAATGCAGGGAAAGTGCACTTTGTGGAGTGGTCACTCCAGTGTTTAGTATGTCAGAAAGGAGGCTTCATGGGGCAGACGGATCTCAAAGGATGCCTAAGTTCAGCAGTGGATTGTTTGCAGAAATGGCCTAATTCTTCCCCTGCTTGTATCTCTGCTCTTTGGCATTGCAACTTTTCAGGTCCTTATGTGAAGAGGTAGAGTCTACTCCTCTGCCCCTGGCCTTGTAATGGTGGCAATGTTGACGTGCTAATTCTGATTCTAGACCTCAAGAGACCTCGCACATCTCCGGCCACTCTATTGAAACACAACCAGCTGCCATGAACAGGCCCAGGTTAAGTCTGCTGGAGGAAGAGACCACATTCTTTATGAGATGAGATGTTTCAGCAGAAGCCATGGGAGACTAGATAGCCCCCAGCAGAGCCATCAATGAGGTCAACAGAAGAACTCCACCCTAGCTGAACCCAGTCCAAATTGCCAACTTGCAGAATCTTGGGCTAAATGAACCAACAGGTCACCAAATGTTGAAGTGGTTTGTCATATAGTGACAGATAACTGATACAAATCTGGAAGGTAGAGAGGAAGAAAGTGTTCTAGGCCAGAGTTGTACCTCCCAAAAAGTCGAGTCAGAAATATGGGAGGCCAGGCTAAAGAAAAGTAAAGAAATTAGTAGGATTGGATGTTTGAACCACTTTCTTTCAGTAAATCGCTAGAAGCACCATGCAGGGTTCAAGTGAACGTATACTGGAGGCCAGACCTGCCCAACTATGCTGCTAAATGGTGATCTTCTCCTGAAGCGCTCCATCAGGGTATGAGTAACAGGGAACTCCCCTTGCCAAGACACACAGGGAGTGTGATGACCCTGTCCCTCCAAACTGCACTTTGAGAGAATGGAACCTTGTTTTGTAGCCAACTATATTATGCCAAGAACAAAAAGATCTTTGTAGCTTATCATCTGTTTTTATGTTTTATATAAAAATCTAAAGCTTCTATGACATACTTTCAAGAAACTGCTAGAGGCAACACGTAGAATCCCAGAGTAAAGATATTATGAAGTTAGAGTACTTTAAAATTCTTCAGTTCTCACAGTGTGGATCTATCGCCCATTGAATAACAACTTTAACTGTTTTATGAGGTCACTGAATATATTTTTCACTATAAAAGAACATGAGAGAAAATATTTACCTTGAAATGCTAAAAATGTGTTCCCTTTCTGTGGAATGGCATTTGTTGAAAGGAATATCCCGGGAGAGGATGGATTCTTGTTTTAGACATAGCTCTTTAAATTTGGCAGGACATGTGGGGGTAGGGGGACAGATGGGGGTGGAGTTGGGGGAGCTTGGTATTCAGGTGGCACAATACCAGGTGGAGGTTAAATACCTACAACTCCTTATGCCTGGGATCTTTTGTTCCAATAGCCATAGAAGCTTCTTTCATTTCACTTTTTATTTTTATTTTTTGCAAAACCCATTAGTTGACAAAGTGCCATAAACTTTGTACAAAATGGCCTCGTTCAGCAAATATTTTATTCAAACTATGCTCCTATCAGCAGTACCACACATGTCATAAAGTCATGGTGAAGCAGGAATTTCAGTAAAAGAAAAGGCGGGGGTCATGAAGACCGAAGGATCAAAGGAGCATGGAGTAGAGGAGGCGTCACATCTGAAGTGCACACTGTGTGTGCGCGCTGCAAGGAGAGAGAGCGTTATAAAGTTGTTGTTTTAATCGCTGCTTGTCGCCTGCGAACATGTTGCTCCCTTTTAAGTGTCAAGCAACGGGTTCACCCAAAACTTTTCTGCACCGAGGACCCGCACGCCCGGGGTCCCACCTGCCCCTCTCTGCCTGCCTCCCACCGGCGCCTGGGCATCCTGCGCCGGCTACAGGTCCTTGCTCACTGAAGCGTCACCTCTCACTCCCCAGTAAGCCTCCGCAGCCCACTCGGACTGCAGCCTGTTTGCCGCCCGTCCTCCCATTGCAGCACTCGGGGCGACAGAGAGGGAGGAGGCGCGCGGGGACGGGGACGCCCAGGAGGACCCACTCGCGGGTCCCGCTCCGCTCCGGCAGCAGCATGGGGAAAGGACGCGCGGGCCGAGTTGGCACCACAGGTAAACAGGCTGGCGAGGCGCAGGACGCTGTCGCCGCCGCGGCCACCCAGCGATTTCCAGGCACGCAACTCCGCCTCCAGGGCTCTCTCCCTCGCGCTCTCTCCCAGCCGCTTGCTCGCAGCCCCAGCAGCCGCCGCAGCATCACTTCACACAAAGGACTGTCACCCGCGGAGCAGCTCCTCCACCTCCACGTCCTCCTCCGGTGACAGCAGCCCCGACAGCAGGGCTCGGGCGCGGCGGCGGCGCGGGGGGTGGGGGGACCTGTCACTCCCTGTAACTGAGGCGGCGGCAGCGGTTTTTTTGCCTTTTCTATTTTGCCTTTTTTTTTTTTGCCCTTATACCTCTTCGCCTTTCTGTGGTTCCATCCACTTCTTCCCCCTCCTCCTCCCATAAACAACTCTCCTACCCCTGCACCCCCAATAAATAAATAAAAGGAGGAGGGCAAGGGGGGAGGAGGAGGAGTGGTGCTGCGAGGGGAAGGAAAAGGGAGGCAGCGCGAGAGAGCCGGGCAGAGTCCGAACCGACAGCCAGAAGCCCGCACGCACCTCGCACCATGAGATGGCGACGCGCCCCGCGCCGCTCCGGGCGTCCCGGCCCCCGGGCCCAGCGCCCCGGCTCCGCCGCCCGCTCGTCGCCGCCGCTGCCGCTGCTGCCACTACTGCTGCTGCTGGGGACCGCGGCCCTGGCGCCGGGGGCGGCGGCCGGCAACGAGGCGGCTCCCGCGGGGGCCTCGGTGTGCTACTCGTCCCCGCCCAGCGTGGGATCGGTGCAGGAGCTAGCTCAGCGCGCCGCGGTGGTGATCGAGGGAAAGGTGCACCCGCAGCGGCGGCAGCAGGGGGCACTCGACAGGAAGGCGGCGGCGGCGGCGGGCGAGGCAGGGGCGTGGGGCGGCGATCGCGAGCCGCCAGCCGCGGGCCCACGGGCGCTGGGGCCGCCCGCCGAGGAGCCGCTGCTCGCCGCCAACGGGACCGTGCCCTCTTGGCCCACCGCCCCGGTGCCCAGCGCCGGCGAGCCCGGGGAGGAGGCGCCCTATCTGGTGAAGGTGCACCAGGTGTGGGCGGTGAAAGCCGGGGGCTTGAAGAAGGACTCGCTGCTCACCGTGCGCCTGGGGACCTGGGGCCACCCCGCCTTCCCCTCCTGCGGGAGGCTCAAGGAGGACAGCAGGTACATCTTCTTCATGGAGCCCGACGCCAACAGCACCAGCCGCGCGCCGGCCGCCTTCCGAGCCTCTTTCCCCCCTCTGGAGACGGGCCGGAACCTCAAGAAGGAGGTCAGCCGGGTGCTGTGCAAGCGGTGCGGTAAGTTCCTCGCCCTTGGGGGCGCGAACCCGCGGCGAGGAGGGCGCATCCCGGGCGCGCGGGCAGCGGGGCTCGACGGCCGCCCGAGCAAGGCAGAGGCGCTCTGGGTCCCAGTTGTTGGTTTCAGGGTGGTGGGTTCTCAGCGATCCTCAGAGAGGGAGGTTTCGCTTTCTCCAGCTTCCCTTGTCTTAGGCTTTGCCACTGGAGAAAGCCCAAGTTTAGTCCTGGGTTGGGGCCTCCTGAAACTTTTTAATCCTTTGGGGTTTGGCTCACCAAGTAGATCGGAAATGTGCCGGCTGCTTTCTTGTGGGTGATATGAACTTGGCTTTGGTTAGGAGTTGCTGATTCTGGGCCTCCTTTGAAGGAGGAAGGGTGAGTCCCGCAGGATTTTAACGCCTTCCCTTCACTTGGAGTCCAGAGTGTGGAGATGGTTAGGGGTTTGCTTCTGTGTCTGTGAAGTCTCTGCAAGGAAGGGGCAGTGCACTGACATTCCCCGACAGATGTGGCAGAGTTTTTTGGCAACTCAATGTCCAGCAGAGAGGTGCAGTCTGTACCTTGTGAATATGTGTAATATGTGAGAATTATAAAGTTGTTATTGGTGGGGGTTTTTTTTTTTGGCCAAGTCATCTCAAGAAATTTTGTTTTCACAATATTTTGGTTTGGAGGATGTTTTTGCACTTCACTGCATCAGAACAGATGAACGAAATTATGGAATATCACATGTAGGCCCTGAAGAAGAAGAATTTTGGAAGTTTAGCAATTATTTGCTACACCTTTTCCCACTTACCACTGAAAAGTATTCTTCCCGGGTCTGCTTCATATGATCAGGTTTGAGAAATTAGCTGATTATCTCATTTCGTTGCTGAGGTAGCATTATGTTTATGCCATTCATAAACTAATTTCTATGATCTAAATATCTGTATAATTTCCTGATTACTATATAATCACTAACACATAGCGGGGTTTCTTCTCAAACAGTAAATTAACACGATTACACATCACAAATTCCAACATGCATAATAGCTTTTCCCCCTGGTCTTTATGTATCCGTCTAATAGACGTTTGGGTTAATTGAATTTTTATAAAACTCAGCACCATGCCAAGCAGAGTCTGCCTGTGATGGAGAGTGTGTCAGTTCTTTTAAATTTGTGTCTGGTGGGGGCCAATTATTTAAATTTCTGGTTGGCATTTGTGGTGGTTAAGTCCTGCTGTTAATTAATACCTGATGATTTGGTTTTAATGACAGCAAAGATCATTGTTCACCCACCATTCCCTTATCTGAACAATGTACTTTGTATGCCAGAGACCTGTTAGGATTGCACCACTCAGTGGACAGAAGCTGTTCAGAGAGTGGTGCTGAAGAAAGCTAAGTGGCATAGGGATTCCCCGAGACCCACTGATAGATGTCACTCCAAAGCATGGGAAATGCTCTGCTGGGAGCTGTCTTATTAGGCAACCGAAAAGCTCAGCACCATCGTACTGCAGCATATGTTACTCTGTTACAGAATCTGAAACAAAACCTTTTAAGCAACACCACTGTCCAGTTTTCATATGTTTTATAGTGTGTAATTCAGGAAGGATTTTTCCTTTATCCCAAGTCATGAGTTTTGAATCATTCACACCACATGGTGGGAAGTTAATATAAAGGGGATTGTAGTTAGCTGTGATGCCTAGGATTGGGGGTGCATTACTACATTATCAATTGTGTTAGTTATACCTTTTAACTAGAAATAAATGTAAGACTTGAGAGGTAAAGTTCTTACAAGCATCCAGAGAATGTTTGGAAATGGAAAACTCATGTTGTTTGGAGGAATCATATTCTATTCTTGTGCTTCTAAGGGGAAAAAACTTCATTGAAGGTACTTAGTTTTGTCCCTCAGTTTGCCAGTCAAAAGAAATATAATACATAGTTGTAAGTTGTGGCACGTTTTAAAAAAATGGGTTTTTAATGAGCTGGAGATCTTTTTGCATGTAATCGAGTATGTTAAGAAATCACAAAGTTACTGCCCTGGATTTCTGTAGCTATTGTGTGTGCTTGGCGATTTTTGTGTTATATGATTTAAAGTAGGATATTGCTTTTAACCTCAAATAGATTTAGCTAAGTTCTAACTGAAATCATGCTAAAAGTTTCTCCTCGCATTTTTACAAACATAGTGTTTCTTGTAAAACTGGAGGATAAAAGCAAATAATATCAGCTATTTTATATGATGTAAATTCAGTAAATCTGCACTTGGAATATTGAGTGTAAAAGTGTGTGTGTGTGTGTGTGTGAGAGAGAGAATGAATGAATGTGTGAATTCATCCAGTTGTGTGGTGTCAGATAATGCCATTCAGAATTTGCCAGGCAAAGAAACACAGAAAAATGGAAAAGAGAGAGAGAGAGAGAACTAGCAAGAGGAAAGAATGAGAATGAGAATGGGGGCTGATTTGTTCTGGTTGAGCTGCTTCTGGTCAGAAGATTTCAGGGAGAGTGATGGAGCAGAAGGCCCTCACCTAACATGAAGCTGCCCTGGGGGCGTGATGGTTGTGTGCAGGCTTGAGCCATAATGCTAGGCTGGAGAAGGAATAGAGCAAAGTCATTTTGTGATATCATACCCAGGGGAACAGTTTCCAGCTCTGCTGCTCTCAGCTGCTGTGTTGTTTCCTACAAGTTGTTTGCTAGTGTAGAAACTACACATGCAACAGATTAGCCTTAGGGTTGAGTTAATAAAAATCTTTCCTCTTGAAATTCCTTTTTCTCTTTCCCCCTCATCTAATATAAACTCCGGAATAATGTCGATAAAACAAGAAGCTCTTTGAAAAATGGACCTTTGGAAACAGAAACTATGAGTGTATTTTAGAAGACAACATGGAAATTCATAGCTTAATTGCTTTGTAGTTGAAGTTTGTATAAATGACACTTCCTTTACAGTTATTTAAAGTGTTTGTAGTCTTCACTTTTTCTGTTGCTCACTGAACGACCTAAGAAATATCCTTGGGTTTTATGTTCATTGGAATGCAGGATAATTTGCTGTCCGATTAAATCTCTATTATTCAAACAAGTCATTGTTTGATGTGCTACACTTTTAGCTTCCAAAGCATTGTGGTTATATGAGGCAGAAGCTGATTTCCAAAAAGGAGTACAAACACTGAGGTTGAATAACATCTACAATTGGGCTATGCCAGATTTGTACATCAATTCTGATCTTACAAGCCAATATAAGTATTTTATATCATATGATGGTAGAATGAAGATGTATACATGTATGCATGTATTGATAATGTAAACATCTTTATCAAATATTTATGATACATAGCACTTGCTCTTTTTAATATCTTCAGTCACTATTTAATAAAGTGTGCTAACCTTATGGTGTTTTGAAAATGAAAGAAAATGCTGCAGAGATTTTCCAGTCAGCATTAAAGAAAACTATTCTTAATAAAAGCTATATTAAGGAAATAGAAACAGTAACAGATATAGCCTGACTGCTTGTATGTTGTAAATACACATGTAAATTTAATTTCCCAAGTGTTTGTGACTGCTCTTTTTAAACTTTATAAATCTTGCTGTCAAAAATCTATACCGGATTTAAAATAGCTACTTCTACTGAGTAGAGAAACTATGTATTTATTTATATGTATGTTAAAAATGAAACCAACATAGGTCATTTGGGAGAAGAACTCCTTAGAATAAAAATATTTTAAAAAGTGGATTTAAATATCTGAGTTAGAATATTTCACTAGCACTAGGGGATCGTTCTTGTTGTTGTGGGGTATCTATAAATCCTCTGAATGTAGGGAAAGTCTTACCATATGTCCTGATGTATTAAGTAAGACTAGGAGCTTTAGACAACAGAGAATTAAAACAGTGAGCTGTACTTCCTCTGGCTTGTATATTTATAGCAAATGAGAGCAAAAGATGTGATTGGGCGGGTTATTGCCCTTGTCAAATATAATCTATTCATTCTTCCGGAAATCTCCTTTGCTTCGATACCTATTTTCTTCCTGTTTTTTTTTCTTAATTATAAACATAATGTCTTTTACAACCCTCTTGTACATTTCAATGACAATTTATGAACTGCTTAGATATCCAAAGATCTCTAAATCCTCATAGCAATACTTAGCCTTTTATTTGTTTTAAATATGGTTGAATGATCTGAAAAAATAATCTCTTTTGATAGCTCTTAATGAATGGGTATTTTGATTAGCTTTGTATAGATAAATGATAATGAAAACAAAAAGTATACAATTAGGGTTCTTACTGATTCAAGCAATTTGTTACCACCCCAAAATAGTGCAACATGGCTTAGTGAAAGTCTTCATAAGAAAGTAAAAACTAATTTACAATGTTCTTATTTCCTAATCACAGAAATGGGCATTGTGGACAGTTTTCAACCAATATATGAATACTCTAAATTTGTGCATACATATTGTTACTCCGCTTTTATGTTATAACATGTAAGTTAAAATTACTATTATGAAAGAATATATAACCTGGCTAGTTTACCCCCAACCTCTCCAGAATATCAGTCGCTTTATAGTACTTGAACGTTTGCTTAGTGACACATTCTGTTGAAATCTAATGTTGAATTATTTGTGGATTTACAGAATATACAAATTCACAAATAATTGTATGACTAAGACAAAACTTGGTCATTTTAAGTTGAGGGATTGTCCTAGTTGAGAGGTTGTGTTTTCATATTGCCTAAGTTGTTGAGTGCTGTAGTGCACTTCAAGTAAATCTGTTTCTGAAGACTTGCCCCCTGGATTTTCGTCCCTAAATTATCCATACAGGTTGAAGCAGATAAAATACAAGAAATTTTGGTGAAGTTGAAGGTTAAAAATAGATTGACTAGTCTCTTCTTGGCATAGATACAATTATTAGGAAACAGTTCTCCCTAATACAGACTTGCCATCCAGGCATCCTAGAGAGAGATGCATATGTGGTAATTTACATTAATTTTTGGTCTTCTTCAGGAGAACCAGGATATTTTTCCCTACGGAAAATAGTTTGTTAGGAAGTTCTTTCCTGGCCCTTGATTTACCTCATTTGGACCTAGTAAAATTTATACTTTGTTTTAAATTACAACTAAAAAATCAAAAAGAAGAAATGTTACCTACAGTCTGGATGGACCGTAAGAGACTGTCCTACTACTTTCTAACTCAGACTTCTGTGTTTTTTCTTTTCTTCTTCTTTATTTCCCCTATGAAGATACTACAGGGGAAGCCTTGGGTAAATGATGGGGCCCAGGAGTGGATTGTAGTGTATGAGTTTAGGATTGCTAGTCATTATCATATGGACTAGCCTTCTCTCGAAACCTTGAAATTCAGCTGTCCGGGTCCAAGGAATGTTGGAAAATAGAGGTCTTAGATCACAAGACTGTGAATGCAAATGGTCTTTCTGTTTCTGATGGAGTCTTTGTCCATCCCATGAGGACGTGGATGGTAACCTGCATTGCATCTCTAGTTCAGAGGCTTTCTCTCCAAAGCCCAAGGCTCTGTCTTTGGACATCTGCCCTGGCTTGCTGGGAACAAGAAAACAGCTCTGAGTGGTGCATGAATCCGGAGCTAGTAGCCAGGTTTATGAGGTAGCAATGGTCCAAGGGAACCTAGAGGAGGGAATTGTTTCCTTTTCTTTTGCTCTGCTGTGCTAGAATATGTGAGCTGAATCAAGCCCAGTGCAAGGGAACATACCTGATGAGGGCACTAGAGTCTTGGTACTGGGTATACCTAAGAGCCCAGGGGATGGACGAGGGATAAGAAATGTGAAGTACTGTCAGCTTCACTAAATTTGGAAAATGCATACCAGTAATACTATCATCCCAAATGGTTGTCTTTTATCTGGGAATTGCCATTAAGGCAAAGATAGCTAAAAAAATTGAGGGCATACTAAAACCACATAGTTATAACTACCACTTATGGAGTTGGTAAATTTTTTTGGCCTCTTTGATAGACACATAGAGTTTGATTTTTATGTGTAGATTAAATTCCTGTTGAATAATTAATGAATAAATGACTGAAGGACCCCAGCTGGTTGGATAGTGGAAATCACTGTTCTAGCCTAAATTTAGAAAGATAAAAACATACTTTTGATTTTTTTCTCTTCTCATCTCTGATATGGTGAGTTTGATACCAGGACACTGTTCCCTTCTCTTCCCATCCAGAGCCTTACTGTAATCTGGATCGACCTTTGGGGCTTCAGAGAAAGGTTGTTTAATTTCCCAAAACTTTTCCCTCACTTATTTTTAGAACAATATTTGTTCTGTGTAGCTTATAGCCCAGCAGGAAAAAAAAATTCCAGTGTTGTAAATGCTTAAAAGTACAGAAGAGTTTTGCTGTAGTCTATGAACCCTTACCACTGTTTTCAGCAGAACCATTTGTAAACCATCCCAGTTTATTTTGGGTGACAGACTTCAGTATTCAGAAATTTTGTGTTCTCCTTGGATCTCTCTTCACAGGTGTTTAACCATCTCAGTACTGTAAGTGATACTTTATGTTGAAATTCATTCTCATAACTGAAGATGGAAAAACACAGCTTATATCCCTAAGAAGTAATACAAAGAGGTTTTAGATCAGTTCCTCTTTACTTATTTTTCTTGTTTCCAATATCACAACAGCTCTTGGTTTACCTGCAGGTGGGGTGGCATGTGCCCATTTGGGCTCTGATGAATAATGAGGTTCTTTGCCTTCACTTCCTCAGTCGGCCCTGGAGGCACTGTGGGAGATGATGTGTTATCAGTGAAGCAGCAGATGTGGTGGCAGCATTTTCCTCCACTGCAGGGAGCATCCCGTCTGTACCTCTGTACAGAGCAGGGGAGCTGTCTACTGAGAAGGAAATGGATGGCTGTGTTTGCTTCACATAGAATTTCTCATTAGCCTTGGGAAGTGGTTCTGGCAGTTGGGGCCCCTTGGTGGTTGCCAGGATGGAGAGGTTCTGCTCAGAGTGGGTGTGCTCATTGTCCTGTCATCTGCACAAAGGGCCACAGCATTGAGATAACCTAGGCATGCTGCTGCTTTGCAAGCCCGGACACCTCCGGACAATCCTTTCCTCTGTTGTCTTCATTCCCATCCA
This sequence comes from Homo sapiens, assembly GCF_000001405.40. Taxonomy (NCBI): domain Eukaryota; kingdom Metazoa; phylum Chordata; class Mammalia; order Primates; family Hominidae; genus Homo; species Homo sapiens. The sequence goes on from NC_000008.11 coordinate 31,647,781, forward strand.
TAGAGATGGGTCACATCTTGTCCTCAGGAACACTAGCACCTTTCTTTTTGTTGGAGCAGAAATTTTATAAAACACCCTAGCATTTTGGAATATAGTTTTATTCCGATGAGCAGTTTAGAAAAATTTATGGTAACATAAAATTTACCATTTTAACCATTTTTAGGTGTGCAGTTCAGTGGCATTAAGTATTTGCATTGTTGTGTAACCCTCACTGCAATCCATCTCCAGATATTTTATCTTCCCAAAGTGGAAACTCTGTATTCATTAAACACTAACTCCCCATTCCCTTTCCTCCTTTTCCCCAATCACCATTCTACTTTCTGTCTTTACAAATTTGACTACTCTTTTTTTTTTTTTTTTTTTTTTTTTTTGAGACGGAGTTTCGCTCTGTCGCCCAGGCTGGAGTGCTGTGGCGCGATCTCGACTCACTGCAAGCTCCGCCTCCCGGGTTCACGCCATTCTCCTGCCTCAGCCTCCCGTGTAGCTGGGACTACAGGCGCGCGCCACCATGCCCGGCTAATTTTTGTATTTTTAGTAGAGACGGGGTTTCACCGTGTTAGCCAGGATGGTCTAGATCTCCTGACCTTGTGATCCGCCCGTCTCGGCCTCCCAAAGTGCTGGGATTACAGGCGTGAGCCACCGCGCCCGGCCCTACCTTTCTTAAGTGTAGAGTTCAGCAGTATTCAATACATTCGTAATGTTGTACAACTATCACCATCATCCATCGCCATACTCTTGACCTTGTAAAACCAAGACTCTATACCAATTAAATTACAACTTCTCATTTTCTCCTCCCCCAGCCACTGACAAACACTATTCTACTGTTTGCCTCTCTGATTTTTACTAAGTGCATCATTTAAGTGGAATCATATGGTATTTGTCCTTTTGTGACTGGCTTATTTCACTTACCATAATGTCCTCAAGGTTCATCATGTTGTAGCATATGTCAGAATTTCCTTCTTTTGAAAGGCTCAATAATTTTCCATTGTATGTAAATAACACATTTTGTTTATTCATCCATCCATCCATCAGTGGACACCTGGTTTACTTTCACATTTTGGCTATTATAAATAATGCTGCTGTGAAATGTCTTCTCAAATCCCTGCTTTCAATTTTTTGGGTATATACACAGAAGCAGAATTGCTGAAACATATGGTAATTCTTTTTTCTTTTTTTCTTTTCTTTTTTTTTTTTTTGAGATGGCATCTCACTGTGTCGCCCAGGCTGGAGTGCAGTGGCACGATCTTGGCTCACTGCAACCTCCACCTCCTGAGTTCAAGTGATTCTCCTGCCTCAGCCTCCTGAATAGCTGGGAGTACAGGTGCATGCCACCATGCCTAAGTTTTGTATTTTTAGTAAAAATGGGGTTTCACCATGTTGGCCAGGCAGGTCTTGAACTCCTGACCTCAGGTGATCCGCCTGCCTCGGCCTCCCAAAATGCTGGATTACAGGAGTGAGCCATGGTGCCCGGCCTCATATGGTAGTTCTAGGTTTGCTTTTTGGAGGAGCTATCATACTGTTTTCCATAGCAGCTGCACCATTTTACATTCCCACCAGCAGTAAACAAGGGTTCCAGTTTTTCCACATCCTCCCTCACACATGCTATTTTCTACTGTTTTGATACTAGCCTTCCTAATGCACGTGGAGTAGTGGTGAGCAGTTTTTATATTGTTGTTGTTTTCTATACAGAGTTAGTGTCTCTAATTACACTGTCATTAACAAGAAGCAAAAGTTCTCAGAAAAGAGAGGTGTTCATTTATTCAACTCTTAGTTTAAATAGCATGTAAGATCCTGAATCTGAAACCATGAAATAAGGAAATTACAATGGATAACAGCTTAATAAAAACAATGATTTAAAGAGTAAGCTTAGAAATAAAGAATTGAGTAAGCTTCGATTTAAAGAATAAGCTTAGAAATAAAAACAATGAAAGATGTAAAGAATAAGCTTAGAGAATGGACTTACAGAAAACAGTCCTCCAAGGTCATCATGAGAATATTGTATTTTTATTCATATTGCTATCAGTGTAGTCCAGAAAGGAACCTTATCATACTTTGATTAGTTTCAGAACCTTTTAATTGATTTAATGTATTCATTAATTGCCTCTACCCCAGCAATTTCCCTGTCTGTATTCCTGTCCATTGCCCCAATCCCCTTCTAATCAGTACGCACCAGAGGCTGAGTCATTCTAAAATACTACTTTTTTTTTTGTTTGTTTCAGACAGGGTCTTGCTCTGTCATCCAGGCGGGAGTGCAGTGGGACGATCTTGGCTCACTGCAGCCTCAACCTCATGGACTCAAGCAGTCCTCCACTTCAGCCTCCCAAGTAGCTGGTATCACAGGCCCATGCCACTATGCCCAGCTAATTTTTGTATTTTTTGTAGAGATGGGGTTTTGCCATGTTGCCCAGGCTGGTCTTGAACTCCTAAGCTCAAGCAATGCTCCCACCTCAGCCTCCCAAAGTGCTGGGATTACAAGCATGAGCCACTGCACTTGGCCTGAAATGCTACTTTTCTTAGGCCTTGTTCCCTACTTAGAAAGTTTCAATGGATGCACCATAGTTAACTCAAGATCTCAACATTCAATATCCTCCTTAGCCTCAATAAAGCCTTATCTTTCTCACCTTCCCATATGAACACTTCATCCACTCTGACTGCTCCCTGAACAGGCCAGGCACTTTCCTAACCCTCCTGTTTTTACATATGCCATTTCCTCTGCCTCGATCTTCTTCCACCCTCATTTCTACCTGTGGAATTTCTGTTCTTCCTTCTAGGGACAGCTCAAATCCTACTGCTTCCATAATGAAACTAGTAATGATTCCTACCAGGGATATGCACTCTAGAATTTGAACACAGAGCTCCTCTTTCCTGTGTACCTTACACAAGGTACTGTTACAAATTTTCCTTCTGTCATATTGTGTTTGTTACAATGTATGTATTTTAAAATTTTTCTCTGTTTCTGTGTGTCTTGCCTCACTGGCAGCCAACACTATTCTTGTGTTTGGATACTAGCAGGGTCTTCAGCTTACTTGCCAGTGAAAAGTGCCCTGGCCTCGAGTCAGAAGAATCCTTTCCACTTTCAGCTTTGTAGTTAGTACCTGTGTGATTGTGGGTCGCTGACTTTATTCACTCATTTGGGTCTCAGTTTCCTAATATGCAAAACGAGAAGGTAAAATGCTTTTCAAGGTCCGTTTAAACTGTATTTGGTCCTCAGAAATGACCCAAACATAGAAATCTCCTTCTTCTGGAGCTTTTTCTGGAGCTTATTTTCTCTTCCTCTCCTCTTATTTAGTGTTGTTCTCAGGAGAACACATGTGGGAAAACAACTGTGAAACTTTTAGACACTCTAAGAGAGGAGAAAGAGAGCTGAATGAGAGGGAACCTTCAAGGGAAGGTGTCTCTTTTCTCCAAATCTTATCTCCATGGCCTTTTTGTGTCATTTAAAAAAATATTAACAGTTATTTGCATTCGCTGGCATCGTCTTTTCAAAAAGCAAATATGATTGCCTCTGCAAGCCTGTCTTTGAAATGATAAAGTATGATTAATCCACAGCTGTATTCTTTAGAATGAGAAAGTTCAGTCATTTGTGGTGCTAAAATGAAAAAATAAAGATTTGAATGGTTTTACTATTTACTGTGAATTTATTTTTACAATGTAGATGGGGCATTGTTTTAGGTTCTAATAATTAGCACTGTTGCTGAAATGGATGAGGTCAGCACAGAGAGTGTGGAGAGCTTGGTTTTCAGGGGGGTGGCAGCAGTTCTAATGGCTGCAGGGCGAGGCTTCCTGCTGAGATGCCAGTGTTGGGTTCTTTCTCAAATTATGATTTTTATGGTTTGGGCAAGAAAAGGATGCATTTAAGCTCTTTTATAAGTAAAATGAGCAATGCTGAAACAGTTGTCAAATGGGAATAATTTGATCTGACTTTTACAATTTCTGCATGAAGAGGTATTGGCAGCTCCATGGCATTGGGGCAGGATGGGCAGGGCTTAGCTGGGCTAGGTCCATTTTTTTTTTCCTTCAGTTTAACGTCTCCGACCCCTGGTGGATTCACCTACTGCAGAAGAGCCAATGCTGCTTATAAATTATGTTTCCTCAATCTATATCTCTAGCCCAGACCTTTCTTTTTGGCTCTCTATCTGAACATCTAACTACTTACCTGGTAACTTATGTCCTACAAACACTTTATGTGAAATATTTTAACCAGTGCCTCATCTCCACTGCCAGTCCCTCTGCACATTTGTATCCTAATAATGACTCTACCCTCACTGCTAGTATGATCACCACAGTTATTCCCAGTGACTTCCTTGGTCGACACTTATTTGGTGCCAGAGTAGTAGGCGCTGAGATAAATTCAGTTAACCCCTCACCATATGGCAGCATTAATATTTTTTAGTTACCTCAAACCAGATACCTCTCCTGCTCCATACCAGATTAGTGACCACATCCCACTGATTCTACGTCCTTAACAAATCTCAGATTCGTCCCGTCTTCCCTCACTTCAACTTCTCTGTAATAGATTCTTACTGCAACTGTAACAGCCTCTTTATGCATGGATTCTTTCCTTCTCACATCCATTTTCTATACTGTTGCTAGAGTGGTCTTTCTAAAATAGAATAGATGGTACTGTGCTTTTACCTAAAGCTTTTCGGTTGACATCAGGATAAAACTCAGACCCCTTTGAATGGCATGTGAGGGCTTTTGGCTTTTGTCCCAAGTGTTCTTGTCCAGTTCTTTCTCCTATCCAGAACCTTGTGCTACACTGATGGCATTCTCTACATATGCCAGGCAGCTTTAGGGCTCTGTGGATTTGCACATATTGTTCTCTTTTCCCAGAATGGTCTGCTTCTCTATCTACCTGTTTGTTGTACTGTCACTACCTGTCATTTCAGATTGACTGTCCTTCCGTGGAATGGTTAAATAACACTGGATAGCCCTATAACGGATTGTGCTATAGTCTTTACAAATCTTCTTGTAGGAGAAAATATGATGACTTAGAGATATGTTTATATTACATTGTCAAGTGAAAAGTGTTGTATAATACATGTGTGATTGACTTTTCTTTCTTTGCTTTTCCTTTTCTTTTCTCTTTCTCTCTCTCTGTGTCTCCCTTTCCTTTCTTCCCTCTTTCTCCCTCCCTTCCTCCCTCCCTCCCTCCTTCCCTTCCTTCCTCTCTTCTCTCCTCTCCTCTCCTCTCCTCTCCTCTCCTCTCCTCTCCTCTCCTCTCCTCCCCTCCCCTCCCCTCCCCTTCTCTCCCCTCCCCTCCTCTCCTCTCCTCTTGTCTTCCCATTGATCTTTCAATAAAAATAAAAGCCTAGAACTCTATGTAGCTAAACGTTAACAGTGTTTATCTCTGGGTATTGGGATTATTGATCTTTAGAATGATCTTCATTTTGTATTTTCTAAAGTTTCTATAATGAATGCACATTACTTTTTAACAAGAAGTAGTAAATGCTATTTTCAACAAAAAATACTGACTTGTGGCAAGTACTATGTCTTACTTATCTTTGTCTTTTTAGAACATTGCCTTCCTCATGGAAGATGTATTAGTTAGGGTAGGCTAACTGCAGTAACCGATGATACCCTTAATATATAACAAGTAAAATGCGATAGTTTATTTCTACCTAGTGAATGAACAGAACACAAGATGTTCTGGTCCTGACTTTCCCCTGAATAAAATCTGCACTAACTAACACCGAGGCATAGCCAAACCTCACCTCCAGACCAAATTGGCTGAAATAGGCAGGGTTCCAATTTGTGACGGTCATTTATTTTTAATGGCCTTTCTATTCCCTGAAATGTAGACAAATTTGCCCTTTGCTGCCTCATTGCAGTGGAAGAGCCTCATACCTGTGTGCAGAGCTGATGATGAAAGGCATCTATGTGTGTATGTGTGTTGTAGATAAATAGTGTATTAACTATGTGTAATTCCTTATTTCAAAGTAGCATTTTATGGGTGAGTTTTGCAATAAATCTTCAACGTTTAATGCTCACTATGTCTTGTTTCATTTGATATCACTGAAAATGCAGAGGGTCAGGCCACATTCACTCTGTCTCTCCCTGGCATGTTAGGTTGCCTTCTAGAGCTCTGTGTTTCACAAATCATTTTGATGTAGAGACTGTGGAGAAATATTCTCAGGCTTTATCACTGCTGACTTAATTGAGTTTCATGATGCGCTTTTTTTTTTTTCATAGTAGGATAAATTAAAAATGGCTGATAAAGCTGCCTGTAAAAGCAAAATTGTTAGGTTAAACCTGCCTGGTGTATTAAATGTATTGATAAGTAATTTGGCCACCATTTTTAATCACTTTTATTAACTCTCAAGTAGTTTTATTTCCAGTAACTTGCAAAATAACTGTCATTATGGACTCAGTCATATTTCTCTTTAAAATACTATTGAAAAGTCCATGAAAATGATTAAAGTGCCAATATCATCCACCTACTTCCTGTTAGCAAGAATTGTTGGTGATTTTGTGATTAGCTGAGTATATGGTTGTGCTCTCTTTGTGCAACCCAGGAGGAAATAGAACCAGTTCATCCCAGGTGAATAGAGATAATGAATGGGTTTGAAGCCGTGTAACAGGAGTAGTCTTTTGTGCATCTGTATCATGTATGTTATTGTTATGCTGTCTTTAAAACATTTTATTAAATATTGAGAAGACAAGATACTTGTGAATTATGTGTAAAGTGTAAAGAATCATGATACGTGTAATGTGCCTTTCGGTGTCATCTTTGCCATCGGCTGTTCGGCTTTGTAAGGATCTTGAGTTCAAGGTCACTAAAGAACAGCTTAACACATTGTCTTGCTCACAGGTCAATAAGGGATATATCTCTTCATTAAAATGGATGAGAAGTTTGTCATTACTTTACTGCTTCTTGGCTAGATGTGTGGCTTATGCCTGTAATCACAGTGCTTTGGGAGGTTGAAGCAGGAGAATCGCCTGAGGCCAGGAGTCTGAGACCAGCTTGGGAAACATAGTGAGGCCCTGTCTGTGCAGAAACAAAAAATTAAATTTGCCAGGCTTGGTGGTGTGCACCTTCAGTCCTAGCTACTCTGGAAGCTGAGTCAGGAGGATCCCTTGAGCCCAGGAATTTGAGGTTACAGAGAGCTATGATTGCATCACTGCACTCTAGCCTGGGTAACAGAATAAGACCTGTCTTTAAAAATAAAAAATAAAAAAGAATTCCCTGTATTTTTTCCAATCCATTTGCATAGCCTCCAAATCCCATTCCTTTCCCCTCAGATTTCGGCATTCCCACCCTATGGGAGAAATTATTATAGTTGCCATTCTTAGGATGTTTCCCAGATAAATTACAGGAATCATAAGATTGCTAAACAAATGTAGGTGGCTAATAGAAAAAGAGAAGCAGTAAGCCTACTTTTTTCATTTACTTATTCAGCAAATGTTTATCAGGCATCTATTATTTGATAGGCTTTGTACTGATTTCTGGCTTGACAATGATGAAGAAATTAGACATGCCCCTTTCTGAGCTAAGAAGATAGGCAAAAGGGTTACACAAATAATTATATAATTACAGTTGTGCTAAGCCTCATGAGGGAAAAGTACAAGGTCCCAGCCAGGTGAACATATAACAGAAGAATCTATCTTAGTCTGAAAGATACAAGAAGGTCTTTTTGAGAAAGAAGCATTTCTGTTAGGGTAGGGAGGAGGGGAAAGGAGGAGAGGAAAGATTTGCATTTCCAACCTTGGGGCAGAGAAGGTGAGGAATAGCAGAAAGGACAGTCAGCACAAAGGAAGCAAAAATGGGGTCTGAGAAGTAAGGAACAATCAGACGATTCTAGACTTCCAGGATTCCAGATTTTATCTTAAAAACAGGGGAACCCAATGAAGGGTTTTTAAGAAGAGGAGTTATATGCTTGTCATTTCAAAAACATCACAACTGCTGGTTATAAGGAGAATGGACTAAAAGGGAATAAGAGTGCATGCAGGGAGCTGAGGTGGGGCCCCAGTTGAGACTGGATGTGTGCCTGGACTAGAGTGGGAGCTACAGAAGTGAAGAGAAGTGAAAGATTTGAGATGATTTTTGGAAGCTTCTTTTAGCCTTGGCTGTGATGGGGCAATGCCTACAAAGGGCGGTGGGGAGGATGGCCCCCAGTGTTCTGGCTTGAGCAAATTGTATGCACAGTAGGTGATGCGATGGCAAATACTGCAGGAGAAGAAGCCCTTGTTTAGTGTATTGTCGACATATCCACATGGAAATACCAAGGAAGCATGTGCTTGTTTGGAGCTGGAGGTCAGAAGAGAATTCCAGGTTGTCTTTTGAGTGTGGTGGTTTTGGACAAGGACATGACATTTCTAGCTCCATGAAGTAGATAAGATTGCTTAGGGAAGGTGGGAGAGTGTAAGGAAAAGTGAAGAGAAAAGGAAGCATAAGGAACAGCCACCTTTAAAGGTGAGGCAGAGTGATGGGAAAGAAGCAATTAGAGCAGTGAAAGGAAGACCCAAAAAGGATTCAGGAGGGAAGAGTGGCTGCTGCATCTGTGTCCCTCGAACATCCTGATGGAAGAGGAGGAAGACAGAGCCCAAACCAGGACTTTTTGAGTGGTGACTATTGCCACACATTTTAAATGTAAGAGTGCACATTGCATTTAGGACCAGTGAGGACTTAGGACAGAGTTCTGGCCAATGCCAGAGGTGGAGCCCAGACCAGGAGCAGACTGAAGTACTATTTGCCAACTTCCGGTTAAGATTGGGTTTTAGTAATATTTTTATTTATCTGGACATAAGTAGCACAAAGCTGTTTTAAATACTCTGAGGCTTTCTTTGGTGGTGGGGGATAAGACTGGGAAGAATAACTAATTTGAGAGACCCAATGGATAGTTTGTATAAAGATATGATTTTCAAAAAATCATCAAAATTGATTAAGTGTTACTAACGTGTTGCTGAAGGTCACTCGTTTATGTGTTTTTCTCCTGAGCTAAGAATTCTTTCCTATGTACCACCTAAGCCCTTTCAGTGACAAATTATTGTTCAAATTTTTCTTGGCACACTGACTTGAGAATTAACTACCATTCATAGCTGGTACCCAGGTCCTATGAGAATACAATGCCTTGTCACATAAATACTTGTGAAGTGACATCTATCAATCTAATTTAGAAAAATATTTGAGTCAAAAGGTCCTTGAACCATGTATTAGGTTGACACAGGAGCTCCCTTTATCTGAAGCTGTGACTGAGCATTTTAATGAATGGCAGTCAAGGAATTCAAAGTTATTATTCTGATAGTAATTGCGTGCATTTTTCCTGCCCATCTATATGCAGCCTTCTCATTGTCTAGGAAGCTGCTGATTTGATGCATTCATAGCTATTATTTGCATAGGGAATTTGAACCACCATGGGAAGAATGATTTTGAATTTCCTGTTTTCATTTATTTACTTTGGGTGCAATAACAGTGTTTTCATGGAAGGATTTTTTATATTGGGTTTTTCCTAATTTTAATACAGTGTAAATAAGCTAAGTGTTATATTTCTGAAAACCACACGTTACAAATTTTTAAAAATGGGGGAAAGATGAAAATGAAATAAAAAGATGGGAAGACAAGTTCTGAAACCTCTGACCTTACCTGCGGGCTCCTCCCTCTAGTTGACCATGGAGAACCATAGATGACTTACTGGGCCAGATATTCTGATCTTGGACAGACCAATGGTTTGTAAAATGGGTTGCATATTATAGTGTGCAAATTCCTGGACTAGACTTCCAGAGATGATAGTTCATGTGGCCCAGGGTTTGTCCTGAGAATCTGCATTTTTGAAAAGCTCTCCAGGTGATTTTTAGTGTGCACTTAAGTCTGGGAGCTCTTGGAATTGTTTTTTTCAACTAATAAAGTTGAAGACACCCTGCACAAGATTAGAAGATGGATAAGAAAAGAGAATTAGAATTTACTGAGTTTCTATTATGGCTGAACATGTTTACATATCTTACGTCATTTATTCTTTAACACCATCTTGCAAGGTATATCATTTTGTTCCAATTTTAACCTGAGATTCAAAAAGGTTTACAGAACTTTAAAGGTCATGCAGCTGCTGGGAGGCAGAACCTTTATTTGCCTCCAGGTCATCTGATCTGCTGTGTAGAACCACGACAAGGCTGGGAACAAGAAGGTCTGGATAGAATTCTAGTCACACCATCACTTGGGTGAGGTCCTTTTGCCCTCTCTGCCAACGTGGGTACCTGTTGCTAAAGGTAGACTTTCCTGTTTATCATCAAAGAGTGCCTATAGGTAGATGAGTGGGGAGGACTGCATACATTTTGAGAGTAGTAAAATCAGATCCACTTGGACAAAACTGTCTTCAATATTCTACAATGAACATGCCATGTTATTGTGACCAGAATTGACATTGTATCTCTACCCTACGCTGACAAGTTGATTGTCTGAGCGAGGAAACAGCACTCATCATACATTTATATTTCTCCAGGAAGGAAAAGAGACATGGTAGAGTCTAGTGGGGAAAAATCTGGCTTCAGATTGGACTTAGTACTTGAATTAAGGGTCAGGCATTGGCTTCTACCTCTCACTCTGTACTCATGACCTTGGGAACTCCATGTTTCTAAACTTTATTTTTAGTTTTCTCTTTGTAAAATGAGAATGATGTGTCTCTCTCAGATCAGTGAGTACCAGCTGAGATCATGTCTGTCGAGCACTTAGGCAGTGGTAAGTGCCTTCTTTCTTTCTTTGTTTTGAGACAGAGTCTTGCTCTGTTGCCCAGGCTGGAGTGCAGTGGTGCAATCATGGCTCACTACAAACTCTACCTCCCTGGATCAAGCGATTCTCGTGCCTCAGCCTCCCGGGTAGCTGGGATTATAGACATGCACCGCCATGCCTGGCTAATTTTTGTATTTTTTGTAGAGACAGGGTTTCACTGTGTTGGCCAGGCTGGTCTCGAATTCCTAACCTCAAGTAATCTGCCTGCCTTGGTCTCCCAAAGTGCTGAGATGACAGGTATGAGCCGCCACACCTGGCCACAGTAAGTACCTTCTTAATGTTAATCAGCAGAGGGAAGGGAGAGTGACTCTCTGCAGCAGGATTCAGTGGAGCTAGAGATCCAGACTAGCAATAGCAGCAGAATGAAGATGAATCTTGACTACTTGATTGCTGCATTTTTCATTATTTTAGGAACCCAGCGGTTCTCCTAAAATGCATGCCAAAGGTCCTTTGACAGGGTGCTGCTCCAGCTGTGGTTTGTCGGTCTGCAGTGTTGTACCACCCTGGTGCTCATTAGGACTGCAAATTCCCAGGTCACCTTCAGATGTACCACTCTCCAGATGTTTCTCATGCTCACTGCAGTATGAGAAGCACTACTTTAACAGGCAACCTCCTTCCAGGTGAATCATGTCTGGAGAAGTTGCTTGGTCAGAGAGATATTTGTCCAGGCTCAGCCATGCTGGCTCTGCAGCGAGGGTTCCTTCACTAGAACACCATGCATTTGTGGTGGCAGCATAGGTAGAAGGCACTGAGCGGAAACAAGAGGAGCGAGATGGAGAAAGAAAAAAAACAACTTTCCCGGAAAAGTTAAAATGATAGCATGACCTTTCTGAATGGACTTTGGGACATGGCACCAAGAATGAGCAATAATGAAATACCAAGGAAGGAGACTCCTTAGGAGAGCATCTGGGAACCATGCAACCATGCGACAAGAGGTGATGCAGGGAAGCTGGTGAGAGGGTGAACTGAGGCTCCCCCAGGGGCGAGGGGGGATACCTCCTTTCTGAACCTCATGCTGAACCCGACCCTCAGGAGCAACAGATTGGGGTAGGAGCTTTTGGAGAGGGGAATTGAAATGGCCTTGTTGGCAGAATGACTCTGAAGGGAACTTTCCAGCACACCCAGGAAAAAAACAAAACAAACTCCCCAATCTGCCAGACTCCACTTTCTTAACTGGAGGGCAGGGTGGTTGCTCAAATATTTTGGGCTCAGGGCTTTGGAAAGATTTCTTGTCTTGCTGCATGCTCTGTGGAACCAGGCTGAGAGCAGGATTTTTGCATTTAGAATATCTTAGCAGAACTGGGCAAGATGAAAACCAATCTTTTTGTAGCTACCAAAAAGTGGACATACTTCAGCTTTCTGTCTTCTCCCTGCTGACTTGGGTGTATTTGGTGTGCTTGCTCTGTGCTAGGCCCTTCCTGTCTCTTATCTCACTAAATCTTGACAATATCCCCAGAGATTGGCATCATTATACTCATTTTACAGATGAAACTGTCTCAGAGGGGTTACGGAATTTGCCCAAGACACACAGCTGAGTGGTGAAGCTGGAATTCAGAACCAAGTTCGGCTTATTAGAAAGTATTCTTATATACTACATGTAGAAATGAAACGCAACGTATGTGACAGCCATTATAATGTAAATAATAAAAGTAACAGGATTTTCTCCCTGCCCTCCGTAATTCAGTATACTTGTTGATTATTTGCTGCTTCTGGCAAGCTATGATTGATTGCTGTTCTGTGGGATATGGAGAAGTTTGAGGAATTTATGATACAGCTGGGGAGAAAAGACATATTGATGCTTGACCAGGATTAAGCCACCATATCTCACAGGTGTTTAGACAAAGGAGAAGGCACCTCTGCTAAGGCACATCAGGGAAATCTCTAGGGAAGATACTGATTTGACATAGTACTTTCTGGGTATATAGAATTGTTTCATTTTGTTTGCCGAGTATGTTAAAACTGTTTGCAGGGTGTGTTAAGATGATTTGCAGAAGAATGTTGCATATATTATTCGTTTTGATTTGGAAAAACAATTAAAACAAGGAGAGTCTTATTATTTGCCCTATCTTTGGGTAACTTCTGTACTAACAAAACTCCGGCTCACCAGCCACTAGAGTTAAAATTCTCACTAAAGAAATTGACTAAATGGAAGAGAATTTATTTCTGATTTCCTTTTTAATGTAAACATATGTATTGACACTTTTCCTTGGAAGAAGTGTAGTTTCTCTTTTAGTAGAAGGAAATAGAATTATACTCTGGCTTAAATTCTATTATTATAAACATACTTCTGTTTTTATCTTGAGATAAGGCTTTCCTATATACTGTTGGGAGTCTATAGTGATATAGTCATTTTCTATATTATTTGGCCATCATTTATTCTTTTAAATTCATTTATAATTGTTTTTGCATGTTTTATTGCTAACATTTAATAGTGACCACCCATTAAAGCTATTGCAGTACCTAAGTATTTATAAATTTTTCTGACATGTTATTGCTTCTGGATTATAAACTGGGAAATAATTAAGATTCTTGTTCTTGTTGTAATGCTGTTATGGTGATGATTTAGTATTTCCCCAAACAGTTTATATAATATGGTCTTTTTCCACATTGGTATGTTTCTTTATTTGCTGGACAGGGTATTTTAATGGTTACATCTAAATGGAATAAACTCATAGAGCTGTTGATTTGAGAAAACCTTCTATAATGCCATATTAATCTATTTAGCTCCCAGACCTTTCTTAGCAGATCAAAGGAATTTCCTGGCCACTCCCAGAGGTCTGACCGCCTTTTATCTGTTTTAATGAAGGTAATTAAAATTCCTCAGCTTATGAAGGTCTGGTCCTGGTCCTAAGTGAACTAGTCCCCAGCAGAATCTGAAAGAGGACTATAAGCAAGCCATTTATTTCTAAATTTTTAACCTTATATTTCTGTAGATCCTGATTAAGGTAGTTCCTGCAGTGTGAGGGCAAACTTAGGTTGCCAGTATTTTAGGGAAATATGAGTTCTTCTTTCATAAACTCTGATGATTATTTTGATTCCTGTATCATTCATTTGAAATGAACCTGCAACACTTTGTGGGTACATAGGAATGAAGCAAATGCACTCTAAATAATTAACCAGTTGTGTCATTGATTTCTACTGATAGGTTTATAGCAAATGACTTTACACAAAGTTATTAATTAAATGCTGTGTTCTGATGTTGTCTAAAAAATGTCATCTGGATGTCCACAGTTTAAATCCTCAACAAAATGTTAAAAGTCACAGAAAAAGTCTTTGACATAGCATGACTTAGGATCTCCATATTCATAGTTATTTGTTGAGTAAATGTGCTTTGAGCACTTATCATGAGCCAAACACTGGGCTAGGTGTTACAGAGACAGTGCTGAACAAAGACCTCGCCAATATGGTGCATATTCCCATTTTACAATCTGTCAGCTCAGCCAGTCTCTTAAAGGCCATCTTTTCCTCAAACGAGTTTCTGAAATGAAAATGAAAAGAGTCATTTAAGGATTTAATCTGAGTTCTAGTCTATACCCTGACCACACAATGGGCCTCAGGGAGAAGAAGGAACAAGACAATACCTTACTAGAGCAAAATGACTTCCCATTATAGAACATGGTCTGGCACTTTCAAGATAAATGAAGCTGTAAAGTTAAGTTGTGCAATTAGTGGACAGAGACAGGTAATTTGTGGGCATGGAGGAGGTTTCCAAATATTCACAGCACCAAGTGATCAAAAGCTGTAAGTAGCATTTGTGCACTTTTCTTCATACATTTTACATTAAGAAAAAAACCATATAGGTTGATATTAAGCAGCTAACTGAAAATGAACTGTCCTTAAAAAGTAAGTAAATAAAAAACAGCACTTTTCCTGATGAATGAAGGACTGTGAAAAAGCTGTTATGGGCTTAGCCTATGTAGTTCCCAGCATTATTTTAAAAAGATGAAGAAAAGAATGTTGAAGTCTTTGCATTTTCAATGCCTACCAGGTGCACCTGCCACTCCTGCATTTCTGGGTTTCACTTTTGTCCATTGCTAGCTCTCATTTGGTCTGCAAATGTCTGAGTATCTTTCATGTTCCAGGAACTGTTTGTGTGAGATAGATGCAATGGTAAATAAGTCAAGGTCGTCACCTTTTAGGACCTCATCCTACCAACTTAATAGGTGCTAGCAGAGACTCGTTGTGTGTCTATTATAGGATAAGTGAGTGAAAGTCCTCCTTAGGTAGGTTTCATCATCTGCACTTGGATGGAATGAATTTATGAATGTTCTTAGAGACACTTATAGATCTGAGAAATAAAAAACACATACCAAGAACTTATTGTTGGGATGAAGAAGAGTAAATAGGGGAATTTTTTGGGTTCCTCTTCTCCTCATCCTCCTTACAACTCCTCCTGCTGATAAGATATTTAGTCCTATGATTGACCCAGACTGTCATTTTTTGGGGCCCTTCTCTCCATGCCTGTGGCCAAGCCCTGCCTGGGCTTGTATTACCAGGGATGACTCCACATGCTTCTTGCCTGCTATTCACAGAAGGCCCTCTTGTCTTCCGTGCTCACTGCGTGGATGGAACACCCAGGCAATGGGACACCAGGGGTCTGTATGTGCTGCCTGTGCCAGTGTTCTGAGAAGCTCCCTGAGACTGGTTTGGTGTAAGGGCTGTCAGTCTGCTCCACAAACCCAGAATAAATTGGATTGGAAAAGTAGGAAACCTCATTTAGCTTTTGTGCCTAAACTTTGTATACCCAAGCACTGTTTACCAAAAAAGTTCTGGATTTGGAAGTAGTTAAGTATTCAAAACATATTCAACTATTTATGAAAATGATGCTTATTATTCTATGTTTATTTCTCTCAGCAGGGAAGCCCAAAGAGTAGGGGAGATGAGGAGTAGGTTGTGGAATCAACACCCTTCCTCCTGCCTCCAAACCACCTGCACTGCCCAAGGAGGGGCCATTCTTTTTTGGGAGCCCATTATGTACTTAGCTGTGGATGAGGGTGTATGTGTGTCTTATATTCCTGCTTACATTATGGATAGAAGATTGAAGGTCACACTTCTGTGGGTGTCCTACTGCACCCAAAAGGGTATTTTACATAAAGCATGAATAATTGCACCTTTTCCCCCAAATGTCATATACTTTGATATAACATTTTGTAGAGTTAGGAGTCAGGCTTTCATGGGGAAGAGGGCTGGGTTATGTCCAGTTAATGGGCAGGCATGTAGATTATACTTTGCTTTTGATAGGTGAGGGACTCTTTCAAGTACTATTCTACTTCCTCTGTGGTTAGTTTTTTTCTCCCATTCTTCTATTCTTTTTCATCTTTGGGGCTGTACATCAGGGGAGGAGGGTGCTGCAGTTTGCTATTATAATGGGAAAAAATGAGAGAGAAAGCAAAGAGAGTAGGTAACTGTACTCAGCTTTATTTATTTTATCCACACCTCAAGCTCTTATTAGGAAAGGGTGGGTTCTTCTTTTCTTTTTTTTTAGGGGGGCGGTTTTCTTATAGAATAATTACTGGTATTCTCTGGTTGATAAGCTAAGAGAAAAGAGAGTCAGGGAAAAGTACTTTACTGTTTTTCTATGTTGTGTTCATTGGTTGTTTTTGTCTGTCTAGTACCAAACTTTCCACCAACCACATACCCTCTTCACGGTTCCCCTCCTTCCTTCTCCAACAGGGAAAGGCAGGCACCAGTGGATTCCTCTGTAGTCAAGACTTAACATAACCAGGAATTCTTCCTAAAGGAAGAAGCTATCAATTAGCTAATTATACTTTTCCCATCCCAAATTTGTTGGACTTCTTTGAAGACAGGATGATTTAAATGAGTGGAGAAGGCTTACCTGGGTGGAGGGAAGCAGGGAGTACCAACGCATAGAGTGGGAGGAAGGTTGGAAATATGAGTGAGAGAAGGTGTTGATAGTGGAAGGTTGCAGAGAAGTTGTCTGAGAACTTATTCAGAGCCAGATGGAGGAATTGTTCTACTGATTCTCAAGAAGAATTGAGAGTTCTTGCAGCAATTGTTATTATGTGGTTTTGCAACTTCTCTATAATCTCTTATAAGAGTAGTTTCTCTTAGAAGCCTAGTCAGTATACCTGAAACTTTAATTCCACTTACCATTATAATGAGAAAATAAATTGTCTTATTAGATTCTGTGCACCAAGGGGCAAGACCTGAAAGGAGGATGGAACGGTGTGTAGCGGGGATGGCAGTTGATCTGCAAAATCAGGCATGGAAATTCTGAACTGTTATTGGAGAGGGAAAAGGAACAAGCTACAGTTAACTGGTAAAACTCAGTCATATTATAGGTTAATCAAGGCCATAGACTGTGTGCTTGGTACTATGGAAGATAAAGTGATATGGAAAGCATGATCAGTGACCAGTGGGCTTGTAATCTAAATGTGGAGACACCCAGACCTTAGAAAATAACTATCCCATAGGATTATTTTTGGCAAAATGTCAAATGAACAGGTCATAGATAAATGATTTAAGAATTCAGAGGAGGTAGAGCTCACTTCTACCTGGAAGGGTAAGAATAAGCTTTTGTTGACGGGGAGAGGCTGGAGGTGGACCTTCAAGGGTGGGTGGGACAGAGATTTGTCAGCAGACATGAATATGGGGTGCTGGGTTGGGCACTTTACACATCACAGTGTGGATACAACACCCTGGAAAAACCCTATCACTCCCATTTTAGAGTAAGGAAGCATAGGCTCAGAAAGTATAAATATATGACCCAAACTTCCTTAACCATTGACAGGACAAGTTATAGCTGAATTTCAGACTTAAGCCCTCTGGCTCCAAACCCATCCTATTCCAGTACCAGTTTGCCTTTATGACCTTCTATACACAGAAATGCTCTGAGAACAAGAAAGCAAGTATTTTGCACCCAGGATGGAAACCACATCATTTTGGTAAGGGTACAGGTCATTTGGGAAAAAATGAGTGATGAGTTTAAACAGTGGTCTAGGTTTGGAAAAATAGTCTAGAACTATTGAAGGAATTTCAGGCAGAGAATGAGGTCAGCCAAACTATGTTTTAGAGAGAAGAGCTGCAAAAGGAATGATTTTGTAGATATGGCAAATGTTTATTTAACTTGTAGCATTTTAAACTAGATTACTTTTAGCTTAGGTCTGCATCTGAAAATCAGTGATTTACGTAGTCAACCTTTATGAAAGTTTTCTTTGATTAGTCAATCTAGAAAAGCATAGGCTTTATTTTTTTTAATTTTTATTTCTCATGCTTGTGTTTTGTTGCATTGCGTTTATCCTGGATGCCTTAATGAAATGGTGCGATATGACCCAGGGCTCTCATCTGTTTAACTTTGCTAATTTGCTCCATTTTCAAATGAGTTTCCTTGGCTGCAGGAGCAGCAGCAGAGCATGAACTCTGCTGAAAGGAATTTCAGTTACACCGCTACTGCCACCTCTGGGGCCCCCGGATAATTTTCTTATCGTCTTTTTGCCGTTTGGGAACAAAGCCACGTTGTTCACGACTGAAATACAGTTTTTAAATGTGCCTCCTACCGTGTTTTTATAGAAAGAGAGCCTCTTCTCCTGGAAAATAAAACACCATTGATTGAACCAACAGCCCTTCGAAAGGGCTTTAATTATTGCATTAATTACAAACTTCAGGACAAACCAGGGCCCAGTAGTAGGGAGCCATTGAGCAGATTTCTGAGCGGCTTTAAAGAAAATGTTAAAAGCCTTTTAGATCTAAGAGGCTGAAATTGAGAGAAGGAGGTGGGCATGTGGGAGACACTACCTTCTTCAAGTTATAAGCTTTGCATTAAAAAATATCCTCTTCCCTCTCTGATTTGTGTTTCCTGGGAAAGCTCCAATGACTCATTGCTCCAAGGCCTCAACATTTTCTACCCTGACATTGATGAGAGAGAGGAAAGTGGGGAGGTGGTCTAAATGTCATAGAGTAGAACTTCTCCAAAAAAATAGGTCACTGGGGAAAAAAGAAATACTCTTGGAATAATCCTTTAACATGATCATCTTCAAAATGCTCACTTTTTATTCTGAAGAAAAAGAAGAAAGAAAAAAGGCAAGTAATTTCTTTCTCTGGCAAAACATTCACTGAGGTGTTTTCATTCAATTACTTTGATGGTTGGCTGTTGGGAAAATTATCAAAAGTGAATATGGGTTTGGGAACTACTAGAAGATTCTCAAAGTTGCTTTTTATGATCTCTTTCCCAGGGAAAATAAATCATTAAATACTGAGGTGGCTAGATGAAATTGAATGCTACATCTCATGGTTTATTCAGAATGGGCTCTTCCATCTGACATCCTTTTGACAGGTTCTACCACATGTGGCATTTCTGGCAGGTATGAGGGTAGGTTTCACATTCTAAAATGAAACTGGCAGTCACACGTTTCCCTGGTTTAAAACATTTTAGCACTTATTATGTGCCAAATAGTGCTCTAAGCTGTCAACATGTTAACTCATTTAATCCTTACAACAATTTTGTGAGGCAGGAACTATTATAACTATTTAGCAGATAAGGAAACTGAGCCTTAGCAAGGTCACAGTGGAGAGCAGGCTGTCCGGCTCCAGTGTCTACTTAATTCTAACCGAATACTCTGGGAGACAAAGACGTTCGTCTCAATTCATATCACCTTGAATATTCATTGCCAGTTGATGATTGTTATTCTTAATTCCCTGCAAAGACTCAACCAGTCAAACAATTAATCAAATACTGATTTACCAATTTTCTGGGCACAAGATTAGGCATTAGGAGATGAGTAAAGATCCCATTCCTACATTAGGAGTTCCCAATCTAATACAGAAGATGGATAAGCAAATAGGGTGCCAGAGGTTGGAGTTTGTGGCTCAGATTTGGGAGGGTTCATTTATCAATTCATTATTTTAACAAAGTGTAGTGCTAGTATATGCCAAGCACTGTGAGTGATTCCCCCATCCCCTGCTCCTCAGTGGTTGCAGTCTGATCAGGGGAGATGGATAAGCAAGCAGCATGTTGCATTTTGGTGTGATAATTGCTGTAATTATGGGCAAGTACATGCAGGGGTACTACATTTGTAAATGTACCAAGGGAGGTAATGGCCTGTTCAGGAAACTGCACTGTGACTTAGCATGGCTGGAGGGTCCAGTGAAAGCACAGAGAAGGTAAGAGGTGAGGCTGCAGAAGGCCCCAGAAAGGGTTGGGAGTCAAGGACATTGTCTGCCATTTCAGAGACTCTGGACTCCATTAGGACATTGAGAATGTTACTTGGTACCCAGCAGTAAGAGTTCCTTTTCATCCAAGCTCTCATGTCACTTTAATTGAAAAGTAGAAAAGCAGAAAGAAAGAGTATCCTAAAATTAAGCAATGATAAGACACTGCAAATTTCCGAAGATTGGAAATTGCCACTTTTATGTAGAGCTTATGGCTATTTTCTCGCTGGAGACAGACTGAAAAAGTGAGGTCCATATCTGTGTCTATTTCTGGGATATTGGCTCAGCAATAAAGATGTTAGAAAAAATAAAATGATGGGGTTAAAAATCAACACATGTCACATTAATTTCTGATTCTTCTATTGGAAGAGGATCACATTTCAAGGTCAAAAGATGGAGCAGTGAGATTTGTAGAGAGAAAATTTATGGGTGGATATTTGAAAATTTTCTATAAGTAAGCATTGAGAACATTACGAAGCTACCAGATTTTGTAATTTTCAAAATTACAAGGAATGTAGTGGAATTGGATAATGGATGGTGGAACCTCTTATTCTTGGATCATTGGTTTAGATAGATCCCAGATTGGCAATAATGGAAATTTATTTCAATTTTATGTCTGCTCAGTGGCTGAAATGAAGTGGGTTAATAGGTGCAGTTTTGCTTTTTGTGGAGGAATGCCCTAGTCACAGAAACCCCTAAAGCAAACTGGCCTTTATATCCCCCCAGATGTTTTTCCAGGATGGGTAGTAACAGAGAGGGATATCTCTTTGTCTTGGATTTCCTTTATATTGTGTGTCAAAATGGACAGTGTACAAAGAGTACTATTCAAAAGTGTGAGACTAATCTCAGTTTATTGTGAAATTCAATGGATCACAAAGTACTGTGTCCCCAAACCAAAACAGATGATTGGAAAATTGAAGACTAGATATTTGGAATTGCTTGAATGCTGGAGGATGGTGTGGGCAGGGGTGGAGGCCTGGGTTTCTGGCATGTAACCCTAAAGTCCTTTTTATCTTTAGTCTTGTATTCTACCTGAGTAGTAGGTATTGTGAAAAGTATGTTTTCTATGAGTTTACAGATACAGTTCCTGGCATAATGTACAGCATATAGCAGGAATCCTGTAATCATTGAAGGAGTTAATAAATGATATCATCAGCATAGAACAGTTTGGCTGCTTTATGTATAACTCAGGCTACTACAGATTGGGTATCTCTTATGGGAAATTCTTAGGACCAGAAGTGTTTTGGATTTTGGATTTTTGTGGAATATTTGCTTATACATAATGAGATATAGAGGGGACGTGATCTGAGTCTAAACATGAAGTTCATTTATGTTTCATATACAACTTATACGCATAGCCTGAAGGTAATTTTACATAATATTTTTCTTTTTCTGTTTTTTGAGACAAGGTCTCGCTCTGTCACCCCAGGCTGGAGTGTAGTGGTGCGGTCATGGCTCACTGCAGACTTGACCTTCTGGGCACAAGCGATCCTCCCACCTCAGCCTCCCTAGTAGATGGGATGGGTCTACAGGCCTGCAGCACCATGCCAATGCCCAGCTAATTTTTGTATTCTTTTTTTTTTTGAAATGGAGTCTTTCCCTTTTGCCCAGGCTGGAGCACAATGGAGCAATCTTGGCTCACTGCAACCTCCACCTCCCAGGTTCAAGCGATTCTCCTGCCTCAGCCTCCCAAGCAGCTGGGATTACAGGCATGTGCCACCATGCCCGGCTAATTTTTGTATTTTTTTGTAGAGATGGGGTTTTGCCATGTTGCCCAGGCTGGTCTCGAACTCCTGGGCTCAAGCAACCCTTCCACCTTGGTCTCCCAAAGTTCTGGGATTACAGACATGAGACACTGCACTCAGCCTTATACAATATTTTTAATAATTTTGTGCATGAAATAAGGTTTGTGTACATTGAACCATCAGAAAAAAAAGGATTACTGTCTCAGTCTCCCATGTGGACAGTCTGTGGTTTTTTGGCATCACCGTCACTCCTGACTCTGAATTTATATGCTACTGATAAGCTTTGTGTTCTTACACTTATTCACGCATAAGTACTTAACAGTAAAAAATATGACATGCATATCTGGTGTGCACAGAAAAGATATATCACAGATGAAGGAGGCTGGGAGGGCCTTTTTTCCCTTGGGGACATTGAATAAAGCATGTGTGTGCACCTGTGTTTTGATTGCGACTGGTCACATGAGGATTGGGTGTGGAATTTTCCACTTGTGGTGTCATGTTGGTGCTCAGAATTTTCAGATGGTGGAGTATCTCAGGTTTCAGATTTTCAGATGAGGGATGCTCAACCCATAAACCCATATAGAGATAAGGAGTCTTGGTACAACATGTGCTTTATAGAAAGGAAAATTTTAGGTCTCAGTTGTAGACTTAGAGAAATTCAGGACTAAGACATTTCTGTGCATTTAGTTCCTTTTCATTTTTATTTTCCTACCACCTTCCCCCAGCCAGCTTTCATCTTTTTCTCTCAAAGCTCTGCAAATCATTGAAAAAATTTTCCATGTTATTTTTTAGGACAAAAACTTACTAAAAGTCATCCATCCAGCACTGAGTTCTTACTCACGGGGGTCACCACTGCTGTGTTCTAGTTCCTTTGCTTTTGTTTTGTTCACTGGCCCCTCCTCTCCAATCCCTGAGCTCCTACACTGCAGGCCTTCCTTTTTATTTTACGTTTTACACTCTCCCAACCTGACTTTATCCTTTCAATCAAAGATCATTAATAAATCTTGTATTGCCATTACCTCATAAAATAAGTATTCCATTTAATCACATTATCTATGTATCTGAAATCAGGAAGATACCGAAAGGTGGTAAACAGGAAATGGGAATATTGGCAGAAATGTACTACTGTACAGCTGAGAATTGTCATTCTCTTTGTTTTTTTTTTTGTCGAAAATAAACCTTCTGACAGAGATGATCAGAGAAAGGGATCATAAGTGGTTTCATATGAATATCAAGATTGGCTCCCATTACATTTTGGCACTAGGTGTTAAGTTTTTATCTCTCTGATCCTGATAGGTGGTGGTACTTGGTGGGCAGTGTCATGAAAACCAAGAGAACCAGGGCCTTATATTTCTTTTATTTTAACTTGGGTTTTTATTTTTTTTCTTTGCAACTTTTATATTATGTTCAAGGGGGTGCATATGCAGGTTTGTTACTTGGGTAAATTGCATGTTGCAAGGGTTTGGTTTACAAATAATTTCATCACCCAGGTAATCAACATAATAACCGATAGGTACTTTTTCAGTTCTCACCCTTCTCTCGCCCTCAATCCACAAATAGGTCCCAGTGTCTATTGTTCCCATCTTTATATCCAAGTGTACTGAATATTTAGCTCCCACTTATAAGTGAGAACATGTGGTATTTGGTTTTCTGTTCCTGTGTTAATTCACCTAGGATTGTGGCCTCCAGCTCCATCTGTGTTGCTTCAAAGGCCATGATCTCATTTTTTTTAATAACTGTAAGGAACTCAAATCAACAAACAAAACATAACTTGAGTTTTGAGAGGTGTTTTCTACCAGATACTTCCCTTTGAACTTTGTATGTGACTTCCTAGAGAGAAAGTGTGTTGAGGAAGTTCACTATTCTATTCTGCAGTGAGAGAAGACGACAGGCTACCAGGGAAAAATAGAAGATCAAAACCTTTTTATTTATTTATTTTTGTTTGTTTTTAAAGTATCTGTTTCCATATGTATACTATTGTGCAACCAATTAGTTGGGGATAGCGGATTTTTATGTAGCTGGCAAACTTATCAGGCAGAAGAGAATTATCATGTATATTTCAGCAGCAATTTATGAACAGGTTTGTTTCTAAAGGATGCACATGTATTTTGGGTTTCACTCTTAGTTTCACTCTGATTAATTTGCTTAATAAATCTTCCTTCTTAAAGACAGAGGAGAGGCAAACACAAGTCAAGCTTTTGTTTTAGCCAGTAGATTTATAATTAATGACTTTTGTTGATTTAAGAAGCTTTCTGAACAATTCTTGGAATGCAGTGGTGGCATCATGAAAGGAGCAAAGGGAACATTTTCGTGGGACATAAGTAAGATTTAGGAGAGGGAGGAGTTCACAGACTATCATTAATTTTACAGGAGGAGAAAATCAATGTCAGTAGGAAAAAAGATACGTACAAAAGATGACTTCTGGATTTGAGGAACCATTCTCAATAGCAGAAAATAGAGCTGTTCTCAAGACATATGTTAGGTCTCTCACAATCTATCAGCAATAAAAAAAGATAGCAATATAGAGATGAAAGAGGAAGAGAGAAGAAGGATTAAGATCAGCTGTCAAAATGTTGCATACAAAATGTATTGAATGTCACTATTATAAGAGGTCTTACTGTAATTAAATTTCCTGTCTATTTGGATTTGCTCATCTTAAAGCTTTTTCAGTTGTCAGTGTGAGAAATGTTTCCTATCTAGGTGTTTTTTCCTCCCTGTTAAGTATCAGCACAGTGTAATTCACCATAGTTGGGTAGGGTGGTACTGAGAATGTTTCCTACCTCAGCAAGCCTAATGTATATGATTGCTTTTTGTGAAGAGTTTTTTTTCCATTTCTACCATTAACAAGGTGTTAGACACTTAGCTTGGTAGTAGACAAACCATTAGATCAATATTCCCAGAACTAGAGAGTTCTGATATTGGCAGGCATTATTTATTCCATTAAAAAATGTCATATTCATTTAACAAAGATGGAATGCAGATAGTTTCACCGAAGCCATGAGTGTGATAAAGGCTATAGACAAAAGATTCCTGTGAAGTGACCATCTGGACCAGTTTAGGTGTTAGGATTTCTGAGGTTCTTGAACAAGAGCTGTTCCTGCTAGCTCATGTTTTAGAACCCATGTACAGGAAAATTGAGGTTGTGTTTAAAAAATATGGCATGTAGCACAGGAAATATGTGTTTTCAGAGCAAATGATAACTTAATATTGGCTGAATAATTTGTAAGAATACTGATTTTTTTGTCATATAACCTATATATTTTCTTAAGGAAGATAGGTTTATAAGGAAAAATTGCAATAATTAAACTGAGCATACCAACAAGGAAAAATAATTTAACTATTATGATGACTCATTTAGTTGGCATCCTCGAGTAATGAGGTGCTCTAGATTAATTTTCCTGAGAGCAGAAATATATCCCTTTAAATGATTAAGCATTTTATCTTCATCAATCTTTGAATAATATATTTCCAAGATATATTTTACATTCCTTTGTGTCATAAATATGCTTTACAATGTATAGGGCTAGAATCATAGTTTTTTTTTTTTTTTAAGAGTTTAAAGAAACACTGGGAGATCTTGGAAAATAATATTACCACATTGGAGTGCAACATTCTTGTCTCTGATATATGAGGTTTTGATTAGATGATCATCAAAATTCCTTCTCTTTCTAACATTCTCTAAATAAAAAGTCGTTTATGTTTTAAATTGTAGTATATATAAGAATCAGCTAGGGTCTTTGTTAAACTTGCAGATACTCAGACATCATCCCTAGAGGTTCTGATTTAGTAGATTTGGTGGGAGAGAAGAGAATCCGTATCATAAATAATCACCTAGAGCCATTCTGATGACCTCATTTAGAGAAACACTGATTCTCTTTCCACTCTTGTATAACAGACACCATTACTCTTGCTGGCCACGTGGTCCTTGAAAAGATCATTGCTGCTTTACCCTCAGTGGCATTGAGTTGTGAGGGGCTGATGAGACTAATAACTATGCTTTGATAGTCTTTGCTTTCTGAACCTTTCCTCAGTATTACCTGTCACTTTGTTAATGGTAGCTACTGAGGAAAACCAGATCATCAAGCTTATTAAATCAGATGCCCTGTACTTGTACATTTAATAAGTCATTGAGTTCTAATCTTAGGTCTGGGTAGAGGCAGGGGAAGGACTGTCTATTTTCTCCTGTAGTCTAAAGTGCATGCATTTAGCAGTGATGATTATATTCCCTGTTTGGAGGTCTTTTACTCTTTTGTCATGTTCTGGTTGTTTTAAGAAAGTCAAGTTTTCTAGAAGCATGACGTCAGAATAAGTGGCACATTACTCTATAAATATCTTAATTTTCATGGTGAGATTCATAGTCAGGATGGTCTATGACTTTCAAATATTAAAAATTTAAATATACCATAAAATTCTCCTTTAAAGTATACTGTTCAATGATTTTTAGTAAAATCTGTAAATTTAGAGTTGTATGAAGCCAACACCATAATCTAATTTTAGAACATTTCCATCATCCCCCAAAAGAAATCAGGTAACTGTTCCCACTCCTAAATCCAGTCAATCAATAATTTACTTCTTATCTCTATAGATTTACCTTTTCTAGACATTTCATATGAATGAGATCATACAGTATATGCCCTTCTGTGTCTGGTGTCTTTCAGTTAGTGTAAAGTTATTGAGGTTCATTCATGTTTTAGCATGAATCAGATTGCCAAATAATATTCTGTTGTATGCAGTTACTACATTTTATTTATCCATTTACCAGTTAATGGACATTTGGATTGTTTCCACTTTTTGACTATTATGGCTAGTGTGTTCAAATCTTTGTGCAGACATACATTTTAATTCTACTTGAGTAGTTTTACCTAGGAGTAGAACTTCTGGGTCATATGGTAAATCTGTTTCAAGGTAGCAGTTTCACATGTTACAGTTCTACCCGCAACGTATAAGGGTTTCACTTTCTCTACATCCTTGCCAATACTTATTATTATTATTGGATACAAGTCCCTTATTGGATATATGATTTTCAAATACTTTCACCTAGTCAGTGAGTTACCTTTTTACTTTCTGAATGGTGTCCTGTGAAACACAGTATATTTTATTTTGATGGATCCCCGTTTATCTTTCATCTATGCATCTGGGTACTTTTTTTTTTTTTAAAGAGGAATCTTTAACCCAATACTCATGCCTTCTTGAGGCTTACTCAAGATCTTGTAAGCTTTGTTTAGTATGAAGTCCCTAGTGATACCTAGCATATAGCACCTAGTTTAAACAGATTACAGATGAATATTCAAAGTTTTTGACCTGAATTTACTGTAGTCAACAGTTACCCTAAAGCCTTAAAGATTACCAAAGCCATGATAGACTCAGCCACCATCATGCAATGGCTATGTCCTTCGTAGCATCCTTTCTTCACATTCATCTTTGCTTTCAGCATATGAAGGGGGGAATGTAGGTCTTTAATTTACCTTGTACTGTGGGGTAGCACTATCCTTTCCTTACTCCATTTTCAGGCCCTTGGATGCAGGACCCTTCTCTGAGGTCCCACAGAGGTGGAGGCCCAGCCTGAGCTTTTACAGGTTTTAGAGTAAGATGTCAGGACAGCAGTTCACACTCAGCCACATCCCATTAAAAGAAATAAAAAAGTGGCTGGGCACAGTGGCTCATGCCTGTAATCCCAGCACTTTGGGAGGCCGAGGTGGATGGATCACTTGAGGTCAGGAGTTCAAGACCAGCCTGGCCCACATGGTGAAACCCCATCTCTATTAAAAATACAAAATTAGCTGGGCGTGGTGGTGGACACGTGTAATCCCAGCTACTCGGGAGGCTGAGGCAGGAGAATCACTTGAACCTGGAGGTGGAGGTTGCAGTGAGCTGAGATTGTGCCATTGCACTCCAGCATGGGTGACAAAAGCAAAACTCCATCTCAAAAGAAAAAAGTTGCTGCTGTAGAGTTTTGTCATAAGAACATACTGGCTGCAGTGTCCATAGGCAAAGATGAAGCTTTACTGAGGGCTGATATACTCAATACTTCTGCCCAGTCCACTTGAGTCTGTCTTTGCCTAAATACTAAATTGTTTGAATTCTCCTTTAGTTTTAGATTTTCCCTACTGAATTGACATGGAGAAATGTTATCAAGTCCAATTTGCAAGAATGCTGGATTTCCACTTGGAGCTTTTGTTTTCTTGGGCCTAGAAGGCATCTCTTGTTTATAAAAAAACACTGGGCATCATTGTACATGAGAAACTTAAAGACAGTGCATATCTGGTAGCAGTTGATATACAGTGTATTATTCCTAAATGTAGTAATAACACCTTACAATTGGAAAAAAAATGAGTTATAGATGACCAAATGCTTCCATAAATATGATCACATTTGGTCCTCCCATCTCTGTGAAGAATTATTATTCCTCTTTTACAGGTGAAGAAAATGACTTGTCAGAAGTCATTTATTTCCAAATATAGGACTTCTGATACCAAATTTTGTGCCTTTTCTGTAGTGCCATGCTTCCTCTCCAAAGCAATAGTTGAATTTCTGCAATTTTAAGAAAATCATATATGTCGTGTTATATTAGACCCGTGGCTAATCTATAAGCAGTCATTTATATTTTAAATGAAATCCATTAATGATATATTCACTTTCTAGGGCTTATTTCCATCTCAAGCTTCCATTTCTGATTGTAATGTGTAATGTTGCATTTCCTGTGAAAGGAATTCCAGGCTTTGGATTGTAGGTGGGTAAGATTAGTGGTGGGTCTTAGAGAGTCGGGAGATCCTGAGCATGGGAACAGCCTTTTGCCCGTAAGTTTATACTGTGCTCAAAGATAGTCTGAATAGTTTTAGGCTGCCTGGGGTCCCAAGGAGACTTTATGCCTCCCGATAGTAAATTTTGGGTCCCCAAAGACCCAACAATATTTCCATGCGATCATAGCTTGACCCCAATTTATGGATGCTTCCTTCCTTTCTTCTTTAATCCTTGACAACTTTCTTCCCCAAGATTTCCTCGTGTCAGGGACCCAGAGGCCATTCTTACTATGATCTCTTTCTTTTCCATTTCATTCCCTATGGCTTAGACCATTTAGGTGGGGCAGTGGTTCTCACAGTGTGAACCACTCATCAGCAGCAACAGCTTGTTAAAAATGCAAACTCAGGACCCACCCCATATCTGCTTAATCAGAAAGGCCTGGGAGGTTGAACCCTCCAGTCCGTGTTTGATATACCTTCCAGGGGTTCTGGTGCATGCGCACATGTGAGATCCACTTGTGCAGTGGTTAAGAGCAAGGATTCTGGAATCAGCAGCCAGGTTTCAAATTTTAGCTCTGCCATTTGGCAGCTACCACTTCCTGCCATCCATTTACCTATATGATCTTTGGGGAAATTACTTTCCTCTCTAGACTTTAATTTCCTAATCTGTAAACTTGTGGAATAAAATATGAATTACCTACATGGGAAGTTGTAGAAATGAAATAAGGTAATGCATACAAAGTGTCTCACGTGATGTCTGGCACTCTGCAAGCATCCCTGAATGGGAGCTTTCATGGTTGATATGGACTCTGACCCTAGTCATTGCCTGCACAGTGCTTGATGACCTTCCCTTGCTTGTCTCTAGCAGCTTGGCATTTAACTACTCAATTCTAAACCTGAATGTTTGCCATGTGCTCCATTTTCAGTAGTATGAAAATGAGACTAGTTTTCACACTAAAATCCCTGTATGAAATATATTTGAAATTTTGCTTAGGTCTTGCTTTTGTTTTCTGCCACCCAGCCAGTTTCCTATCTGGGATAGGACATCGCTTTTGATAATAATTCAATATTTAAAGCCTTTGTTTAAGAATGTGTCTTAAGACATGTTTAAAAGTCTAAATAAACATTATATCCTGTCTCAATTTATCTACCACTTAAAAAATTTCAAGTGTTTTTTATCTATCTATGTCTATCTATTGATATAGAATCTATGTAGGGATATAGAATCTATGGATTCTAAATAGATTCTATATAGATATGGATAGGTTTGATATCCCTATCTGTGGCTTTTCTCCTATAACATTTTTCTAACTTAATTGTCAGAATCTGTTCTCTAGTAGAAAATCCACCGATGTCAGAGGATCACTTGAGTCTGGGAATTTGAGGCTGCAGTGAGCTGAGATCATGCCATTGCACTCCAGCCTGAGTGACAGAGAGACCCTGTCTCAAAAAGTTCATCAACATACAGTATACTTCCAACAAATCCACAGTAAAATTTAATGTATTGGATCATTTTCAGACTCGCGGCAGCCAGTCCTTGGGCTATTTCTATGAGTCTTTATGTAACTTTGACTACAAATTCGAAGTTGTCCTCAAATCCACTAGAACTCCTGGTTGGATACCATTCAATCCTGGTGATTTATTTTACTTTTATTTGTCAGTTAGGCCTAGTACATCCCTTGCATTTATTTTTCCTGAATTTAGCATATTTAGACTGCTTACTTCAGAAGAGAATTTGTTTTCAAATATTCTCTTTGGTAAAATATACCTCAGAAGTTGGATTTATTCCCTTTCCTATCTTTTATTCATCTATGTACTGCACTTATTTTTATAAGTTCATCTGATTCTTCAGCTGGCTTTCTGCCAATGATAAATTAAAAAAAAAAAACTACACATAAACGAAACCAACAACCAGAAAACCCTTTTAACTTGTTATTTATTTATTTATTTATTAGCAACCTTTAAACTCTTTGAATTATGTCATGAATTTCCTCTGACTTACAAGCTCACAGGGCAGCATTTTCTAATAGTGTTTTGTTTTAGCCTGAAATAAAAGGTTCCATGGTCAAGTTAGCATAGGAAAGGCTACATACTTATTCTATGCCCCTTTATCCCCTAGCCTCTGAAA